>NC_000002.12:12770803-13077559 GCF_000001405.40 Homo sapiens | reverse complement strand
CATACAATATAACAAAACACAATTTTATCTACCATCGTTACTATAAATTGTGTTACATGTAGATAATCTTTCTCCTTCCAAAAAAGAAATGTAAGCAGATTCCATACATGTTTTTCAAGCTCATCCTTAAGTAACTGCATAATCATATAGTCATTTTTCCTGTTTAAAAAACCACTCAGTTTTTAATATTTCTAACAAATATTTGAAGTAAATGAATGTTTCCTTCAAATAATAATTTCAGAATAAAACTCCACCCCCTTTTACCTATAGCTTGTGCTTGCCTGAAGTCTGCCTTCACAGGAAGTGATCCTCTCTCTCTCTCTCTCTTCCTCTCTCTCTCTCTCTCCATCTGTCTGTCTCCTCAACGTCTCTCCTACTCCATAGCTGTTATTTAGTATTGCATATTTGTAACGTGGTAGAGAAAGGGAAATAATACAGTGGAACTCGTTTTATTTGGCTGGATGGCTCTAGGTATACACATGATTAGAATTGATATTTGTGTGGCAAATCTGTGGGTTCTTTGAAAATTTTCTTTTTTTTTTTTAGTTTTCTCCAGCAGTTTCCTTTATACTGAGGAAATACATCTTTATTTCAGATCCCTCTTCTTCCTTGGCATAGGCTTTCATCCTCAAATTCTTGTCTTGAGGTTTTCTAAACCCTCCTCAGTGGCTGGGCAGGACCTATTATGACTCTATGCCTGCTCTCTATTCCAATTGGCTTACATATGAGCCCAGGAAACATATGAGCATCCTGGAGCCTGTGGTTCTGGAAGTGTGGTGAATCTTAGCACAGTCATCTCTATCCCGCTTCCACAGGCAGCTCTAACTTCAGGTGTTAATTGGGCACCAATTTAGAATGTCTTATAAATACCTTTCAGGTCTCTTAGTGTCTCTCGAAAGCCCCTCCTAAGCTTGAGTAGGAGGAGATGGCAGCCTCTCACACCACACACTGTGGCAACAGCTTCCTCCAAAGAAAACTGTGTACACATTTTCTCTCTTTCCCTAGTCAGGTTCTACTTGAATAATTAATGAGAAGATTGATAATATGGAAATGTATTTTACAATTTCTACCTTATGTTTAAGATCTGATTTTGTAATTTCTTATACAGTGGAACTTGGTGGCTTGTGGATACCTCAATTGAAACATCGTATTAAAACTCCACCTTATTTTATTGATATATCTTGATATAAAATGAAAAAGAGAGAGAAAGAATAATATTTTGTGCTACATAAAAAGAAAGTGAAATTCAAACTTCTGTGTACATAGATAAAGCTTAATGGGAACATAGCAATGCTAATTTTTTTACGTAATGTCAATGGCTGATTTCAGGCAACAGCACCAGTTTTAATTGAAACAGAAAACTTATGTCCTGCAAAGTCAAAAGTGATGCAGGACAGGCCAGCTCCAAAACTGAGGCTTAGCATGGAAGGTTCTTGGCTTTGCCCAGGAAAAATTTCAAGGGTCAGCTAGTGATGTCAGATAGCACTCTTTTATTGAACAGGGAGAACTCATAGGCAATGTGCCCAGAGCCAGCTATGTATGGGCTCTTGTCACCTGTATTTATAACCACTTATCCCCACTTTCAAATTGAATATAACTTAAGGATCTGGTCATTGTAAACTTGTTAGGAAAGGGGTGGTAACTTCCAGGTCATTCCCATGAAAAAGAGTGGAAACCTCTGGGTCACTGCCATGAGGTTTAGAAACTGTAGTAGTGATGGTGAAAGTGTCTTATGCTAATGAGCAATGAGAGCAGCTAGGGATCATTTTTGTTACCTTCTGCTGGTTCCTGCTAGTTTTTTTTACTTTATGCTGTCTGGACCAGATCATGTTCTCGTCAGCAATGTTTTGACCAGAAAACAAGTCCTGCTTCATTCCCCCCCTCAGAGATTAGATATTCCTCCTTAATCTTAAGGGGGTTGCAGAAGCATGGAGGTCCATCTTTTGTAAGGGCTTCCTGCTGATTTTATGGGTGTAAACCTTGCCTAGCATTGGAGAAATAAAAGTCTCTAGATACCTGATATAAGGAGCCCAATGGGAGGATATTTTTATTCTCTAGGTCAGAAGACGGAAGAGGCTGGAATCCTTGTGCCAGCATTGTCTTTATGTGGAAACCAGAAGATGTAAACTTTACTAAGAGATTAAATAAACAAGGAAATTACAATTAGAAGAAAGATAAAAATTAATGTTCCCATGCCCATAGATGTTATTTATCTATGCGTTTGTAAATTAATAGTTTTAGGTCTTTCACAGTTCACAAGTGTAGGTCATGGTGTCCTCCCCTTATGTCTATGAGGATGATATGGTTTGGCTGTGTCCCCATTCAAATCTCATCTTAAATTCTAGTTCCCACAATCCCCATTTGTGATGGAAAGGACCTTGGGGGAGGTAATTAAATCATAGAGGCAGTTACCCCCATGCTTTTCTAGTGATAGTGAGTGAGTTCTCATGAGATCTGATGGTTGTATAAGGGGCTTTTCCCCTTTTGCTCAGCACTTCTCTTTCCTGCTGCCATGTAAAGAAGGACATGTTTGCTTCCACTTCCACCATGATTGTATGTTTCCTGAGGCCTCCCAAGCCAGGCTGAATGGTGAGTCAATTCAACCTCTTTCCTTTACAAATTGCCCAGTCTTGGGTATGTTTTTATTAGCAATGTGAGAATGGAGTAATACAGTAAATTAGTACTGGGCAGTGGGCACTGCTGTAAAGATACCTGAAAATGTGGAAGCAACTTTGGAACTGGGTAACAGGCAGAGGCTGTTGAACTTCCTAGAGACTTCCTAGACACTTGTTGAATGGCTTTGACCAAAATGTTGATAGTGATATGTACAATGAAGGCCAGGCTGAGGTAGTCTCAGATGGAGATGAGGAACTTGTTGGGAACTGGAGTAAAGGTCACTCTTGATATGCAAAGAGACTGGCAGAATTTTGCTCCTACCCTAGAGATTTATGAAACTTTGAACTTGAGAGGATGATTTAGGGTATCTGGCAGAAGAAATTTCTAAGCAGCAAAGAGTTCCAGAGGAAGCAGAGCATAAAATTTTGAAAAAATTTGCATCGTGAAAATGCAGTAGAAAAGAAAACCTCATTTTTCTGGGGAGAAATTTAATCCAGTAGCATAAATTTGCATAAGTAACAAGGAGCCAAATGCTAGTTGCAAGGACAATGGGGAAAATGTCTCCAGGGCATGTCAGAGACCTTTGTGGCAGGCCCTCACTTCATAACCTCACAGGCCTAGGTGGAAAAAATGGTTTAGTGGGTTGGGTCCAGTGTCCCCCTGCTGTGTGAAGCCTCAGGACTTGATGCCCTGTGTCCCAGCCACTCCAGCCATGGCTAAAAAGGGACAAGGTACAGCTCAGACCATGGCTTCAGAGGGTGCAAGCCCCAAGTCTTGGCAGCTTCCATGTGGTATTGGTCCTGAAGGTGCACAGAAGACAAAAATTGAGGTTTGGAAACCTCCGCCTAGATTTAAGAGAATGTATGGACATGCCTGGATGTCTAGGCAGAGGTGTGTTGCAGGAGTAAAGCCTTCATGGGGAACCTCTGCTAGGGCAGTGCAGAAAGGAAATGTGGGTTTGATCCCCCACACAGAGTCTCCACTGGGACACTGCCAAGGAGAGCTGTGAGAAGAGGGCCACCGTCCTTCAGAACCCAAAATGGTATATCTACTGACAGCTTGTGCTGTGTGCCTGAAAAAGTTACAGATTACTCAATGCCAGCCCATGAAAGCAGCCGAGAGGAAGTCTGTAACCTGAAAAGACACAGAGGTGGAGCTGCCCAAGGCTGTAGGAGCCCACCTCTTGCATTAGTGTGACCTGGATGTGAGACATAAAGTTAAAGGAGATCATTTTGGAATAATAAGGTTTAATGACTGCCTTATTGAATTTTGGACTTGCATGAGGACTGTAGCCCTTTGTTTTGGCCAATTTCTCTCATTTGGAATGGATTAATTTACCCAATACCTATACCCCCATTGTAACTAGGAAGTAACTAACTTGCTTTTGATTTTACAGGATGATAGGGGGAGGTAACGTACCTTGTCTCAGGTGAGACTTTGGACTTAGACTTATGGGTTAATGCTGAAATGAGTTAAGAAATTGGGGTATGCTGGGAAGGCATTATTGAGTTTTGATATGTGAGGACATGAGATTTGGGAGGGGCTGGGGCAAAATGATATAATTTTGCTGGCCTCTACCCAAATGTCATCTTGAATTATAGTTCCCACAATCTCCACATGTGGGAGGAACTCTGTGGGACATAATTGAATTATGGGGACAGTTACCTCCAGGCTACAGTTTTTGTGATAGTGAGTGAGTTCTCAAGAGATCTGATGGTTTTATAAGGGGCTTTTCCCCGTTTGGGGCGGCACTTCTCCTTCCTGCTGCCATATGAAGAAGAATGTGTTTGCTTCCCTTCTGCCACGTATTTACCCAATGCCTGTACCCACATTGTATCTAAGAAGTAACTAACTTGCTTTTGGTTTTACAGACTCATAGGTGGAAGGGACTTGCCTTCTCTGAGATGAGACTTTGGACTTGGACTTTTGAGTTAATGCTGAAATGAGTTAAGAATTCTGTTGGAAGGGAATGATTGTGTTTTAAATTTTAAGGACATAAGATTTGAGAGGGGCCAGGAGCAGAATGATCTGGTTTGGCTGTGTCCCCACTCAAATCTCATCTTGAATTATAGTTTCCTTAATCCCCATGTGTTGTGGGATGGACCAGGTGGAGAAAATATAATCACAGAAGCAGTTTCTCCCTTCCTGTTCCCGTGATTATAAGTTCTCACGAGACCCGATGATTTCATAAGGGGCTTCCCCATTCACTTGGCTCTCATTTTTCTCTCTCCTGCCACCATGTAAAGGAGGGCGTGCTTGCTTCCCCTTCCACCATGACTGTAAGTTTCCTGAGGCCTCTCCAGCTATGCTGAACTGTGAGTCAATTAAACCTCTTTCCTTTATAAGTGACTCATTCTCAGGTATGTCTTTATGAGAAGCATGAGAACAAATTAATACAGGGTACGTATAAGAAATACTTAAATCTGGACAAGTATAACCATCTAGTAACTCTGTGAAGTTCAACAGCAATGGATGTACTTAACAATACCTAAAAGGGACCCTTCCATTTTATCGGTAATTGATCCTTGCCAAATCTTTCTTTCTTTCTTTCTTCTTTTTTTTTTTTTTTAGACAGAGTTTTGCCTTGTTGCCCAGGCTGGAGTGCAATGGTGCGATCTTGGCTCACCACAACCTCCGCCTCCCAGGTTCAAGCAATTCTCCTGCCGCAGCCTCCCGAATAGCTGGGATTACAAGCATGCATCACCACGCCTGGCTAATTTTTGTATTTTTAGTAGAGACGGGGTTTCTCCATGTTGAGGCTGGTCTCGAACTCCTGACCTCAGGTGATCCGCCCGCCTTGGCCTCCCAAAGTGCTGGGATTACAAGCGTGAGTCACCGCGCCCGGCCCAAATCTTTCTTTTTAAGATTTTAGTAAGACTAAGTTTTTTGTTTTAACAACACAGTTTTTTTTTTCCTTTCTGGAAAAGGACAATACTCTTTCTTCATCACTTTGAAAGGCCTTTTGAACATGGCCTAAATTTCAACATAGGAGGCGCAGAATTAGGTAAATATATATACACACACACACATATATACGTATATATATAAAATATATATACGTATATATAAAATATAAGTGTATATATAATATATATGTGTATATATAAAATATATGTGTACATATAATATATATGTGTATATATAAAATATATGTGTATATATAAAAGATATGTGTATATATAAAATATATGTATATATAATATATACGTATATAAAAAATATATACGTATATATCATATATACGTATATATTATATATGTATATATAAAATATATGTATATATGATATATATGTATATATATAAAACATATATGTATATATGTATATATAAAAATATATATTTGTATATAAAAATATATATTTGTGTATATAAAATATATATGTGTATATGTATATATATAAAATATATATATAATTCCTTGTTTTCCATCATTGCTTGTATTCATTTTCTAAGTTTTTTTGGTATTTCCTTTGGCCTAAGGACTTAGAGTCAAAAGACTTATAGCAAATTAAACATTCTAGGCCACGTGGGAATGGGGGTGGGTAGGCGCACATTAGCCCTTAATATATTTTGAAGCAATATTAGAGTCAAAAACTAAAGACAAAAATAAGCTTGTATATTAAGAAAAACCAAGAGCATAGAATTACGCTATCTTTAGGGAAGGCCCTGCTCCCATAGGCCTCCAAGACAATACACTTTAGCGTCAGGCTGCAACAATAGGCAGGCCTGGAGGGGAAATAATCAGAGGAGCTAATGAAACAGCTAAAAGGGTCAGCCATCATCCCAGGCTTTGTTAAAGGGAGAAAGAGCTGAAAGCAGCAAGACACAATAGTTGAACCTCTGAGACATAAATCTGAGAAGTTTTAAAAGACACTAGTTATTGTATTAGAAGCAAAATTTCCCCTAATTTAATAAATCAATACCTTAAAGAAGCCTAGTTAAAATATATAGCCCATTCTGCAGAAAGTCTACCACAAACAGCATCCCTTCAACCGCAGCCAGCGTAATCATACATAAAATTCCCCGTCACAAATTCCCCTTTCCCAAACTTCATTATGACCCATAATGACCATCCATGACATGTCTAGACTCAAGGACCTGTCCTACACCACCTCCCTCCCAAATGACCAGTCACTTTATTCTAGGACAACAATCCACCACACAAAATCCCTCCTCATACAAAATAAATCTCTTTTAATATCCCTCCCCTCAAAAAATACACCTGCCACCTGTAACGCTCCTCACAGCTCTCTTTTCTACTCATTGGTTTCTTTATATTTTGAACCTCACTTTTAGTAACTTCCAAGTTAGACAAACTTTTTTTCCCAGTAAAAAATATATCTTCTTTGGCACATTGTACATAAACCTAGGAAGCAGGAAATCCTGAATTGCCTATTAGACATTGGCATTTTTTATGAGAACCATTTTACAATTTTAAGATTTAAAAACCACGGAAAAACTCACTATTTAAAGCCATGTTAACTATTTTGAAGGCTGAAAACATCACTGGTTTACCTAGGCAAAAATCTTAAATTTAAATGTTAGAAGACACAAATTTCCTTCAAACTAACAAGTTTAGGCTAGCCTTATTTCTTTAATATATGAGCACTTTTTAATTTATAAGCCAATTTAATAGCATGCTAGACCCAAAACACATTACACAAATGAAGTGACCTATATAAGACAGCCAGAGCAAACTTATTGACAAAAATGGGACCTGTCTACCTGGCCAAATTCTGTTTGGCCCAATAGGTATGAAAGGCAGGAAGAGTGAGGGAAAAGGATCCCATATCAGTAAATAAGGAAGGGAGGGGGCAAACTGCATTGCTAAAGGGGAGCCCTTTCAGTCCCTGAGCCAACAGAGAGCTCACCCATCAGTAGAGACACTGAAGAAAATGTTTGGGTAGCTGCTTGTCTGCCACTGCGGGAAGCTATCTGTCAGGTCAAGGGTCCAAGACCCCTAGTAAATTTACCTGAGCAAGTCAGCTCACTGGGGATAGTGGAATAAGATTAGCTCTAGTATTGATGAGGAATCTTTTCCTCTCTCAACGGGGATGTGTAAAATATTCTCATTGACAATGGCCTTTTTGCTTATAGCAGGCACACTGATTTGGCCCAGGGACCGGCAAGTTGCGGGCTCTCAACTGGGATACCCAAAAGCCAATCTTGTGACACTTTCTTGAGATGGGTAACCCTGAGAGGGTAGGGGACTTAAAGCAATTGTTAACAATTGCACTTTTTGGCTGCTTCTTTTGGGTTTTCTTACCTCATTTGTACTTATTGTTATGAACCTTAAAGGCCATGTGTTAAGAGTTTGCTCACAGGGTTTTGATGTCCCATATCCTCCTTTTGCAGTTTTCTCCTAATAACAGGGGCAGATTGAATAACAAAATGCATACATGGAACACTTGCCCCTCTGGGGAGTTTTGGTCAACCAAACAATCCTGAAACAGAGCAGGATTTTCACCTCTTCCCTGAGTTACATCTCTAACTTTGTCACAATTGGCTGGCTTAACCACAGACTTTTTCCTCCCCATTTTTTTCTGTGGCAAAGCAAGTGGACATCAATACTTGCAAGTCATGACAAATTAAATTAAACAAAATGGTCAACAAAACAATTTTTTCGATAAACTTTTCTGGATTTTTTTTAATCCAGCCAAATTTCTCCTTGTATAAAGCCAAATCAGATAGAAGATAGCAGATGTACTCTAAGGGTTTCCCCATTTCCATCAGCTATTTCCCACAATGGACATAGGTTAAACTTCAAGAGCTGATACGTAGCTCTACTTCTGATGGTACGGTTGGGCTTACTTTCTCAGGGAGCAGGGGATATAGGCTGAGGCTACTTGGATAAGGGAGAGGGGTGTGACCTATTATCATGGAGTGGACTCCTGCATTAGAGAACTGGCAGGAGTGCCCCTCACAATTAGGATACTGAGGAGGCTCTGGAGAGGCCATTAGTCTTCTACAGAGAGCGGCTAGGAGAAGATCCCCTAAGTGTGGCTTTCTGGTCCCTGGAAGAAACATGAGTCAGTAAAGGGCCATAAAAGCCTGTATGTAAGGGATCTCTTCCCGTTTTCCTTCTTTATTTACGAACAAATCTAATTATAAAATAACATTTGCTATTTATAATATTTATAATAGAATTTTTTCCAATAGCCTAAAAGACACCCTAATGGCAAGTCCAATGGGATGCTCCTCAGGACTAACAATGATTTCTACTGGACACAGAAGTGTTTCTAAGTCTAGCGAGAGGGAAAGCAATTGGGCTATTGTTATTTTTCCATTTTAGATTTTCACTTCCTGCAGAGAAGGTATATCTATAGCTAGCAACGTGTTATGCAAATGAATTATAAGTATTTGCCAGTGAACAAAATATGACAAAAATAACTATTTTTATTAAGCAAAGTGTAGAAAGAAAAGTATAAATAAAGTGGCAATATGAAAATAAAATGCTGTTACAGAAAATAACTTTAAGGTAGAAAACAAGAAAAGGCAAGACCAAGATTCCCTAGGCTGGGGCTCTAATCTCACAATCCTGGAGGGAATTTTATTACCCAAAACCCCAGAGCATCCATGCGGCAGCCTACAATACCAAATGCAAAAACCCAGAGTACCTTGGTATCGGTTAACAAGGGTCACCACACCAAATGCTGAAAATCTCACAGCCACCAGTGAACCCCAAAGACCAAGTTGGTGCCGCTGAACAACGCGATTGGCATCCCAGAATCAACACGAAGGGGGACATCTCACAACCAAGAGTCTTGCATCAAACAATTGACCAAATACAGTTAACAAGAAGCTAAAGCAAAAACTGCAAGTGAAACATATATTTCAGAGCAAAAAAATGAAATGAAATAAAATGGTCAAGAGAATAGTGAAATGGCATTAGAGAAGAAAGGACAAAGGGAAGGGGTAACAAGTATGTCGTTGGTCAGGCATGCTATGGGGAAATTCAAATTTGCTGTGTAGCCTAAGGCCTTGTTTCTTGGCTCACCCAATATTGGGGTAGACTCACCTGCCTGCAGGAGCCAAAATAGTGCCAACTTGCCTACTGGTCTCCTACTTAGGGTCCAGGTAAATGTCTCCTCCCCGGGTTTACCTGGCTTTGGTACCCCTGTTTCAAAGATCGACTGTAGTAATCACACCAACCTGCTAGTCAAGTAATTAAATTGGGAAATCCATCTCACCTCAGTAAGTTCTAAAGAGTAATGACTCATAACATTGCCTAGAAGGCTGGGTCCTGTATAATAGACTCTGCTCTTGGTAAGTCATAGCCTGGTTTAAGGGCCTTCCTCCCAAGAATCACATGTGCACCCTTCATACCAGAAGACATGTGTTTTGCCATAGACTACAGAATGTCTGGTCCTTTAATATGTGTGGTGGTTCTGGGTTAGCTTTCAGTCATGAAATAATCTGTCTCTGGAAGCTTTCCTTGTTTTAAATTAGACAATTCATAATGCCCTAATGTAATTAGTGACAATTAATTAACCATATTATATCACTTGTTGCAGATCATTTTAATGGAATGGGTGTTTCTTGGGAATGTCATTGATTGACAGTCAGGAAAATTCCTAGTCTCTAAATTTCCTCTCTTCCCCCCATCTTTGTCCTCATTACACCGCAGTTTTCTATTCCACTGCCTTTTCATACCAGCTCTTTCCAATAACATGAAGAATGTAAGCAGATTTCTGGCCCACAGAAAGTAGGGCAGATACCTTTAAATTATCTAAAATGTATCTGAATAGCAAATAGTACTTTTTCTTTGAAAATGAAAAGCATTCTTTTTATGCATAAAAAAGTATGCTCTCTCAGAGGAAAATCCGTTTTCATTTACATATACTTTAGTTTAATAATGGTGGTTAATGAACTTAAAACCATGATTCTTAAAGCCAAAAATAAAATAAGAAGATGAAGAGCATTCAATTCAATAAAATGTAAGTTAAAAAGTGAAGATAAAATCATGTTTTGCCAACTACTTACATCATCTTTATCAGGCTCGCTACAGGAGGATTTAATTTGGAAAGATAAAGTGCATTGACTTAGTAGTGAGTCTTTGGGTATTTGGCAGAAGAAGGAAGCCACTAACAAGAAGCTTATCTTTTATAAAGGTTAATTCTCAAGTGGAGAGATTTATAGACTGAAGCTCAATCTTTGTGTCTTTTTTTTTCTTTTTCTTTTTCTTTTAATTTTACTTTAAGATCCAGGATACATGTGTAGAATGTGCAGGTTTGTTACATAGCTATACATGTGCCATGGTGTTTTGCTGCACCCATCAACCCATCATCTAGGTTTTTAAGCCCCACTTGCATTAAGTATTTGTCTTTATAACCAGTACTACTTCCTTTAAAAAAAAAAAAACTGTTGAATTTAAGTAATGTAAAAATGTTAATTAAAATTATAGAATATAGGTGTAACTTCTTAACAGATTCACATATTTATTGTTAAAATTAGTGGAAAAATTAGGATGATTTTTAATTTCTTCTTTACCGATTTTAATTATTTCTCAAATTATCCTGGGAATAAATGCACATTGTTTTTTAAAAGGGAAAATAGTAAGTATGTTCTTTAAGTGTGAGACAGTGTGTATGTGTCCTCACACATAAGGCAGAGTGGATTCAATTATATCTCTTTTCTACCAGCAAAGAGCCCTTAAAATGTGCTATCACAATCATTCTTTTGCCCTGAGAAGTAACAGGAAGATTAAAACCAGTGGTAATAATCTTCACCAGTAAAAACAGTTTGTAGTTCAAATTATGTCTCTACTGTGGTCCTCAATCTGCCCAATTAGAAAAATGATATCATTGGTCTAATATAAACTATGCTTCCATAGGACTCTAATGATCTCCAGTGGTATACACACTAAAAGTTTCTCACAAAAGCCTTCTGTTTGTTTCTTATTTGTGTTGGTGAGAGGTAGTAGATAGGGTGGGGAGAATTATTAGCAAATAGACAACGAACACGGAAATTAAGCAACATGCTCCTGAACAACCAATGAGCCAATGAAGAAATTAAGAAGAAATTGTAAACATTCCTTAAAACAATTAAAATGAAGTACAACATTCCAAAACCAATGGGATACAGCAAATACCGTACTAAGAGGGAAGTTTATAGCAATAAATACCTACATCAAAAAAATTTGAAAGACATAAGCATACTAATACACCACAAGAAACTAGAAAAATAGGAACAAACCAAACCTCAAATTGGTAGTAGTGAAGAAAGTAAATATCAGAGCAGAAATAAAATTGAGACTAAAAAATGCAAAAGATTAATTAAAGAGTTGGTTTTTTGAAAAAAAATTTCAATTGCAAACATTTAATTAGACTAACTTAAAAGACCCAAATAAATAAATTCAGAGACAAAAAAGAAGACGTTACAACTGATACCACAGAATACAAAGGATGATTAGAGAATATTATAAACAACTGTATGTCAACAAATTAGAAAATCTAGATGAAATGGAAAAATTCCTGGACACATGCAGCCTACCAAGAATAAATAGAAAATCAGAGTAGACCAATAACAAGCCACAAGACTGAAGGAGTAATAAACAGTTTCGTATCAAAAAAAAAAATACCTAGGACATGACGGCTTTACTGTTGAATTCTACCAAACACATATAGGAAAAAAATTTGAAGAAAAGGGAATACTTGCAAACTTATTCTATAAGACCAGCATTACTCTGATACCAAAACCAGACAGAAACACAACAACAAAAAACTATAGGCCAATATCCATGATGAACAGAGATACAAAAGTTCTCAACAAAATACTAGAAAACCAAAAACTAACCGTGCAATCCATTTATGCCTAGTGTTCCATCAGTGGAACGCTAAGCATGTGGGAGTTATTTATATCCTACTGCTCAAGGTTATTGCCATGGTCTGATTGCAAAAATTCAAAAAATTGCAAACTCAGGCATAAATACATTAAAAAGATCATTCACCATTGTCAAAAGGAATTCAATCCAGGGAGGTAAGGACGTTTCAACATATGCAAACTAAAACACGTGATAAAACTGTATAATCATTTCAATAGATGCTTGAAAACACTCAATAAAATTCAACATTTCTTCATGATAAAAACTATCAACAAATTAAGTATGAAAGGAGCATACCTTAAAATGATAAAGGCCATATATAGCAAATTCACAACTAATGTTATACTGAATGGGAAAAATGGAAAGCTTTTCCACTAAGATCTGGAACAAAATAAGAGTGCCCACTTTCACTGCTTTTATTCAACATAGTATTGAAAATCTTAGAGCAATTAGGCAAGAGAAATAAATAAAAAGAGATCCAAATTGGAAAGAAAGAAGTCAAATTATCTTGCTTGCAGATGACATCATGCTATATTTAGAAAACCCTATAGAGTCCATCAAAAAACTCTTAGAACTCAAGAAGAAATTCAGTAAGTTTGAAATATACAAAATCGACATGCAAGAATGTTGTATATTGTGTATAGCATTTCTATACACCCACAGCAATCTGAAAAAGAAATTAAGAAAGCAATCCCATTTACAATAGCTACAAAAATGATACATACAAGCAAATATAACTGAAGTGAAAGATCTATAAAGAAAACTATAAAACACTGAGGAAATAAATGGAAGAGAACACAAAGAAACAGAAATATATTGCATGCTTATAAATTGGAAGAATTAATATTCTTAAAATGTCAATACCACTCATTGTACAGATTCAATTAAATCCCTATTAAAATGCCAATGAAATTCTTCCCAGATATAGAAAACACAATCTTAAAATTCACTGGAACCACAAAAACCCCTACTATCCACAGAAACTTTGAGCAAAAAGGTCAGAGCTACAGGTGTCACACTAACTGATTTCAAATTTTATTACAAAGCTATGCTATAGAAAATAGCATGGCATTGGCATAAAAACAGATACATAGACCAGTGGAACAGAATAATAAGTCCAGAAATACATCCATGTATTTACAGCCAACTCATTTTCAACAAAGGTACCAAGAACATACACTGAGGAAAAGACAGTCTTTTTAATAAATGGAGTTGGGAAAACTGGACGTTCATATGCAGAAATACGATTCTAGACTCCTATCTCTCACCATACACAAAAACTCAAAATTGATTAAAGACTTAATGTACTACCTGAAATTATGAAACTACTAGAAGAAAACATTGAAGAAATGGTTCAGGACACTGCTCTAGACTATGACTTTTTGTGTAAGACATCTAAAGTACAGACAACAAAAGCAAAGATAGACAAATTGGATTACATTAGGCTAAAAAGCTTCTGCACAGCAAAGATAACATCATCAGAGTAAAGAGATAACTTACAGAATGGAAAAAAATATTTCCAAATTATCCATCTGAGAAGGGATTAATAACCACAATAGAGAAGAAACTCAAACAAACAAACACAAAAAAACAAATAATCCAATTAAAAAATCGGCAAAGGATCTGAAAAAACATTTCTCAAAAGAAGACATACAAATAATCAACAGGTGTATGAAAGATACTCGACCTCACTAATCATCAGGAAAGGGCAAATCAAAACCACAATGAGATATCATCTCATCCCATTAGGAATGGCTATTACTAAAAAGACAAAAAAAATCAGAAGCTGGTGAGAATGTGAGTAAAGATTAACTCTCATACACTGATGATGGGAATGTAAATTAGTATAGCCACTATGGAAAGCAGTATGAGGTTCCTCAAAAAACTAAAAATAAAACTGCCATATGATCCAGCAATCCCACTGCTGAGTATATATTAAAAATAAAGGAAATTGGCATATAGAAGCTATACTTATACTTCCATGTCTATAACAGCACTATTCACAATAGCCAAAATTCAACCTAGGTGTCCACAAATGAATGCATGGATAACGAAAATATAGTACATACACAATAGAAAATTATTCAGCCATAGAAAGAATGAAATTCTGTCATTTTCAGCAACATAGTTGCAATTGGAGTCATTATTTAAGTGAAATACACCAGTCACAGAATGACAAATATCACATGTTATCACTCACTTGTAGGAGCTCAAAAAGTAAATCTCATGGAGGTAGGCAGTAAAATGGTGGCTACCAAAGACTGTGAAGGGTATGAGGCAAGTGGGGCAATGAAGAGAGGGTACAAAAATGCAGTTAAATTGAAAGAATAAGTTCTAGTGTTTGATATCACAGTAGGATAACTATAATTAATAATAATTTATATTTCATAGTAGCTAGTAGAAAAATTTGGAATGTTCCCAAGACAAAGAAATGATACATATTTGAGGTGACGAATATCCCATTTATCCTGATTGCTACACATTGTATGCTTGTATCATAATATCACGTGTACTCCAGAAAAATGTACAATCATTACGTATCAGTTTTAAAAATTAAGAAAAAAATGCAGAGTAGTTCTATCACCACAGGTATCTCTATAATTTTGTCATTTCAAGGATATTATATAAATGGAATCATACAGTATATCATTTTCTGGGAGTGACTTTTTCACTCAGCTTAATTTTCTAGAGACTCATAAAAGTTGCCGCATGTATCAACAGTACAATTTGTTTTCATTTCTGAGTAGTATTCCATTGCGTGGCTGCACCATGCAATGTGCATAGGGGTCATCTCTAGTGTTTGGTTGTTATGATAAAGCTACTTTGAACATTTGTGTATAGGCTTTCATGTGAGCATAACTTGGAATTCCTCTGGGATAAATACCCGAAAGTGCAATAGTGGGACATATGATAATTACATATTTAGTCCTCTAAAACACTGCCAAACTGTTTTCCAGTGACTGTGCTCTCCGCCAGCTCTGTGTAAGGCTTTAGTTTCTCCACCTTCTCAGCAGCATTTTGTTTTGTCATATTTTTATTTCAGCTATTCTGATAGACGTGTAATGATATATATTTGTAGTTTTCAAAACAATTATAAGATAAATTACAATCTCAATTTTACCAAAAGAAATGAAAGATGGGCCCTTTTATTGTCACTTTTAGCCAGGTTAATTCCATTTGACATAGTAAATCCACTTCCTGGAATCTACCCTACTAGTAAGGAGACAGTTCCCTCATTCTCACTCCAAAATCAAATCCTCTCCTGATTATTTAGTGTTCCAGGACAGTTTGCCAATACTTAAGGACGACACACGTCGTGGGAATGTCAGCCTCCTCGTATTCTGGACAGTTCTTATTTTTTAGTGCAAATATATAAATTGGCATTCTTGTCCATAGGTCAGTATCCTCGGGTAAGTCCATCTGAAGCAGTCCTGAAGATAGATTTGAACTGGGTTTACTGACAAGTCAGTTTCTAATAACCCATCATCACAAAAGCAAGACCCAGGGCCTTGGAAGAGTTTTCTAAAATAATAATACTCAGAGCAAAGCCATGGCAACCAGCCCCTCTCATGGGGACTGCTCAACATCCCTGCAGGCAATGTATTGGCACCTTCTGCAGTAACTATTCAATTTTACAGGTGAATCTTTCATACAGAGAAACTTGATAGCCATAGATATCATCTCAGAGTCTGGATTTTTTAAAACGGAAAATCTTCTTTCTTGAGACTAATACCACTCAGATTTAATTTCTAAAAATGTTTATGATCCCAGCAGGTATAAAATTAATGAGCTGAAGAGAGAGATTAACAGCAGAGTCTAAGTTAATTCTCTCTGAGCAGGAAGTATGAAGATTTACTTATTTTCTTTTTTTTACTATACTTTAAGTTTTAGGGTACATGTGCACAACATGCAGGTTTGTTACATATGCATACATGTGCCGTGTTGATGTACTGCACCCATTAACTCATCATTTACATTAGGTATATCTCCTAATGCTATCCCTCACCCCTACCCCCACTACACAACAGGCCCCAGTGTGTGATGTTCCCCTTCCTGTGTCCATGTGTTCTCTTTGTTCAGTTCCCACCTGTGAGTGAGAACATGCAGTGTTTGGTTTTTTGTCCTTGTGATAGTTTGCTGAGAATGATGGTTTCCAGCTTCATCCATGTCCCTACAGAGGACAAAGATTGAATGAAAAAATTTTAAAAGTACTTCAGAACTTTCTTCTCCTTTCTCTCTCTTTCATACATCCACATAGACATATACACATAGAAGTAGATTAAATATCATATTATTCCTACTGGAATTAATAGAAGCCAATGGACAATTTCTTATCTTGAGTATCAAATATATCCAACCATATTTGCCAAAATTCGATTTAAAAAATATAATTGTGTGTCTATGAATAAATGAAGAAGACAAAGAAGAAATGTTTCATTGCCGCTTCTCTTTGTGTTATTAATAAAATCTCTTATAATCCTTGGAATAATCTTTGGAAGTTACACAATAATTGTTTCCAAAACACTTAAAGTAGGATTCATCAGATGATAAATTCTTTATTTTTGATGCCTATGTGTCTTATTGTTTCTATACCTCATTCATTAAAAGCATAATAATTAATGCTAATGTTTTGTGTTTGTCAAACACCTTTTTTAGGTGTTTTCAAAATAACAGGCTTCATGTGCATTAGTCCTTTAAACCCCTATAATCCTATATCTTAGTTACTAAAATGAACCTTTCTGAGGAATGATTACTGTTCACATAACTTGTCTAAAGTCTTACAGCCAGAAGGGGTGGAGACAGAATCCAAACCCAGTCTCTACTAATATAATCATCGGAGTTGCACTGCCTCCTGTGCCTAGTACCTTGCTAGGTATTAGATAGACACTATAGATACTTGCTAGATAATAACTTGTTTAATGATTATTGATAAATATAAGCAACTATTATTTCTCAAAGTTCTAAAATTTCTTCCCTGTGTGAGGGAAATGAGACATTATGGAAAATAAGAACTAGCCATCAAAGCTAAATACAGTAAAGGTGAAGAAGAAAGCCTGCTTTGAAAGTAAGGCCTCAGGCTACCCCCAAGGATGTGCAGGTTAGAGGTGCAAGAAGGCCCCCAAATGAAGGGGTGAGTGAGGAATGAAATCCAGCTCTGCTCAGCCTGTGCTGGCAAAAGAAGAGCACTTTGTGTAGTGCATCTGCACAAAGAAAGCACATTTTTAATTGGTCCAATTGAGAAGTTTATAAAATTTGGCCAAAATTCTAGCTGCGCCTGTACCAGAGAGGCTCCCATTCCACTCTCAGGTATGTCCCAAACTCATTGAGTGAGCTTGGACAAGCCTAGTTTATTAACTTCCTCCTCCCACTTTGATGCATCCACATATGATGTTAGATTAGATAGTACATGTAAACTTGTACAATAAGATGCAAAGCTTGGACTTTTGTCTACTGTAGGTTTTCAGAGCAGACTAACAACAACAAAAAATTCACCCATGTACTTTGAGCTTTCACTATAGAATGATTTCTGGTTCCTGAGGCAAAAGAGAAATTAAAAGAAGAAAAAGAAAGAAAGAAACTATGGAGTGGAGAACATAGTCATTCAAAATTGCCACTCAGTTGGGGTCTGATCCATGAAGGGGACAAGTCTAAGATTTCAGAACATTAGTTTTCCTTGCATTTTACAGAAGCAAATTCTCTCTCAATGAAAATTCACCAAGGTCTGAAAAAAAATGGAAAGCATATAAATCTTGTCTTAAAAAGTTTGATTTGTGACTTCAGGGTTTAGCAACAAATCTATCGTAAAAAGATTTCATGTTGTCATTGTTTAAAGTCCCTCATATTAAATATGTCATCTCTAATGGTAAGACAGGTAAATTTAAAATTGATTTTGAATTGAAGAAAATTGGAAAGGAATTTAGTGAAATTATTATACTGTCAAGAATTCTTCACATTCTCAATAATTCAGAGGCTAATTATTCTGTTCCGAAATTGTTCAGACTTGGTGTTCTGCATCCTCCTGTGGCTTTTCTCATTTGACCACCTCATTAGTGTCTCCTTTGAAAAATGTACAGGGCAATGAAAAGGACACTCTCCTCTGGCATGATGGGCAAAGAGGATGGGGGCACTGACCTCCATGAGATTTGAACATTTTCCAGGATTCTAGCTAGCTGCAAATTGACTACATATTATAAATCATTCGATCATTATAATATCATTGCATTATAAATGTGTACACATATAATTTTTACAAAAGCACGTTCCATTTCCTTAAAAACATATGTAAGTTGCATTGACAAAGCCTCTACTTCTACTTTCTCCCTATCTTCTTTACCCTTAGGCTACTAAACAGTTAAAAATCACAGTGTGCTAGATTGAATAGTGTCCTCCAAAAGTTCATGTCCACCTGGAACTCATGAATGTTACCTTATTTGGAAACAGGGTATTTGTCTGTGTAATTAGTTTAAATGAGATCATACAGAGTCAGACCTCTGAATTCAATGACTGATGTTCTTGTAAAGAAAGAGAGATTTGAAGACAACAGACGAGACACACAGGAGACCATGTGAAGATGGAAGCAAAGATTATAGTCATGTTGCCGCAGCCAAGGAACACCAAGGATTGACAGTAACCACCAGAAGCTGGAAGAGGCATGGCCAAATTCTTCCTTAGAGTCTTTGAATGGAACATGGTCCTGCTGACCACCTGATGTTGAACTTTTAGCCTCAATGACTGTGAGAAAACTCATTTATGTTGTTTTAAGACACGTAGTTGTGGAATTTTGTTGCAGTGGCCTTGGAAAACTAACACAGATTATATCTAGAGATGTTCCTCCTAGCACAAGAGTTTTGGAGGACACGAAAGTGCTGTCTCCACTACTTTTGGAAAAGGTAAGATGTAAAAAAATTGATAAACAAAAGGAGGAAGGCTCTCATTTTTGATTGGATGGACATAGTTCCATGTGTATATCTGTATTTCCACCTCTCTAAGCACAAATCTCTTTCACACTCTAGTTGTTTTTTTATCTTGACTCTTTTTTACACTCTAAACTCTAAAGAGGCAGTATAAAGGTTTGACTTGTGACTGCTGTGTCCCTGGAACCATGTAAAGTGCCTAGTACACAGTAATGGCTCAATTCATATCTATGGAAGGAAGGAAAGGAGGGAATGACAGAGAGAAAATGACAAACTCTCTATAAATGAATTTTAATTTTTCTTCCTATCAAACTTGTCTCCCCCAAATTTTGATGATGCCAGCAAAACCTAGAAATTCACTGCTGTGTTCACAGAGTGACTAATGAGTAATTCAGCCTTTTATTATAAAATATAATTTACCATTTGTGGTAATGAAGTCATTAAATTTTACAACATCTATTACATTCAGCATTAGAAAAAGGAAATAATAATGGACTTAGTGTCTATAGGGATTCTAGAAATAAGGTTTTTTTTAACCCTATTCTTGTATAAATGAAAAAACACAGGTCCAGAGAGATGAAGTGGTAGAATCCAGGTGTCCTAACTTTCAGCTTTGTGTTTTTCCTGTTACATCACCTTGTCTTTCAAGACATCAAAGGTGGTGTGCAAGGCAGTCTACATCAACAAGAATATGACTTCTAATCCTTCATGTCACCCCACGATGCAAAGAATTGAACTCGATTAATGTCAGACTTCTCCAAGTTATCACTGACAGATCATCAGAAGTGCCCACCACCAAAGTAGTATCATGTACTCCTCTCAAAGGCTGTTGTGAACTAAGCCAAGACCAACTTCTGTGTCACTCAGCTTCCTAATCGGAATATGATCATACTTGATTCTCCTGTGTTTTCTAATTCTTTACTTAAGATATTGCTGAGCACCAAATGAAACACTAGCTGTGAATACTTTGGAGAATGAGGAGCCTTTCATATGTGTTTCCAGGAACATTTTATACTTGGATAATATTATCATTATCCAAGATTTTTGATCAGAAAACTGCTTCTCTGGTCTCCAGCTAGCCTCACCTCACACGGTTCCTTTCCGATTGCAGCACACACTTCATCTTTTGGGCTCATCTAAAAATAGATTTTCTCCCTTTATTTCTTCATCTCACTGCTGAAAACAACCCTGATGCATTCAGCTAAATGCCAAGTCAGACTGATTCAGTCCCATTTTATTTTGATGTTAATTTAGGATATAAATAAATGTTAGTTCATTGTGGCAGACAAATGCTCTTCTGACATATTAAAGAGGCCAGCATCTCAGGCAAAGAACTGGCAAGATTTTAAGATTTACAAAATAATTTGCTGCAGAGACCACTTGATGTCAACATGGGGATTGTCAGGGTTGACTTCTTGAAGGAAAAATAATATAATTCACTCTACAAACAATAATGATCCAGAATTTATTCTTTGCCTCAAAATATCCCCAAACTTTATCAATGGTCAAGTTTATTTTGATCAGCTCGGCCTATAGTAGACTGTAACAGCTGGCCCATAAGTTTCCTCAGTTTACCAATAAACAGCCATAATTAAAATAACATTGGGATTCATTTTCCAGGCATTTTATTAGCTTCTCTGAATTGATTAATGCTTCATAAAGTCGTTTGAGGGGGAAAAAACAGTGATTCCATCCTTGATGAGTGTCTATTTTTGTTTTTTTAATTTTATAACTACTAATTTATATCACAGTGCCACCTATTGGGCTAAATGGGCTTTTCTCAACAAGAGTCAAACTTCACCACTCACTGTTTCGGTGTCAAGAGAGCCACCAAATTAGTTTATTGCCATTAGTAGGCATGGTAATTATTCAAAGGAATATTTAATTTCAGCACAGCTGAAAGCACTGTAAATGGTATGGAGGCATAGGTAATAGCAAAGAAATAACTGGATGTACTTAGTGCAAGTTATTATTATTGTGATATCATATTAAAAGACTTTTATTAAATAAAGCACTGCAGCAACATTTCTTGATTTTGGATTTTCATACTCTCTTGAAAAATATGTAGCATATATAATGGAAGCAAATGAAGTTTTAAGTGAGCCAGACTCCCCCCAATACCCCAGAAATATTGAGGAGATATTTACTCTGTTTTCCTTTGCATCTTGTAATGACGCCCATTGTAGCACACAAGCACAGAAAACAGCAACATCTAGCTATCATCTGCTTGCATGTCAGTCTGCCAGATTATACTGTAGAGTTAGGAGGGTAAGGTCTATGCTTTTTTAGATCTGTATTCCAGAAACAGCTACAGAGCTTGGCCGAGCAGTATTCTCCAGAGAGTGAGGAGAGTCTAATAGAAACATAATTTTCAGACCTCTCTGCCTCATCAGCACATTATCCTTCCTGGTTCACATGAAGAAAAATGTCCATTGGTAGAAAGAGTGACAAATTCAAAGAAAGCAATCATTACAGATAAAATTTGGATAATATGAGTTTTTTTGTTTGTTCGTTTGTTTTTGAGATGGAGTCTTGCTTTTTCACCCAGGCTGGAGTGCAGTGGCGCAATCTCGACTCACTGCAAGCTCTGCCTCCCAGGTTCACGCCATTCTCCTGCCTCAGCCTCTTGAGTAGCTGGGACTACAGGCGCCCACCACCACACCAGGCTAATTTTTTGTATTTTTAGTAGAGACAGGGTTTCACCTTGTTAGCCAGGATAGTCTCGATCTCCTGACCTCGTGATCCACCCTTCTCGGCTTCCCAAAGTGCTGGGATTACAGGCGCGAGCCACTGCGCCCAGCCACGCCTGGCTAATATTTGATTTCACCAAGTTGGTCAGGTTGGTCTCCAACTCCTGACCTCGTGATCTGCCAGCCCCAGCCTCCCAAAGTGCTGGGATTACAGGCGTGAGCCACCATGCCCAGCCAAGATTTGGATAATGTTTAATGTCACCCTGACCTATTTGAAATCTTAGTTCTAACTTCAGAGCTACCACATTAATATTTAAAACATTTAATCAATGAGTTTCATCTCTTTTGTTGGTATTGCGCTTTTTTCCCTGTATTGTATAGGTCTTAAATATCTGCATTATGTTGAGAGTGTGCTAAAAGAAGGATCTTCATTTGAGCATGTACATCCAGAGGAGACATTGTCCAGATTTTTAAATTCCATAGGTAAAAATCTCTTTAAAAAAGTTTGTCTGCAAGTATCTTAAAATTCACAAATAGTTCTTTCCCTCTTTATTAGAGAAACTTACATATCTTACCTGTTACAAGTTTTACTAAGGTGATTTGGCCCAGAATGTGAAAACCTCTAAGGAACCAAACAAACATGATCTCTTTTAAAGATTATTAATTAAGGTCCCATAAACCTATGTTCTGTGGGGTGTGGTGAAGTGGCAGATATAAAACTTAGTAACAAAAAAGTATCTTGGTGTATGTGAATTAAGATATATGGTATACTGGTATGTAGAAGTACTAAGAACATAATACATTTATATTCTTTGCCTCCTCCATCTCCTCAGTATCTTCAAAGAAAACATTCCTTTTGAGGCAGAGACCCCTGAGAGAATGAGACTCGTTTCTTGCAATGCTATAATGAAATACCTGAGACTAGGTAATTTATAAAGAAAAGAGGTGTAATTGGCTCACGGTCCCGCAGGCTATATGGAAAGCACGGTAACACCTGTTTCTGGGGAGGCCTCAGGAAACATTCAATCATGGCAGAAGGTGACGTGGGAGCAGGAACCCATTAAAAGGCAGGGCAGGAGGAAGAGACAGAGGGGGTAGGTGCCACACACATATGAACAAACAGATCTCATGAGAACTCTATCAGGAGAATAGCAGCAAAAGCATGGTGCTAAACCACCCCCATGATCCAATCATCTCCCACCAGGCCCCACCTCCAACACTGGGAATTACCATTCAACATAAGATTTGGGCGGGGACAGAGATCCAAATCGTATCAGAGGAAAACCAAAACAGATCTGCCTTGCCAAAGTAGAAATATGTTAGTCGTGTGGATTTTTAAATGTATTAGATTTGTGCAAAAGTAATTGCAATTTTTGCCACAATTACTTTTGCGCCAACCAAATAACTAGAAAGTTTTCTGGGACTTTTACATTTTTACATTATATTAGATAATATATAAGGACAAACTTTCTATGTTATTATTTTCAGATTCACTGTGGATTATTCAATAAGGTAGTCAAAAAATTCAAATCGTATCATAAAAGTTTTTCCAATTATAGTCAATTCTCATTTTATTTTTTCTTAAATACGATTATCTTTTCTACTTCCAAAAAAATAACTTGATAATTCTCAAAAATTAATTTTTTTGCTGTATTCTTTTTTAAATGCAATTTTTGATAATGTTTTATGTCATTAAGAAATAGATTTGTTTCATAATTATAAAATTATATCACATATAAATTCCATCTTTAAACTGTAAATATGTTAAATATTTTAAACTGTAAATATGTTAATAATTACTATTATTGATAATAATAGTAATTATAATAATACTTTAACCCAATCCAAAAATATTATTATAACGTACAACATCTCAGGAAACAAAACAAATGTAAAAATCTCAATGAATACACTCATTTTAATTTCGATAGGTATGATGAAGTTATCAGTAAAAGACTTACAAACTTATATGCTACATGAGTATTGAAATATGGGGAGAAAGTAAAATTGAAATATGAGTTCAAAGAGAAAAAGAAAATGAAAGTTGTCTGTGTTAAAGAAGAGCTTGCTCATCTACTTTTAAATGAAGGACGGTGGATATCAAATTATTATAAGCTTTATGTTCCATTAAATACTATTAAAATAGTAATGTTATTGTTCGATGTCACTATTTACAACTTGTCAGGTACTGCATCCTTTCAATATAATTAAAGAAAACGTAAAAGTTAACATAAAAGACCTTTAAATGGAATACGTGGTTTTTCTTAAGTATACTATATTAGAGCATGAACTTCTCTGAAAGAAAAGAAATAGTGACGGGCATGTAGTAGATGTTTAAAAAAATTTAAAAACCTCGTTGAAATAGGAGACAGTTTACTATAGTTATTAAAGCTCATGATTCTCTTCAATATTTGGCTATAGACAGCAAGCTTCAATAAGCATTTCCATGGGCAAATAGACTCATTTTAAGCATGGATTTAACAACTATATCAATATTTCCAAACTAGCATTCCCTCTGTTTTTTACCTGATAAATGAGTATATTTACCAGATAAATGAGTATATTCCTACAAGGATTCCTACAAGTATATTCCTACAAGGATTTATCCTCCAAATAAATGAGTATGGTCCTACAAGTATATTCCTGCAAAATGTATAAATTTGTGTGGCCCCAGCATGAACAAGGCTATATGACCAGGATAGTGTGATCTTCAAGTCTCTCACCTCCTTCAGAGTATGAGCTGAGGAAACTAACTCCACCAGTCCGACTTCAACGTGTTAGCCTCAGGCTCACGGATAGAAGCTCCTCCAATTAACCCTGGCTGCAGCCAAGCAGCATTCTGTGGCTTTAACCAAGATCCTCATGTTCTTCAGAAAAGAAAGAGAATTCTGAAAATCGTATTTGAATTGTATTCATTATTGATCTCTTTTCAAACTAATATGCAATATGTATATTTACATTATGATATCATAAATATGGACATGTTAGAGAACATCAATGATTTCAATTATGGGAATGATTTTATCAATTGATTTATATAATCAATTGATATCATTAATATACCAATTGATTGATGCAGAATAAGGCTCCTGTTAACACAGCTGCATATATCTGAATTCCTTGAAATTGTGTTCTGATTTTAAAAGTTGTGGATATTCTATAACTACTTTTTGTTTTAAGTCTGAACATGTCTACTCTTGTTTAATTGTACCAATGAGGCAGACTAACAGTTAAGGTGCACACTACTGCATAATCCACCAGGCAAGGTCCACGTGAGTGTGTCTGGCATTTTGTCATAGCTTAATATTTGTTTGTACAGTAACCCATCCAAATAAGAAAATAGCATGTTATTTTCTTACAGATTTACCATTATGATTAAGTTGTGCTTTATCAGATGTGTTTTTAATTATTATGGTATTTCTATGAATTGGGGTGATTATTTCCTAACATATTTACAAATGTCATATTTCCAGCTTATATGATGAATTCTTAAAATTTTAAATACCCAGCTGTCCAAAACAAAGACAATTTTAAGAGTAATCTAACAAATACTACAAAATTCATGCTCAAGCTATTTGACACAGCTTTTGTGTCTGAAACAGTTTATCCTATTTGACAACAGTATATGAAACAAGGAAATATGCTGAAAACTCTCAACAAAGTCAATCAAAAATAGGGAAAACAGGAAAATAAAATAATGGCTCTCATGTAGTTTGATGTTGATAAATATTGTTCAAGTTCTAAATATTTGGAGCCAGGCACAGTGGCTCACACCTGTAATCCCAGAACTTTGGGAGGCCGAGGAGGGCGGATCACGAGGTCAAGAGATCGAGACCATCCTGGACAACATGGTGAAACCCCGTCTCTATTAAAAGTACAAAAATTAGCTAGGCCTGGTGATATGCACCTGTAGCCCCAGCTACTCAGGAGGCTGAGGCAGGAGAATCGCTTGAACCCTGGAGGTGGAGGTTGCAGTGAGCCAAGATCGTGCCACTGCACTCCAGCCTGGCAATAGAGCGAGACTCCGTCTCAAAAAAAAAAATTCTCAATATTTCATAAATATATTCAAATTCTCAATATTCACATGCTTTCATTTGTTTAAAGTTAAAAATTGTGCATTATATATATAGAATAGATGCAAATAATAAAGGTATATTCATTTGAATATGTATGTTCATTATAAATTAAAATAATTGATTGAATCGATCATTTAACTGTGAACCTAGCATTTTAATAAGAGCTAGAACAATATCAAATACTTTCACTTTCTTATATCCTTTTTTGCTAGCTCTTCCTTTTACCTCCTCCCTTCCCCAAAACAATCAAAATTCTAAACTTTGTTTATAATATCCTTAATATAAGTCATCTCTCCCTTTCATATGTAAAAACAATGCAGTCAGTTGTATTTGTGTTTGAGGTTTCTAAAAATTGCATCATGCTGTCTTCTACAAAAAGCTTATTCATGTAGCTGTGTGTAGTTGTTCATTTATTTTGACTGCTATATAATATCCATTGGGTGACTATATCATATCACTTATCAATTCTTCTGTCAAACAACAATTTTGCTATTATAAATAATGCCATAATGACACTTTTTGTGTATGTATATATAGTTCTACATATACAAAAATACACACAATATTTTGTCTCTAGATAATGCACAAATAAATTGAATTGCTGAGTCACAGCCTAAGTGACTGTTCTGTGTTATAACATGATACTAAACTGTTTTACAAAACTGTAAAATTGCCTTAAAAAATTGTACCCAACTGTACAATGGATGTTGTACCAACTTACATTCCCATCAGCATTCTGTTGTATTACTCATCAATCCATATGATCACAAAAACATAATAGTATAAGATATTGTATTTTATTGTCATTGTATGAGTATAAAAAGCTATTTCATAACAGCATTAATTTCATTTCCATAACTACTTAAGAGGCTGAACACCTTTTAATGTTTTTTAAGCCTGCCTCCATAGGCATGATATCTGCTTATTTCTTTGCTCCTTTTTTTAAGATTTTATATTATGTCATATTTTTAATAACTTTTTAATTTTTTAAATCCTCCTATATGCTTGTAATATTAATCATTTATTATTTATATGTATTTCAGCTATTTTATTTCAGTTTGTAAGTTGAGTTTTTCTTTCTTTTAATAAAAAACCTCTTTTCCATTTTAATATAGTTAAATTTTCTGAAATGTTCCTTTTCCTTATAGTTAATATTTTTTGAGTCATGTAACCCAAAGGTCATTGTGATTATCTTCTCAGATTTGAAGAATTTGCCTTTCACATTTCAGTTTTAAATCTATCTGGTGTGTGTGTGTGTGTGTGTGTGTGTGTGTGTGTGTGTGTGTGTGTCTTGTGGGGACATAATTTTATTTTTCTATCTAAATTATCAACTTTTCCCAGCAGCATTATTAAATATTTCCTTCTTATCTTAGTAATGCCATTTATATAAAATATTCATAAATGTTTGGGTCTATTTCTGGGATTCTTATTTGTCTTCTTTTTATTGCTTATTTTGTTTATCCTACTTCTATTTTCACAGTGCCTTAATTAATATGTCTATATAAGATTTGATAAATGATAGCACGATTACTTTTTTTCTAATTTTTCTTTTACAACAAAGCCATGGTTGCTCCTAAACATTTGTTTTCCTATGTAACTTTTAAAATCATCTTCTCAAATTTAAATTATTTGTTAATGTTTTCATTGAAATTGGATAAAATCTAGCCCTTATTATGGGGGAAAGTAATGATTTCTCTTTATTGTTATAAGATTTTTCCAATTATGTTGGTTTCTTTAAATGTAATATCATATTCTTCTTAAATAATTTATTATTTCTTAAATTGTATTTATAATTTACTGGCTTTAATCTTTGATGCTCTACTGCTATTATAAATGGTATCTCTTTTTAATCATATTTATGAATTCATAATTACTAATTAAATTTAGCTATCTTGATAGTCTCTGATATTTATTGTTACTATTATGTTTTTAGTGCTCTGGGTTTTCTATTAGACAATTTAGTGATTTGCAATCACTATGATTTGTAATCACAGTTTTAATTCATACAATTCAAATTTTATAATTATTTTATTGATTGATTAGGATCTACAGAACAATGTTGAATTGTTGTGAGTAAAGTGGAAATTTTTGCCTTTTTCCTGATGTTTAAAGGAATGCTTTCCAAAAACTTTGCCTATTTATGGTAGTATTTTAGAAAGTTTTTAAACATAGATGCCCTTTGTCAAGTTGGGCAAGACTTTTTACATTCCTAAACTTCTAATAGTGTTTTTGTAAATTTATGTTACATTTATATCAATCTTCTTTTATTTATTGACATCATTGTAATTTCTTCTTTCATTTTGAATGCAGTTGATATGGTTTAACTGTGTCCTCACCCAAATCTCATCTTGAATTGTAATTCCCACAACTCCCATGTGTCATGGGGGAATCCTGGTAGGTGATCATTGAATCATGGGGTGGGGGGAGGGTCTTTACCATGCTGTTCTCATGATATTGAATAAGTCTCATGAGATCTGATAGTTTTAAAAACGAGAGTTTTTCTGCACAAGCTCTCTTCTCTTGTCAGCTGCCATGTGAGATGTGCCTTTCACCTTCCACCATGATTCTGAGGTCTCCCAAGGCATGTGGAACTGTAAATCCAGAAAACCTCTTTCTTTTGTAAATTGTCCAGTCTGGGGTATGTCTTTATCAGCAGTGTGAAAATGGACTAATACAGTAGTAAATTTTATTTTCTAATATTGAATCATCACTTTATCTGGAATAAAGGTAAGTTGGTCATGATGAACTCGGTCTTCTATGTAGGTTTGGTTTTCTAGTATTGTGTTTAGAACTGTTATATTCTACATTTTATACAACTATTGATAATAATACAGTGTTAAAGACGGCCTTAAGGAATAAGTTGAATATTATTACTTATATTTGCATGATGTAGACTAGAAATATGTTTCCCTTCAGACAAGGAAACAAAAAAGTGATTTAATACAAGGTTCTGAAAAGTGTTACCTCAAATTGAGTAAGGCAATAAGTGGGCACAGAGAAGTATCATGTAGAGCTGAAATTCTTATGTTGGGTTGCACGGCTTCTTTATGCTGTTAATAAACAAGCAGATGAAAATTACGTGACAAATTTTAATTTCAACCTATTTAAAAACGGATATTGTGAGATCCTTTATTTTAAATGTTCTATTTATGTAAGTGATTTTATGACAAGTGTGATAAATGCACAAGTCTTTGAAAAGCTCTATATAAGCATGAGAGATTTTTATATTGAAAGGAAAAATATTTAACTTGAACCACACTATCGATACGGTTTAACCTTGTGAAAATTGCACAGCTGTCTATAAGTCATTAAATTTCTATCTATAAGTCATTAAAATAATCACTGAAGTATAATTATTCTATTTTTTTGGCTTGATCTTCAGAAAATCAGAACATATTGTGGAGATTTACATATTTTAGAAAAGTCATTATGGTAAGTTTCTCATATTTACCACTGATGGTATTCCAAAAGGACTCCTCTTCAGAGGTTTTCTTCACCTATGTTTTAAGTTCTGAATAATTATTTTTCCATTGTAACCATATTCTATTAACATTTTCTTATGATACAATAAAAAGAAAAACATTCAATAGCTCTAACCCAAAAGGATAGCATGGGTCCATACTGACAGGCTACAAATGAGCATTTCTTTTAGTATTTTAGTTTGTTTTACATACAGCTATGTGCTAAATGATTACAGAAGTAGAAAAAGTATCTAAAGCACAGTGTGTTGTTATTGTTCATTAATTTTAATATTTTATAGTTCCAAAGTAATATATGCTATTTTAAAAGATTTTTTTTTTTTTTTTTGAAATAGAGTCTTGCTCTCTCGCTGGGCTGAAGTGCAGTGGTGCGATCTTGGCTCACTGCAACCTCTGCCTTCCAGGTTCTAGCAAATTCTCCCACCTCAGCCTCCCAAGTAGCTGGGATTACAGGTGCATGCCACCACACCTAGCTAATTTTTGTATTTTTGGTAGAGATGGGGTTTCATCATATTACCCAGGCAGGTCTTGAACTCTTGACCTCAAGTGATCTGCCCACCTCTGCCTCTCAAAGTGCTAGGGTCACATGCATGAGCCACTGTGAAATTATGTACTTTATAGAAAAAAAACAAATAAATTCATAATCTCCCCTCATCAACTATTCAAACTTCCGCATATTAACCTCGTAAACATTCTTGAAATTGATCTTCCATTCATTTTTTTCATTTTCACGTAAAAATACCTAAAGCATTTTAGGATCCGTTAAAAACTGCTTGCTGACAAAGGATATACCAGACATTCTAGAGTAACCGGAACTAGTATTTGTTCATTTGTGTTAAGCCACTGTTTTAAGTAATTTAGTAATCATAGCTTATTTAATCTTTAAAAAAAAGCTAGATATCATTATTTTCTTTTTAGAAAAGTGAACAAGTTTAAGCTATTTGCCAAGGTTAAGCAGTTTGTCTCTGTGGTAGAACTAAGACTTGAATCTATGTCTATCAACCTTTAAAACTGTGGCTTTTTACAAGAAATCAGAGGGAAGAATGTATATGTTTACTACTCTCAGTTGGAAGGCTGCTTTTCAAAAGGAGCTTAAAGAGGAAAAAGACTTACTCCTGATCATTGACTTTTGACATGCATAACAATTTTCTAAACTAAATGGAATTGTTCAAATTGATAATAAATTCAGAAAGTTTGGTCATAGTGGCCTCTTCTGGTGAAAACGAGAATATCAGAAATACTTGTGAAGAATCATAAATAAATGTTCAATATGAAATTTAAATAAATCATACCAAATATATTTTTACTTATTTAGAAATTATGTTTCCTTATAAATACTAAGTCAAAACATGGTAATATTAATGGTAGCTTCTTCTGGGTTTTTTTTTCTTAATGTCATCAAAATGTATTATTTTATGAGGAAAGAGTACTTCACTGGACAAACTCAAAAATAAATCTTAATGCTGTGATCTTAGGTGAAGACTTAAATTCTTCTATGAAAAATTGAATAGAAAAGATTGAGATAACAATAGCAAGAGATATAAAAACACTAATATTTTCATGGCCATATTATGGTTTACAAAGAAATGTCCCATATGTTATTATAATAATCTTCATAATAACACAGTGAAATTCACAAAGCAGTCTTACAGATCCCAAGTTATAAAAAAGGATAATAAGGCTTAAATATTTTCCATGTTTTGACTAATATACCTCCTAATGGTGAATCACGTTGTATACCCAGATCTTCTCATTCAAAATTGAATGACTTTTTGCTACAGAACATTATTTGCAAGGTTGTGATGAATCCCATCAAGTCCCTGCATATGAAAACCTTTGTTAACTCAAGTTACTATACCTGTTGTCATTATGGACCTTACAATGTCAGGATAGAAGGACTGAAAGACTACCCAGTCCAGTCATTTTCAAAATGTATTTATCTGTTGATCTGTCACATTCTTTCCACAAATACTTTGAAGTAGAAAGTAGGCAAACTTATATTCCTTTAGGTATATACCCAGTAATGGGATTGCTGGGTCAAATGGTATTTCTGGTTCTAGATCCTTGAGGAATTGCCACACATCTACCACAATTGTTGAACTAATTTACATTCCCACCAACAGTGTAAAAGAATTCCTATTTTCCCACAGCCTCGCCAGCATCTATCGTTTCCTGACATTTTGATAATCACCATAGTGACTGGCATGAGATGATATCTCATTGTGGTTTTGAACTGCATTTCTCTAATGATCAGTGATGTTGAGCTATTTTTCATAAGTTTGTTGGTTGCATGAATGTCTTCTTTTGAGAAGTGTCTGTTCATACCCTTTGCCCAATTTTTGATGGTATTGTTTGTTTTTTTGTAAAGTTGTTTAAGTTCCTTGTAGATTTTGGATATTAGACCTTTGTCAGATGGATAGATTAAAAAAATTGTCTCCCATTCTGAAGGTTGCCTGTTCACTCTGATGATAGTTTGATTTGCTGCAGAAGCTCTTTGGTTTAATTCTATTCCGTTTATCAATTTTGGGTTTTGTTGAAATTGCTTTTGGCATTTTTGTCATGAAATTTTGCCCATGACTATGCCTGAATGGTATTGCCTAGATTTTCTTCTAGGATTTTTATAGTTTTGGGTTTTACATTTAAGTCTTTAATCCATCTTGAGTTAATTTTTGTATAAGGTGTTAGGAAGGGGTCCAGTTTCAATTTTCTGCATATGGCTAGCCAGTTCTCCCAGAACCATTTATTAAATAGGGAATCCTTTCCCCATTGCTTGTTTTTGTCAGGTTTGTCAAAGATCAGATGGTTGTAGATGTGTGGTCTTATTTCTGAGTTCTCTACTCTGTTCAATTGGTCTATGTGTCTGCTTTTGTACCAGTACCATGCTGTTTCATACGGTAGTCTTGTAGTATAGTTTGAAGTCTGGTTACATGATGCCTCCAGCTTTGTTCTTTTTGCTTAGCATTATCTTGGCTATACAAGCTCTTTTTTGATTCCATATTAATTTTACAATAGTTTATTCTAATTCTGTGAAGATTGTCAATTATAGTTTAATGGGAATAGCATTGGATCTATAAATTACTTTGGGCAGTATTGCCATTTTCACGATATTGATTCTTTCTATCCGTGAGCATGGAATATTTTCCATTTGTTTTCATCCTCTCTGATTTCCTTGAGCAGTGGTTTGTAGTTCTTGAAAAGCCCTTCGCTTCACTTATTAGCTGTATTCCTAGGTATTTTATTCTCTTTGTAGCAATTATAAATGGGAGTTCATTCATGATTTGGCTTTCTGCTGGCCTGTGGTTGGTGTATAGGAATTCTTGTGACTTTTGCACATTGATTTTGTATCCTGAGACTTTGCTGAAGTTGCTTATCAGCTTAAGAAGGTTTGGAGCTGAGATTATGGGGTTTTCTAGATACAGATCTTGTCATCTGCAAATGAAGATAATTTGACTTCATCTTTTCCTATTGAAATACCCTTTATTTCTTTCTCTTGCCTGATTTCCCTGGCCAGAACTTCCAACACTGTGTTGAATAGGAATGGTGAGAGAGGACATCCTTGTCTTGTGCTAGTTTTCAAGGGGAATGCTTCCAGTTTTTGTCCGTTCAGTATGATATTGGCTGTGGGTTTGCCATTAATGGCTCTTATTATTTTGAGGTATGTTCCTTCAATATCTAGTTTATTGAGAGTTTTTAACATGAAGTGATGCTGAATTTTATTGAACGCCTCTTCTGCATCTATTGAGATAATCAAGAGGTTTTGTCTTCAGATCTGTTTATGTGATGCATTTATTGATTTGCATAGATTGAACCAGCTTTGCATCCTAGGAATAAAGCCAACTTGACTGTGTGAATAAGTTTTTTGATGTGCTGCTGTATTTGGTTTCCCAATATTTTATTGAGAATTTTTTGCATTGATGTTTATCAGGAATATTGGCCTAAAGTTTTGTTTGTTTGTTTGTTTGTTTTTTCTGTTGTATCTCCACCAGGTTTTGGTATCAGGATGATGCTGGCCTCATAGAATGTGTTAGGGAGGAGTCCCTCCTTTTCAATTGATTGGAATATTTTCAGAAGAAAGAGTATCAGCTCCTCTTTGTACTTCTGATAGAATTCAGCTGTAAATCTATCTGGTCCTCGGCTTTTTTTTTTTTTTTTTTTTTTTTTGGTTGGTAGGCTATTTATGACTGCCTCAATCTCAAAACTTTTTATTGGTCTATTCAGGGATTCCACTTCTTCCCGGATAAGTCATGGGAGGGTGTATGTGTCTGGGAATTTATCCACTTCTAGATTTTCTAGTTTACTTGCATAGAGATGTTTATAGTATTCTCTGATGGTTGTTTGTATTTCTGTGGGGTCAGCGGTAATATTTCTTTTATCATTTTTCATTGTGTCTATTTGATTCTGCTCTCTTTTATTCTTTATTAGTCTAGCTAGTGGTCTATTTATTTTATTAATTTTTTCAACAAACCAGCTCCTGAATTTATTGTTTTTTGAAGGAGTTTTTGTGTCTCTATTTCTTTCAGTTCTTCTCTGAGCTTGGTTTTCTCATGTCTTCTGCTAGCTTTGGTGTTTGATTGATCTTGGTTCTCTAGTTCTTTTAGTTGTGATGTTAGGGCATCAGTTTGAGATATTTCTAGCTTTTTGATGTGAGCATTTAGTGCTATAAATTTTCCTCTTAACACTGCTTAGCTGTGTCCCAGAGATTTTGGTGCATTGCTCTTTGTTCTCATTGGTTTCAAAGAACTCCTTGATTTCTGCCTTAATTTCATTATTTACCCAGGAATCATTCAGGAACGGGTTGTTCAATTTTCATATAGTTTTGTGGTTTTGAGTAAGTTTCTTAATTTTGAGTTCTAATTTAATTGCACTGTGGCTTGAGAGACTGTTATGTTTTCAGTTCTTTTGCATTTGCTGATGAGTGATTTACTTCCAAATATATAATTGATTTTAGAGCAAGTGCCATGTGGTCCTGAGAAGAATGTATATTCTGTTGTTTTGGGGTGGAGAGTTCTGTAGATATCTATCATGTCTGCTTGATCCAAAGGTGTGTTCAAATCCTGAATATCTTTAATTTTCTGTCTCGCTGATCTATCTAATAATGACATTGGATTGTTAAAGTCTCCCACTATTATTGTGTGGGAGTCTAAGTCTTTTTGTACATCTAACAATTTGTTTTATGAATCTCAGTGCTCCTGTATTGGGTGTATACATATTTAGGATAGTTAGTTCTTCTTGTTGAATTGACCAGTTTACCATTATGTAATGCTTTTCTTTGTCTTTTTTTTTTTTTTATCGTAGTTGGCTTAAAGTCTGTTTTGTTGGAAACTGGGATTGCAAACCCTGCCTTTTCTGTTTTCCATTTCCTTGGTAAATTTTCCTCCATCCTTTTATTTTGAGTCTATGTGTGGTCTTTGCATGTGAAATGGGTCTCTTGAATAAAGGCTACTGATGGATCTTGACTCTTAATCAAGCTTGCTATTCTGTGTCTTTTAATTGGGGCATTTAGATAATTTACATTTGAGGGTAATACTGTTTATATGTGAATTTGATCTTGTCATTATGATGTTAGCTGATTATTTTGCAGACTTGTTTATGTAGTTGCCTCATAGTGTCATTGGCCTGTGTACTTCAGTGTATTTTTGTAGTGGCTGGTAATGGTTTTTCCTTTTCATATGTAGTGCTTCCTTCAGGAGATCTTGCAAGGCAGGCCTAGGGGTGATGAATTCCCTCACCATTTGCTTGTCTAAAAAAGATTTTATTTCGGGCTCAGCACAGTGGCTCATGCCTGTAATCCCAGCACTTTGGAAGGCCGAGGTGGGTGTCACCTGAGGTCAGGAGTTCGAGACCAACCTGGCCAACATGGTGAAACCTTGTCTCTACTAGAAATACAAAAATTAGCTGAGCATAGTGGTGAGCACCTGTAATCCCAGCTACTTGGGAGGCTGAGGCAGGAGAATCACTTGAACCTGGGAGGCAGAGGTTGCAGTGAGCCGAGATCATGCCATTGCACTCCAGCCTGGTCAACAAGAGAGAAACTCCATCTCAGAAAAAAAAAAAAAAAAAAAAAAAAGATTATTTTCTCCTTTGCTTATGAAGCTTAGTTTGGCTGGATATAAAATTCTAAGTTGGAAATTCTTTTTTAAAGAATGTTGAATATTGGACCCCAATCTCTTCTGGCTTGTAGGATTTCCACTGAGAGGTTTGCTGTTAGTCTGATGGACTTCCATTTATATGTGACCCGGTCTTTGTCTCTGGATGCCCTTAACATTTTTTCCTTCATTTTGATCTTGAAGAATCTGATGATTATGTGTTTTGGGGTTGATCGTCTCATGGAGTATCTTACTGGGGTTCTCTGAATTTCCTGAATTTGAATGTTGCCCTATCTTACCAGGTTGAGGAAGTTTTCCTGGATAATGTCCTGAAGTGTGTTTTCCAACTTGGTCCTATTCTCCCTGTCTCTTTCAGGTACCCCTATCAGCTGTAAGTTCAGTCTTTTAATGCAATGCCATAGTTCTTGGAGGTTTTATGCATTCCTTATCATTATTTTTTCTCTAATCTTGTCTGCCTACCTTATTTCAGCAAGATAGTCTTCAAGCTCTGATATCCCTTCTTCAGTTTGGTCTATTCGGCTATTGATATTTGTGTTTGCATTGTGAAGTTCTCACGTTGTGTTTTTCAGCTCCTTCAGGTTATCTATGTTCCTCTCTCAACTGGTTATTCTGGTTAACAACTCCTCTGATGTTTTATCATGGTTCTTAGCTTCTTTGCAATAAGTTAGAACGTACTCCTTTAGCTAAGTGAAGTACATTATTACCCATCTTATGAAGCCTACTTTTGTCAGTTCAACCATCTCAACCTCAGCCCAGTTCTGTGCCATTGAGGGAGATGTGTTGTGATCATTTGGAGAATAGGCACTCTGCCTTTTAGAGTTTTCAGCACTTTTACACTGATTCTTTCTCATCTTCTTGGGTTCATCTACCTTTGATCTTTGAGGCTGCTGACCTTTGGATGGAGTTTTTGTGGGGTCTTTTTCATTGATGTTGTTGTTGTTGTTGTTGCTTTCTCTTTGTTTTTCTTTTAGCGGTCAATGCCCTTTTCCATAGGGCTGCTGCAGTTTGCTGAGGGTCCACTCCAGACCCTGTTTTCCTGCGTCCCTCCTGCTCCTGAAAATATAACTAATAGAGGCTGCAGAACAGCAAAGATGGCAGCCTGCTCCTTCTTCTGGGAGCTCTGTCCCGGAGGGGCACAGACTTGATGCCAGCTGGAACGCTCCTGTATGAGGTGTCTGGAGACTCCTGTTGGGAGGTCTCACCCAGTCAGGAGGACAGGGATCAGGGACCTGCTTAAATAAGCAATCTGACTGCCCCTAGTTGGAGCAGGTGTGCTGCGCCATTGCCTGGGCTGCCCTGACTCTCCAGAGCCAGTAAGCAGGCAGATAAGACTAAGATTCATGATACTGCAGCTGCACCTCCTCCTAGGGGCTCCTCTCAGGGATATCAGAGTTTTGTTCATAAATGCCTGCCTGGGGATGCTGAATTTCCTGCAGGGAGGTCCCACCCAGTGAGGGGGAGTGGATCAGGGTCCTGCTTAAGGAAACAGTCCAGCCACGAACTGCCCCAGCCGCTGTGCTGCACTGTGGGGAATTGCTCCCAGTACAAACCGCGCTGGCGCTGGCGGCAGGGGAAAACAGCCGACTAGAGGCGCAGTGATGGTGGCTGTCCCTGCCCCCTGGGAAACTCGGGGTCTCAGTGCCTGCTCCAGCCGCCGCCTACCTGAGCAGCCGCCAAGAGTCTGCACTGCTCTATGCTTGGGAGCCAAGAATCCTGGTTGGTGTGGGCTCACAAGGGGACCGCCTGATTTGCAGGTTGCAAATCAGGAGGGATCTCCTCCAGCCAGATCTGTGGGAAAAGTGGGGTTTTCAGGGAGAAGGAGCAAAATCCCTCACCGCCTCCCTTGGCTGGAAGAAGGAGCTCCCTTTGCCTCGTGCAGCTCCCAGGTGAGCCCTTGCTCCACCCTCCTTTTCCTCGCTCTCCGTGGGTCGCCATAACCACTTGGTTCTCATGAGCGATCCTTGGTACCTCAACTGAAGATGCAGAATTCACTCACTGTTTTTATCCTTTTTGGTGGGAGCTGCAGAGCAAAGCCATTTCTATTCGGCCGTCTTGGCTGCTCCAACAATTTCTTTAAAATAGCATCCAAGAGAATAAGTTTAACAAAGGAAGTGCAAAGCTTATACTCTGAAAACTAAAAATATTGTTTGAAGTCATTAAAGGAAAACTAAATAAACGGAAATATATCCTATATTCATGGATGAGATGACTTAATAATTTTAAGACAGCAATACTCCTCAAATTCATCTATATGCTCAATGTAATTCCTATCAAAATCTTAGCTGAACTTTTGCAGAAATTGACAAGCTTATTCTAAAATTCATATATAAATTCAAGTGACCAAGAGTAGCCAAAACAATGTTGAAACAGAAGGACAAAGTAGGAGGATTCCACTTTGCTATTTCAAAACGTACCAAAAAGCTACAATAATAAAGACAGTGTAGCAGTGGCATCAGGATCAATATGCAGATCAACGGCAAAGCACTGAGGGTCCATAATTCACCCTTCCCATTTACAATCAATGGATTTTTGACAGCATATTCCACAGGGAAACAAGGAGAAAGTAGTATTTCCAGCACATGGTGCTGGGATAACTGGGTATCCACATACAAAAGAATGAAGTTGATACCTACTTCATACAACATGTAAAAACTAACTTAAAATGCATTAAAGAATTTAATAGAAGAGATAAAACTATAAACTCTCAGAAGAAAACATTGGGATATTTGTGACCTTGGATTAAGCAGTGGTTTCTTAGATGAAACATTTAAACGTTTATCCAAATTCCGAAGTAAGGAAACTGGTTACAGAGAACCATGTATTGTAGGATTCTGCTAATAGGAAACATCCAGAATAGGCAAATCTATAGATGCAAAGTATATTAGTAATTGAGGGAACACATCAAATTTTTAAAAATCCACTTAGGGCCTCGGCAGTTTAGTCGTGATAGAATTCTTATAGCTTGAGAACTGATAGAACCTGAGTAAATAATCAGATTTGTAAGAGGCACCAGTGGAAGTGAATAGCATAGTAACAGCCAGATCATTGCAGGCTGCTAGAGCTTCACCACTAGGATCAGAGGCACTGGCATCCCACAAAATCTGGTGAACTAGCAGCTGGATTTGACCTGAGACTAAATAATGAATTTTTCTGGTAAAAGACGATCTGGCAACTGGGTCCTATTGCAAGACTTTATCAGAGTCTGCATTTTTGACAAGTGGCAACAAAGAAACAATAAGAATGTCTGACGTATGGACAAGTATAGGCAAACTTAGGGATTCTCAGAAATATTGAGGGCATTGCGCTTTGGGAAAGAGACTAGAGTTTCTGTTAATTTGGCAAGATAGAACTAGTATCATTAGAGTATTAAAGAAAATGTGATATTGATACACACTGGCAGGGTCAGGAACATGGTGGTAACATATTATTTATAGTCTTCATATTAATCCTTCAATGTATATTATGTGCCTTTTACAATTTAAGAACGAGACTCATAGAGGTTAATACATTGCCCAAAGTAGTAGGCTAGTAAGTGAAGGTGTATGCATTTAAACTCATACTTATGAAGACAAAGTCTATTATCTTTTGACTGGACTAAGGAGTCCAGGCTGTTCTATAGGATCATTAATGTTTATGGATATTGAGGTCCTTGAAAAATCATTACAATCCTATGCCTTGGGCAAAATTTCAAAAGTTCTTCCTGTTACACATATCAGCAATACCCCAAGCATTCTTTAAAAATAGATGGTTCAAAATAACTATTTTATTAGACTCATTTATTACTGTAAAGTTCTTTTAATTTAGAATTCAATTATTCCAATGTGAGACCCAATTATTCATATTCAGTCTCCCTCAGAGTATGGGAATAAATACATACATTATTTGGTGTTTCATATTTAGAAGGATTGCAAGTGTTGCTCTGAAATAACTAAAGTGAATATTGGCTGAATTTCCTTGTGACACAAATAAGAAAATTTCCTTCCTGTTCACACATGACCACATTTGCATAATGCATAGACGTCAAATATCCATTAAGCAAAAATACATAAGACATGTTTTGGTAACATTTAATACAAATGCTACTTCTTAAATGAAACTTTTTAGCCCTTTCAGAATTCTGTGTTAGCCCTTTGAGAATTCAGTGGTTTTCTTGTCTTCTTCTTATTTCTTCAACATTTCCCGATTATCATTGTCCTCACTCCAAAGAGAAGGATAACTTGGAAATGCTCTGAAATCTGGAGCTGCGGTTTTGCTACGCTCTGTGACCTCCGCATTCCAAAGCCAGCACAGTTAATAGTTCAGAAAATGTTATAGAATTGGTTTACTTAGGTTGAGTTTAAATAATTTATTTTTTATTTTATTTCATTATTATTATTATTTATATATTTTTTGAGATGGAGTCTTGCTCTGTTGCCCTGGCTGGAGTGCAATGGTGCAATCTTGGCTCACTGAAACCTCTGCCTCCCGAGTTCAAGTGATTCTCCTGCCTCTACCTCCCCGGGTAGCTGGGATTACAGGCATGTGCCACCACGCCTGGCTAATTACGTGTTTTTAGTAGAGATGGGGTTTCTCCATGTTGGTCAGTCTGGTCTCGAACTCCCAACCTCAAGTGATCCGCCCATCTTGGCCTCCCAAAGTGCCGGAATTACAGGCATGAGCCACCATACCCGGCCTAAATAATTTATTTTTTTAAAAAATGCTTTCAATATTAGGCATATTTTGATTCCTGTTTACACTGGGTAGAATTTGATAGAATTCTTATGATCGCCGACTAAAACAAAGACGAACAAGTCAGCAGCCTGTGAACTTGGAAAACTGTGAACCCTGTTTTTCTACTCTCAGCTCTAACATAATGAACGCTTCTTGAAGAACAGACTCACTGTTAGTGCTGGGGGTGTTTATTTATCCTTTTTCGCCTGTATCCCGTTTGCCTGGCTGGAGATAGCTCTTGCAGTAGGAACCTTTGTCAGGGGATGCATGCACTTTTACAAAGTGGAAAAGAATGCTCCCCATCAGTACTTTGAGTTAACTGTTTCCAACAATCTGTTTTTTTTCTGTGCTGTCAGTTATGATATATCTTTCATCATACAGCTTATGTGAAACCTCTTTGAGAAACTCTGACCTAACAATCAAATTGGACTCATTGCCCTTCAGTGTTTTCATTGTAACCAATAATGCCTTTTATCAAAGTTGTTATTAAGTTGAATTGCAGTTTCCTATTAATATGTCATCTCCCTCGTTAAGTTGTAGATTTTGGGGCAAAAGAATTGTGCTCAGATAGAGCTTAGAGAGGTTGGGATAAATACCCAAGCCTTGAATTCAGCTGACCAGAAAAAAACTTTCATGATTGACTCATTAATCAAAATTAAGCATTTTTAGTTTAGTTTAGAACAGCTTATTTAATAATCACCCTTTATACTTGTGTGGAGCTGTTTTATTCAGATTTTTAGAATGATAATTTCTTCTTTTGATGATAATCTGTTTCTACATAAATTTATCAGTTACATAGTCCACATAAAAGAGTGTGTAATTTCACTTAATAATTCCCTGTGCCTCTGCAGGATCTTAATTCTCAATTTTTTTAAGCATTATGTTTTTTCTATTTGTTCAAATGATAAACTCAAATCATCTATTTTTCATTGTGTGTTACCCTTTGGCTCCTAATCCTTTGATATACACTACGGGATCAGCCCCACAGCTTTAATCCCATGGGATTGAGCAGAACGAGGCTTTAGAAATCTAACTAACTAAACACCCTCCTGCGCATTCACACACTTGGTGGGTGGACCCCTCTCAATTTCCAGGTAATATGTGATTCTTCTCTGCCACAAGTCTGTAGTCCCACACATAACCTCAGAATTTCTACTCTATTTTCCACCTCCTGTTTTTCTCCTGTTAAAGCCAATTTAGTCTACCTACTTAAGAGACTCCAATCTCTCCTACACTTCTAAGAGCTATTCTGGAAAGTTGAGAAGTAACTTCTTCCCACATGTTTTATTCCCTTAAGCTCTCTGATGGTTAATACTGAGTGTCATCTTGATTGGATTGAAGGATGCAAAGTATTGATTATGGGTGTTTCTGTGACGGTGTTTCCAAAAGAGATTAACATTTGAGTCAGTGGGCTGGAGAAGGCAGACCCACCTTTAATCTGGGTGGGCACCATCTATTAGCTGCCAGCCAATGTAATGCAGGCAGGAAAAACATGAAGAGGCAAGACTGGCCTAGACTCCCAGCCTACATCTTTCTCCACGCTGGATGCTTCTTGCCCTTGAACGTCGGCCTTCAAGTTCTTCAATTTTGGGACTTGGTCCTCAGCTTGCAGATGGCCTATTGTGGGACCTTGCGATCGTGTGAGTTAAAACTTAATAAACTCCATATATATATATATATGTGTGTGTGTGTATATATATGTGTGTGTATATATGTGTGTGTATATATGAGTGTATATATATATACATATATACACACATATATACACACACATATATATACACACACACACACACACATAAATATGTTATTTTCCCCTGACAGTGGGAACAAGACAAATATATATATATATATATGTGTGTGTGTGTGTGTGTATATATATATATGGATATATATATAGAGAGAGAGAGACCATATATATATATATAATCTCCTATTAGTTCTGTCCCTCTGGAGAACCCTGACTAATACAGGCTCTTCCCACAGGCATGTAATAATAAAAACATGCTCAATTATTTCCAACACAAAACAAACAAGTAAAACCCTATCTTCTTTCCATCATTCCTTAGGCCTCTTGCCATGTTTTCCCTTCCTTTTTTAGCCATAAAGGCCAAGAGACTTGACCTCATTCACCCACCATCTTCCTTCCTACTCCACAATCTGCATACCAAACGCAGTATTTCTCTCAAATTGTTCTCTCTAAAATCAACATTGAACTCTTCTCATTAAATCTAAGGGCTTTTTCTGTCTGTCATATTTGTATTTTAGGAAGCATTTTTAATCAGTTGATAACTCTCTCTCTCTTTGAAAGCCACTGTTTTCCCTCATCCCTTTTTATTGAGGATAAAATCAACAGTAAAGCGTCAAAATCCTAGGCAAACCACTCAATATTTAATTTAATTTTAATTTTAATTTTAAGTTCTCAGGTACATGTGCAGGATGTGCAAGTTTGTGACATAGGCAAACATGTGCCATGGTGGTTTGCTGCACCTCTCAACCCATCACCTAGGTATGAAGCCCGGTATGCATTAGCTCAATAAATGTTAAACACCTGTACATCCATAAAACTACCTCACAAATCAAAACTTAGGACATTTCCAGCACCCCGACAGTTGCTCACAGACATTCCAAAATTTACCCACTACCCTGGCTCTTTAACCTTAGATTAGTTTTCCATAGTTGTGAATTTCACATAAATAGAATCATATGGTATTTATTCTTCATTGGAGGCCTTGTTACTCTACAGTATTTCTAAGATTCATCCATATTGCTGCATGTAGGAGTAGTACATAGTATTTCATAATTGTATATCTTTTTCAGTGAGAAAATATAAATGATCTATTCTACAGGTGATAGATATTCAGGCTGTTTCCACTGCTCTGAACATTTTTTTCTGTTCTATTTGTGAATATGAGAACAAGTTTCAGGAGAGAAATTGCTGCATTATAAGTTTTATTTTATGTAGCTGTAGAAGATAGCTGAGAGTTTTCAAAAATGGTTACAGCCGTTTTCCCTCCATCCATAATATCAATATATGAGATTTCTATTTGCTATGTATCCTCACCAAAATATAGTGTTGCCAGTTTTTTAAATAATAAATATTATGATGGGCATCTCATTGTGTTTTTAATCTTTTAAAATCACATGATTAATGATTTTGAATATGTTTTCATATGCATATTGGCCATTTGAAAATTCTCTTTAGTAAGTAGCTTTTCAAATTTTTGCCAAGTGTTATTTAAATGGAATCTTCTGTCTTTTTCATGTTTATTTGTAGTGTTTTTATATAAAATATAACATATTAATAAAACAATATTCATATGGGCATTAGATATCCTCTCTTAAAATTTTTAAATTAAATTTTCTTTTTTATTTGCGTTTACCCATATTTTATGTATGTACATATATATATATGCATAAACACATGTATATGTGCATTTATATTTACTTAAACCTATATACCGGATGTGAATCATTTGTCAAATATGTAAATATGTATCTTTTCAGTCTCTGATTGACTTTTTATACTTTTTTTTTTTTTTTTTTTTTTTGAGATGGAGTCTCGCTCTGTCACCCAGACTGGAGTGCAGTGGCACGATCTTGGCTCACTGCAATCTCCGCCTCCCGATTTCACGCCATTCTCCTGCCTCAGCCTCCCAAGTAGCTGGGACTACAGGCGCCCGCCACCACACCCAGCTAAATTTTGTACTTTTAGTAGAGATGGGGTTTCACCCTGTTAGCCAGGATGGTCTCGATCTCCTGACCTTGTGATCCACCCGCCTTGGCCTCCCAAAGTGCTGGGATTACAGGCGTGAGCCACCACACCGGGCCAACTTTTTATACTTTTATGATTGGCTTTTAATGAATAGATATAATAATTTTAATAAAAACTGCTTTATTATTTTTTTGTTTAGTGCTTTCTTTATTCTGCTAGAAAAAAAGTTTGCTTACTCCTAGATTAAAGATATTCTTACCTGTTTTCTTCTAGAAACTCCATACATTTACCTTATATGCTCGTATGTATGCTCTATCTTGAATTAATTTTTGTGTATACCATGATAAGGTCAAGATTTGCTCTTTTTCCAATATGGATATTCCACTGGCCCAACACTACCACTGAATATATACCATACCTTGCCTTTTTTGAGCAATTATTTCTATTTATTATATTTAATTTGAATATCTGTATTAATACATCCTTACACCAATAGCATATTATCCACATTCCTGTAGCTTCATAATGGCTTGATATTTAGTAATGAAATTTCTCCAACCTTTTGTTTTTCAGTATTACTGTGCTTATTCTAATCCTTTGAGTCTCAGTATATTCTGTCAAGATTGAATTGAATCAGTTTTTCCATTTCTATAATAAATAAGCTACATTATTTTGATTGGGAATGCAAAGAACTTCTAGATTATTTGAAGAGACACCTCTAAAGTATATTGAGTCTTCCATTCCATGAAGATGTATGTATATATTACGTTTTTAGATTTCCCTAATTTATATCAGTAATATTTTTCAGTTTTCATTACATATGTTATTACATGAATTATTAGGTTGATGTTTTTCTGTGCTATTGCAAAATGTATCTTTATACTTTACTTTTAATTTTCTATTTTTACAAATAAAATTAATTTTTATATTGACCTTTTAACTAACGATCTTGCTAAATTTACCTATTAATTATAATATTTTAGATTATTTGGAGTTTTCAAAATATACAATCATTACATCTGTGGATATTAAAAATTCTCTTTTTAGTTACAAATTTTATATGTGTATTTTTGTCTTTTTCCATTAGCTATTAACTCTAGTACATTGTCCAATAAAATCTAAAATAGTGAACATACTTGTCTTGTTCCCACTGTCAGGGGAAATAATATGCCATTTCATCAAGTATAATGTAAGCTCTATTTTTGTTTTTGTTTTTGGGAAGTCTACCATTTATCAGACTAAGGAAGTTTTCTTTCGTTGATAATTCACTGAGAATTTAATATAAATAAGTGCTGAATAGTATCAAATAATTATGTGTATGTATTATGATGACCACATAATGTTTTATCATTTTTTTCTCTTAATATGGTCAATTACGTTAACTGACTTTCAAAAGTTAATCCAACCTCTTATTCCTGGATGAACTTTGCCTGACTTTGTGGTGTATTTTTATATACATATCTTGATTCAACTTGCAAAAACTACTTTAACATTTTTGCCTATGTTTTAGTAAAAAATTTTGAGCTATAATTTTCATTTGGTGGGTGTGTTCTTGTCCTCTTTTTGTACTAAGTATATGCTGGCTACATAAAATAATTTGGAAAATATTCTTTATTTTACTATCCTCTGATAAAGTTATGTACCATTTTTTATATATACATATTCTATTTGTTTAATATTATATTTAACATTATGTTCGTAGTCTATACAATAATCTACTAAGAATAGCATTGATAACAATATAAAAATGCTTAATATTCTATGAATATTTTATTTAATAGGTATAAATTTATTTCATTTTGTGTGCACGTGTCAACTTGGGAAATTGTATTTTCCAATAAACTTGTTGATTGCATCTACACTTTTAAATTAATGTCAAAAATTGTCTACAATATTGTCTTATTAAACATGTCATTTGAATTTGAGTAACATACTAATCTTTGCTTATGATGTAGTTTTTACTTGCTTCTTTCTTTTATCTTGTTCAGTCTTGCTGGCATTTGCCAATTTTTTGGCTTTATCGAATAGCCAAATGTTTATTTTTTTATTTTATTTATAATGTTTATTCTCTATCTTATTGATTTTGTTCTTATTTTTATTATGTTCTTTCAATTTTCTTTGGATGTAGCTTGCTATTCCTTTTGTAAACTTCAACAGACGAAAACTTAGCTGACTGAATTTCAGCCTTTCTTCTTTTTTAATGTATGCTGTTAGGGCTCTCCTTTCTTTTCTAAGTACTATTTTAGCTACATCCCACAAGATTTGATATGTTTTCATTTAATGTCATTCACTTTGAAATGTCTGAGAAGGAAAACCCTTGTTTGATGAAAGTCTCTTCCCTCTCACAGGTTTTGTCTCGTATGCATCCCAAGATTATAGAAGATTTATTCTGGCTTTTTGAAGCCTTTGGATTAGTTATTTCCTTTCCTCTCTCTCCGTCTCATCTTGGTACAATTCAGTGAGTCTTATGAGGCAAATTAGTTGCCTTTAGAGATTCCCAACTTTCCCACCTGCCATGTTGGTCTCAGTTGATAAGGGCTCATTGGTTTCTCCTTCTCCTTAAGAATCATCTGTATGGACCACACCCAGTCCCCAGTACACACCCAGCTGCAGTAAATGCCTCCAGGGAAAGAAACAGCTGTTTGCAAGTCTCAGCTCACCTCTGAATTATAATGTGACTTCTCCAATGCCATCTTGCCTTGTTGATCCAGTGCCTGGATTTTTTTAGTTTTCCTCCCACAACTTTGGAAGAGAGTGCCCTTTTTCACGCTCTTTTGCCATTTTCACATTCAGGACTTCAAAAACATCAGAATTCTCAGGGATTTTTTGTAAACTATCTTTCTTTTATTCTATACTTTCTGATTACAATTCCAGTAATTTATCTGACTTAACTGCCATCTGCCTATTGTATATAATATAAATATGTTGCTTTTTTGTAATTATATAATAAAAATTATATAATTACAAATTATATAAATTATATATATTATTATATATAATTATAATATATATTATTATATATAATTATATATATATTATTATATATATTATAATATATATTATTTATAATTATATATATTATAATATATATATAATATATAATTATAAATAATATATTATATATATATTATATATATTACATATATTATTATATATAATTATATATATATTATATATATTATTTATATATTATATATAATATATATAATATATATATTATATATATAATTATAATATATATTATATATAATTATATAATTATATATAATTATATTATAAAATTATATAATTATATATAATTATATTATATGTATATTATATATAATATAATTATATGATTGTATAATTTATACAATTATATAATATGTATATTATATAATTGTATAAATTATACAATTATATAATATACATATGTTATATTTATATTATATAAATATAATATTATATTTTCACTTCATGGACGTGTTCTTGTCCTCCTTTTGTATTAAGTATATGCTGGCTACATAAAATAATTTGAAAAATAGTCTTTATTTTACTATCCTCTGATAAAGTTTACATAAATAAATATATACAAATATATTTGGTGCTGATATATAAATATGTTATATAAAGTAATATATAACAAATAGAATATATACATATAGAAATGGGGCATAAAATGTATTATATATAAAATATATATCACACACATATACATAACATATATGTATATATTCAATTTGTTAAATAAATATATGTTTGTTTCACTTCTTTCATTTACTCCTCAGACAATATTTATATATAGAGAGAGAGATATTTCATTTGAATCTAAAACTTTAATTTTCAAAGTTTTACTCATTTTTTTCTCAAACCTTTTCTTGTGTCATTTCCTACACCGGTGAACAGCACTAACATCCCCAGAGTTGCCCAGACAAAATCCTGAGCATGGTTAACTTCTCCATCTTTCCCTGTAATGCCTGAAACATCTATTTCTGAACTGCTTCTAAACTCCATCCTGTTAATTTCATGCCCTCTCCACCACTCTAATTAGTCACTCAGCATTTCCTTCTTAAACTTCGGGAATAGCCTTCTACCTGATTTCAGTCTGTCTGCATAAATCCAGCCATGAATAACATTTTAGATAAAATATGATCATGTTCCATCCATGTTTTAATGCTTCCATAGATGTCTATTTACTTTAGATTAAATGTCAGCATTTTAATATGTTGTACATTTATGATGCCCATTTTTCTGCATTACTATGTGGCCCTGTTTTCTCCTTCTGCCATTCTGTTTTGTTTCTGTTTTCCCTCATGCACTGTTGCTTCTCCTCCTGTGCATGTTATATTTTCATTTCTTGAAATGCTTTCTGTCACCCCTCCCTCACTAATTCCCCTCGTTATGACTAACCCATACCTATCCTTTAAATTTCAGCTTGGATATCTCTATACAAAACTATGTGAAAAGTTTATTGCTCCAGGGACAGAAAAAAAGAACTGACTCCATCAGTATATATCTGATAAGAAGAGCTGGCTCCATCAGTAGATATCTGAGAGGACTGTGGACTTCTATGATTAGTACTAAATAGTCCAGGATTCCAGCAATGGCACGCGATATCATGACCCTATTCTATTTAGCAGGCCAACCAAAGCAAGAGAATCCTCATGAACTGCTTCCACTTCAGAATTCCATGAGAAACACCCTAAGTTTAGCTGTGTTCTCACAAAGCTACTCAGACTTGACACCCAAGGATACTCCTGTTCACATATCCACTTTCATTTCGGTTTCAGAGAAAAACTGTCAGGAGTTTGAGACCAGCCTGATAAACATGAAGAAACCCCTTTCTCTACTAAAAATAAAAAAATAAAAAAAAAAATTACCCAGGCGTGGTGGCACCATTGCACTCCAGCCTGGGCGACAAAGCGAGACTCCATCTCGATAAAAAAAACCACAAAATAAAAAACAACACAAGAATGCTCTCATTCTTTTTTTTTTCTTTTTTTTCAGAAGGAGTCTAGCTCTGTCATCTAGGCTGGAGTGCAGTGACATGATGTCAGCTTATTACAATCTCTCCACCTCCTGGCTTCAAGCAATTTTCCTGCCTCAGCCTCCCCAGTAGTTGGGATTACAGGCACTAGCCACCACACCTGGCTAATTTGGCTAATATCTGTATTTTTAGTAGAGACAGAGTTTCATCATGTTGGCCAGGCTGGTACTGAACTCCTAACCTCAGGTGATTCACCCGCCTCAGCCTCCCAAAGTGCTGGGATTACAGGCGTGAGCCACTGTGCCTGGCCAAAATGCTCTTATTCTTAATCACAATTGCAGTACTTAAAAACTGTTAGAAGAATTAAAAATTTCATTACATTATATTCTGACTAAATTATTAACAATTAAAATAAATACAGAGAGAGCTATTTTTCCATCCTACCTTCTGCATAGTACAATGGACTAGAAGAGATTTGTGAAATGAGAAGGCCAGATTGCAAGTACCCTTTATTATTGGTCATTAAAACTTGGGAAAATCACCTCAAATAAACCTGCATTTCTTCATCTGTGAGATGAAATAAGATACAAAAGCCAGAATGAAAATATATGCAGAATGTTTCATAAACTCAGTGTAGTATTGTAATTATGCTTGGTCAATCAATAATGTTCATCATTCTAGAGCAAAAAATTACACTTTAATATCACTTAATATTTATACTTTATTAATATTTTGTGTATTTGAGGTGAAACAGTTATTACAAAAATAAATTAATTCAAGCATTATATACTATAGGGTAACATTGAAATCTTGGGCTCATTTCTTTTTCTTTGCAGTGCTATACATTCAAATGCAAGCCAATATTTATAAAGGTACCTACATTTTAAAATTGTATTTTAGTTATATTCAACATTTTATTTTAAAATATCTTGCATGTTACTAATATTCATTCTAGTTATGTATGCGCATGCTATGATTTAATATGTCCCCTCCAAAATTCAAGTGTTATCAATGTATCAGTATTAAGAGGTGGGGCTGCTAAGAGGTGATTAGGCCATGAAGGTTATTTTCTTATGAATGGAATTAAGGTTCTCCTAAAAGAGGCTTCATTCTGCGTTCAGCTTGCCCTTTCACCTTCCACCATGTGAGGACACAGCATCCCTCCACTCTGGAGGGTGCAGCAACAAGGCGCCATCTTAGAAGCAGAAATCGGTCCTGGGAGACAACTGAACTTGCCAGAGCCTTGATCTCGGACTTCTCAGTCCCTAGAACTGTGAGAAATAAATTTCTGTGTTTTTTTTTTTTCAATTATAAATTATGCAGTTTCAATTATTGTGTTATAGCAGCAAAACTGCACTGAGACTGCATGTATCTGATGTTTCTATTCCAGATTAATACAGAATTTGTTCTTCAACATAGCTCTCATTCTCTCTGTGGAAATTCCAGTTTACTCACTTATCTATGTTTTTCTTTTTCTCATCAATATGTGTGATAGTCTCAGGAGGGTGTTTCTACCATTTTTATTAAGCTGGTGTTCTTGACAGCCCATAGCATCTGTCATTTTCCCAGGAATATGGCAAATCCCACTGAAGGTGCCATCAACATTGGTGCTCAACTTAAGTGCCACTATTGTTGTAAACAGGAATATTAGTGCCTATGCTTCTGATGCCCAATATGAGGGTTCTTGGGTCTGGCTAAGGGTGTTGTTACCTAGTTGTTCCAGAAACTGATGGGATGCTCTTTCAATTTTCTAGATCTTCTAACTTTTACTTAACTCTTTTATTACAACCCTTCTTTGACTTTAAGTCCAGGTCCCCCAAAGGACTCAGAGAGAGAAAAAATTAAGACACAGACAAGGTAGTGTCTCAGAATTATATATACTCTCTAAAACTCAATGTACTGTCCTTGAAATAAACTTGTATCCTGGAGTGCTCTCTTCCTTAGTCCCAGCAGGCTTTTTAAGCTTCCTCAAAATAGAATCTAGGTTAGCCTAACCAACCATACTTGCAAACATTCCTCACCATGCCTGAATATAGGGGAATACCAGGCTAGATATCATTTTGGATCTATGGCTTTTGAAAATACCATGCTTTTCTCTTTTGTATTTGCCAAATGAGTAGTTGTTGCTTGAAGTCACAGCCCTGGTTGCTGTCCTTTATCATTTCACATATAAGATATAACTCCTAGCCCCTTTGTCAACATTGTAATAGCATGACGGCGTAGTTCCACAAATCCAGAAACTCTCAAGCAGCAGCCTACAGTTTATCATACAGTAATGTTGGTCCACAGTTGGTTATACAAGTGAATCATTAAGAACTTCATCTTATTTAATGAGGCCTGATATAGATGATACTGTCTGCATAATTATTATAGTAGAGCTTATTAAGGAACAGAACATGTAAGGATATTTTTAATGGCCCCTGAAAGACAACTGGAGACCATCATTTTAAAGATCATATTTAGCCAACAAAAATCCTTGGTTTGGGGAGGTGCTAAACATTTTTAAACCATTTGAAGCGCCAAAAGAAAGGTCCTATTCTGGTCAAGAGGAAAGACAAGGCTTAAAGTATGAAAAATAACAGGGACTCAAAGTTGGATACTTCCAAAGCTTCAAGTTGAATCTACAATAGAAAAGTGTCCTTAAGTAATACTATCACCTTCAATGAACCAGTTTTGTCATTTGTAAAATAATAATTATTTGAAGGATTGTTCTAAATAAAGCCGGTGATAAAAATAAAGTATCTAGCATAGTATCTGTACCACAGAAGATAACCAAAAACTACTAGTTGTTGTTAAAACGATTGGCTTTGTTATTCTCTAGCCATTCCACACTAGCTATTAAAACATCCGTAAAAATTGCCATACCTTTCAGATTATATAATATTGAAAAGATATTGAAAAAATGGTACTACTAATCACTTAGTTGAGAGGAGTTTCACATCTGTCATCGATGGAATATGCTTGAATGTCAATTTTACATTAATATAGTTTTTAATTAAAATTGTATGGAAAAAATGCATCATTTTTCTTCTCCCTAAGTAACATCTATAATTAGCTATTTTATTTCCTAAGAAAGTAAATTTTAATTATAATAAATTCTATGGAGTATATATTTCAAAAAAAGCCAAAGGTGTCAAATTAAGTACTGTAAGATGTTTCCAAGTTTTCCTTTTAAATATTCGTTTGCTCTAAATCATGACTTTTGTTGCCTAAAAACCAGTATCAGCAGAACATGACTAGTGACTGTTTTTATGTAAATGAGCAAGAATTACCAAGGTACCAGCAGAACTAAAATCACTTTTTTGGGTTCTTTCAAAGAATACTGTTAATTGAGCAGTTATTATGCACCCTGTGCCAGGAGAAGATAACTGAAGGAAGGAAAAGGATTCTTTAGTGAAGTGGGCTTTAACCCATAACTTCTAATGCCTAATTCAATGTCTACCTTCTTTTCATCACAGACTGTCCTTACGAATGCCAGGACACAGCCCTTCTCTCCTTACCCAGGAAATATGTCTCAGGACATTGCTACTCAGCTAGATCTTGATTTTCTCCTCCAGGAGAATAAAAGGAAATTTACAGAACACAAAGTACAATGGCAAGAGGACAGAAATAAGTAAACAACATGTTACCCAGGGCAATTCCTCTGAAGTGCAATGTTTATAGATCTTAGGTAAGGGGAGTTGCTAAGAGTTAGGATGAGAAATCAGAAGCTAAGTTTGGAGCTTACTCCTGTGATCCCCATAACCTAGGGGGCTGAGATGGAAGGATTGCTTCAGGTGCAGACCAGCCCTGGCAACATAGCAAGACCTCCACCTCTAAAATGAATTAAAAAAAAATAGCTGGGTGTGGTGGTGTGCACCTGCAGTCCCAGCTACTCAGGAGGCTGGGGTGGGAAGACTACTTGAGGCCAGGAGTTTGAGGCTACAGTGAACAATGATCACACCACTGCACTCCAGCCTGGGTGAGAGAGCGAGACCCCGACTCTGAAACAAACAAACAAACAAAAAAAACAAAAACACAAAGCTGAAGTCTATTTATTTGAATGACTTATTGTTAATAAAGGTTAAATCCAACTAAGTGGCTTTGTTCCTTTTGACAATTATCTGTCTTTGTATGTCACAGCTACTTTATCTTCATGTTAGCTTGCATTTAGTTAGGGTTTGATGGTTTGTTCTTTCCTTCTTTCTTTTTTTACTTCCTTCCTTATTTTCTTTTCCTTTCATTTCTCTTTCTTTCCTTTCTTTCTTCTTTCTTTTCCTTCTTTCTTTCCTCTTTCTCTTTCTTTATTTTTCTTTCCTTTTCTTTTCTTTCTTCCCTCCCTCCCTCTCTTTCCATTGTCCTTTCCTCCCTTCCTTCCTCCCTCCTTCCACAGCATTATTTCTGCTGCAGTCCATTGGTCCAAGTAAGTCACAGGGAGTGGGCCTGGTGGCTCATGCCTGTAATCCCAGCACTTAGGGAGGCCAAGGCAGGTGGATCACCTGAGGTCAGGAGTTCGAGACAAGCCTGGTAAACATGGTGAAACCTCGTCTCTACTAAAAAAAAAAAAATACAAAAATTAGCTGGACATGGTGGCGCATGCCTGTAGTCCCAGCTACTCAGGAGGCAGGAGGCTGAGGCAGGAGGATCACTTGAACCCAGGAGGCAGCAGTTTCAGTGAGCCAAGTTTGCGCCACTGCACTCCAACCTGGGCAACAGAGCAAGACTCCATCACAAAAAAAAAAAAAAAAAATCACAGAGCCAGATCAGATTCAAGGGAGGGGGAATGATTCCATCTCTTGGTGGGAAGAGAGATAAGGCCATACTGTCAAAGAATATGCAATTCTGTGCACTTCTAACAGAGACAAGAGAGGTGAAATCATACATACTAATCACCTTTGTTTTTACTGGCTGAAATTTCATTGCCTCCTTTTATTGAGGAAGAGAGAAATCACTTTGTCTTCTTGTGTTTGGCAAAAGACTAACACAGACAGAATGCCACAGAGGATACAGCCTGTCTTTGAGATGAAAGAAAAAAATGTAGGCAGACCTCTAATATTAATTCCTGCCCTGCCTTTTTTTTATATATTTGCTCACTCAATTATCTTTATACCAGATGAATATGGAAAGGGAAAGTTTTAAGGAGAGAAAAATTATGGTTTACACATATTGTGTTGAAATGTCTGTGAGATATCCAGCTGGATAACCTGATATTGATGTTACCTCTGGTGTTCCCTGTCTTTGTTTCAAACCCTTCTGCCATCCTCAACTATAGGCATAGAACAAAATCATTACTCCGTGTTACAATCTGCCAGCTGAGATTGCTCTGTCCAAGAAGAAAGGTCTGACCACACATGTAGTCTTTTGACTATGTTTTTGTTTTCTTCTAATGAAAAGACGCTGTATTTTGTCAGTGGAGAATAGTAAGTATTCTAACATTGGATCCATAAATTATAAAGCGGACTGAAACACCCTAGCAAGTTCATTTTGGAATAGAGACTTAGCATGTAACTACTGCTTATAATTATGTTTGTATATATATTTGGTCTTGTCAAGAGTGAGGAATTTTACTAATAACAAACATAACGGAAAGCTATGCCCTAACATGATGTGCTCTATTGACTGCTTTTACATTGTGTAGACAATCTATATGGGTTTTGGCAAATTAGGTACTTTGGCAATCATTTTCTGAGAATAAAAAGTATATTCTCCAGGGTTTTAAAAGCCCAACTCCATATCAGACTGGATTGTTGGTTTACTAGTTCTGGGGTCACCAAATTATGACTCACAGTTGCAATCTGAAATATTGGCTGTATTTGTGAATAAAGTTTTATAGGAACAAAGCCACACCCATTTGTTTACATATTGTCTATGGATGCTTTTGCACTGCAATAGAGCCTGTATGTCCTGCAAAGCTGGAAATCTTTCCTTTCTGTTTCTTTACAGAAAAAGCTTGCTGATCTCACACCTATTTCAGCACCAAGTTACTTTCCATTCTCATTCTCCAGAATTCTAAGATTCTATGAATCTATCCCGTAGGCTTGGGAGTTTTATAGGTGTTTTGGGAGAGGGGAGGCACGGTGATACACGTGTCCTAGAAATGTCAACCTGATGGTGTTTAAAGGTTTAGCAGAAGCATGGAGAGGACAGTGGCAAGATAACAACTGTTATTACAGATCCTAAGTGAGTATTAATTTCTACCTAGAAACTCAAAATTAAAATAATTATTACATAAACTGGACATGTGAGGCATCAGTGTATAGTATCTTATTTAACAATTTTGTCTTAAATCAACACTACTTACAGACTTAATTCAATGAGCATGCCTGCCATCGCTGCTGTAATATTTTTTTTCCCCAGTAAACGAGTAGAGATATCATGGAGTGGCTAACTCCAGGAAAAACACATACAAAATTTAAAGGTTAAAGACAGATAAATCCTCAAAAGTGCAGCTTATAGGAGATGCTGTTTATATTTTTCTATTAAGATATTGCTCTTTTCCTGTTATTTGCATTTCCCTATAATGTCAGCAATCAGTAAAAATTACTAGCAATAGCTTATCAGTTAATGACAAGAACAGCTGGGTCCTATCTCCCTTGATACATTTTAATCAGGTCATTGAAAGGAAACTCAGCAGCTGAAAGCTATCTATTTTCTTTGCAATGATTGCATAATATAATTAAAAGTATTTTATCAGTATCTCATGGCAGAAGAGAGAAGCTCTATGCGTGTGGCCTCATAGATGTGAATTGCCAGCATTTTTAACACTTGAGGAACTTGTCACATAAATCATTACATCATACTCTAAGACTCCATTAGCTTTTTGATGCTCGTGCTTGCTGGCTAGTCAGTGAAGAGACTTAACTACTAGTGTCTGTAGAAAGAATTCACGCCCTTCACTCATCAACTCTCAAAGTCACACAAAGATACAGATATATCCAGAAAATATCACATGGTGCACATCCCACAGTGGGGGGGAGGGTAGCCTCTTGAGATTGAAGCTGAAAGAATACAATTCTCTTTCTAGTGATACTGCTTAGTAGAGGCATAAAGTGAGGAAGTTAGTTGCATTTCTGAGCCCAGTATCTTCATATAGCAAACAGGGCTTTAAATTGAATTCCTAACTTACACCATTATGTCCTTCGCAATGAGATGCCTTTGAAGCAATTACACACGTACTACATAAAGGGGAACCTGTTAGCAAATTTAATATATTAATTATCCCAATATGTAGTGTGTTAGCTCTTTTTCACTGCTTTAAATTGGGGTATAATTTCTATATACAAAACTGTACCTATTTTAAATGTTCAGATGAATGTGTTTTGAAATTTCATACTTTCATGTAACTCCAAAAGAATAGATAAAAGATACAGAGTTTTCCACCATGACAACAATTCCCTTGGACCACTCACCAGGCAATTCTAGCTGCCTGCCTCACAAGAGAGGCAGTCACCTTCTGATTTCTGCATTGCCTATTTTTGATCTTCAGATAAACAGAATTGCGATATGTGTTTTTATGTCTAGTTTCTTGCTCTCTATATAATGTTTCTGAAACCCAACCATGTAGTTGTGTATATCTTCACTCCTTTTATTCATTTTCAATTCTATGAATATACCACTATTTGTTTATTTATTGTACTATTGATGGATATTTGTGTTATTTCCAGTTTTGGGCTATAATGAATCAAATTGCTATGAACATTCTTAAATAAGTCTTTTTGGGACACTTATTTTAATATATCTTAGAAAAATATCTAGGAGGGACAACGCTGAGGATTAAGGGAGGTGAATGCATGGACTTGATAAGAAACTGTTGACATTTCTTCCATAGTGCTTATCCCATGATACACACCCAGCAGGAATATGCGGGTGTCCAGCTGCTGCACATATTTGCAACATTTAGTATTGTTTGTGTTGTAGCCAAATCAGAGATGTGAGATGTGGGAGATGGATCCCCCACTCCTGCAACAGGGTAGCACAGCAGGCTCCAAACCCGATCAGCAAATGACTTGAGAAAACAAGGAGGGGTGACCGGTTTGGGGGTCGATGCTTTTTGAGGAGTAGAGCTGGCATGAGGGTTACTGCATGTAAGTCAGAGTTTGCATGGTTCAAACTTTCAACTAGCTTCGCCTTTGTAATGTAAAGCTTTCTAGTAAGTGTAAAATGGTATCTTCTTTTAGTTTTAATTTAATTTTATCCAATGACTAATGATGTTGAACAAATTTAAATAACCTGCTGACCACTCATACCTTCCTTTATTATCAGTTGCAAGCTATTGCCGATTTAATTGTTTTATTTTCTTTACATTGGTGATGTGTTGGAAGCTTTATGTTTTGAATATGAGTCTTTCACAAGATATGTGTGTGTATAAATATATATATAAACATATGTACATGCACATATACATGTAACACATGCACACATAGAAAATACTTTTCATGCAGAACAATTTTGCTGGTGATGATTTATTACAGTAGACCCATAAACAACATGAGGTTAGGGGGAACCAACTTCCTCCATAGTCACAAATTGATGTATAGCTTTTGACTTCCCCCAAACTTAACTACTAATAGACTACTGCTGACAAGAAGCCGTACCGAAAACATAAACACTTTATTACCATGTATTTTGTATGTTAGATGTATTACGTACTATAGTCTTACAGTAAAGTTAGCTAGAGAAAAGAAAATGTTATTAAGAAAATTATAAGGAAGAGAAAATATATTTACTATTTATTAAGTGAAAGTGGATCATCATGAAAGTCTATATTCTCATCTTCACGTTGACTAGGCTGAGAAAAAGGAAGAGAGGTTTTGGTCTTGCTGTCTTAGAACTGGTAGAGGCTGAAGAGGTAGAAGGAAGAGACAGGAGAGAGAGGCACGTGGTGTAACTTTATGGAAATACATCATAATTTCTGTCAACATTTTTGCTTTTTAATTTATCTACAAATATTTCTATATGGTACCAATTCTTCCCCCACCATTTGTTGTAGTCTCAGTGCCCATATCCTACAAGGGTCTATCTATGCTGTAAAAGCATTTCAAAGTAGTCTTGAATAATCAGAATGATTCTTCCAGATTGTCTAATAACAATTTGTTTTCTGCACTGTTTTTTCCATCTCCCTCCTCATCATCTGATACTGGTTCAGAAGCACTCAACTCCATCCAAGTTGTCTTCTGTTAATTCCTCCAGTGTGGTATCTTTTCACTTTTGAATTTCTCTCAAGACTTATACCTTGAAACCCTTCACACCCACCTTTTTTTTTTTTGCCATATGCATAATCTCTTTCATTATTTCTTTGATTGGCTCTGTTGTAAACCCAGTGAAGTCATTCACAACACCTGGACCCAGTTTTCTCCCATAGAAATGTATTGTTTTGGGCTTGATGGCTTTCATGAATTTTTCCATAGCAATAATGGCATTTTCAATGGTGTGACCCTTCTAGACATTCATAATGTTTTCTCTATCAGTGTTCCCTTCCACAGCATTGACAATCCTTTCCATAGAGTACCATGTGTAATGAGCATTAACAGTCCTTCTGACCTCCCGATCTAGAGGCTGAATTAGAAACACTGTGTTTAGGGACAAGTAGATCACTTCAGTGATTTCAGTGTTGACCTCTAGGGCTTCTGGATGGCAAGAAGCATGATCTATTATCAAAAGCTTTAAAAGGCAATCCCTTACTAGGAAGGTACTTCCTGACTTTAGGGACAAAGCATCAATGGAACCAGTTAAGAAGGAGTTTTGATTGTCCAGGCCAACTTGTTGTACAGTCAGAAGACTGGCGGCTGGTGTTTATCTTTGTTCTTCAAGACTCAGGGGTTAGCAGCTTTACAGATAAGAGCAGTCCTCATCAGAAACCCAGCGGCATTTGCACAACATATTAGAGGTCAGTTATCCCTTCCTGCTTTAAATCTTAGTGCCCATTTCTCTTCCTTACTAATAAATGTCCTTTGTGCCAATTTTTTTTCCAGGTTGAGCAATTTCATCCTCATAAAAAAACCTGTTCAGACCAACATCCTTCCTCCTCAATGGTTTTCTTAATAACATCTGGGAACTTGTCTGCTGTCTCTTGGTCAGCATAAACTGTTTTGTTTGTTATCTTGACTTTTTTTTTGCTGAAATCTGTTTCAAAATTATCAAACCATCCCTTTCTGGCATTAAATTATTTAACTTTAGATCTTTTACCTTTTTATTTTTATTTTTTTTTTTTTGCTTTAAGTTACCATATAATGACTTTGCTTTTCCTAGAATCATATTCAAATCTATAGGTATGCTTTGCTTATGGCAATCCTGCACCACATAAAAGCTGCATTTTCAATATGATATAAAAGGATATTTCACAAAAAGTACAAGATTTTTGCACCTGTTGACATAGCTGCAGCAACAGCTTCAGTCCTTATGCTGGATTCATTTATCTTTAAATGGTAGGAAACCGCAATAGCAGACAACAATCTATGGTACATATCAAGCAATTCAACTTTTTCTTGTAATGCCATGACTTTTCTTGGCTTCTTGGAGGCACTTTGTATGGGGTCCCATGGTGTAATTCAAGGTTATAGGATTGCACTAAACATGATGAAAAATACATAAGAACTGTGAGAACTCACTTTTTACCGTGGTACACAATTTACTGGAGTGATGAGCTGCTCAGGTGGAGGTTTTTAGCATAGTATGGCATTCTATGCAGATGTAACATGAGCTCACCACAACAACAACAGGAGGTGGCTATGAAATGATTACCGTAGTACAGTATTATTACACTTAATTTTATGCAGTCAGAATTTGATTCTTCATCTTTACACTTCTTTACATTTCTCTTGACTGCAAATGGTGCCATGTATGGTTTACAAGCATTTGTGTGTTTAAGTTTTGATAAATTTTAACTTTTTATGATAGATTTATGTACTATTTTATGGTAGCAAATGAAAAAGTAGACTAGTATCTGCATGTATTTTATGTATTAATGACATACCTAACATTTTCTTAATTTATTTTTATACTTCTAGGCTACGTGGTTAGTCTGCAAGTTTTTGCAAATTGTCACAAATCTCCAAAATTTTTCAAATTATTTATTGAAAAAAATCCACGTATAAGTGGACCCACAGAGTTCAAATCAATGTTGTTGAAGGGTCAACTGTAGTGTGTTTCTGTTTTAAACTTATATTTCTTTATATATTTATGGAAGATATTCTCACTATATAAGTCCTAGGCTGAAAGTTCATTTTTTTCTCAGCATTTTAAACATACCATTCAATTGTCTTCTATTCATGATGATTTCTTACGATAATTTAGCTATCACTCTTATTATTTGTCCTTTTATGTAAGCTGTCTTCTTTCGTGTTTTTATTTTTCCTTTCTGGCTGCTTTTAAGACTATTTCTATATCTTGCATTTCCCCCCGAGTTTTGACTAAGCTTTTCCTGGGTATTTTTTTTTTTTTTTTTGTATTTATTGTGCTTGGGTCAACTGCTTGGATTTGGGGGTTGTTATCTTTCAATTTCGAAATTTCTTAGGTACTACCTTCTCAGATGTTATCATGACTGGTCTTCAAATTCACTAGTATGTTCTCCTTTCATGTCCTGTCTGCTCTTTAGCCCACCCAATGACCTTTTTATTTCTGATATTGGGTTCTCCATTCCTAGTGTTTTAATTTTATGAATAATATTTTCATGGATATGCTGAAATTACCTATTTCTTCACTCTTGTCTTTCTTCCCCACTGTATTTGTTAAAGTAATTATCTTGATGATTTCAACATCATTGTTTGATCATTCTTGCCTCTAGTCCAACTCTGGTCCTGCTTGTATTGACTTGACTATATTTTATCTTAATTGTGGGTTGCAATTGTCATCTCTTTTGCTTTTCTCATTGTTTATATCTGTGTGCTAAGGATTATATGTAAGAGAACAGTACAGACCTGAAGAAAATAATATTTATCTTCCAAAGAAGTACATGACCGTCTGTTAGGTTGTCAAGGCAGTGGCTAGGTGAATCTAATCTGCACTGAAGCTAGGTCTGAGCTTTGCTGCAGCACTGACTAGTTCTCAAATCATTTCAAATATTTCAAAGGCAGAATTAAACTTTTCACTTGGCATGACATTGCGATTATCCCAACAAGATTCTGGAGATTTCTTTGTTTTTTCGCCTTAGCTATCAGCCTTGAAGGCTGATAGAAAATACTTATTCACCTCTATCTTCTGCTTGCCAGCTGTTTGCTTACCATGCAATTTTCTTTGCTTTATATTTTCTCCACTAGCTTTCTGTGTATCAAGAGACTTCTCTCAATCTCACTGCTCTGCCTTCAGTTCTCAGAGAGCCATTGTAGTGGAGACCTGCTGTGTCTCAGAGTGATTTACTTTGGCTCTCATGGTCTAATCCCATTTTTCAGAGGGTCATCCATTGTCTTGCATTTAGAAAGGTTCTGAGTACTAGGGAATCTCTCCCCACAATATTATCCAACCACAAGCCTCTGTCACACTACCCTGGAACACAATTCTAAAAGCCAGAAACTGTGACATCAAGACAGTCTAACAAATACTTAAACTGTTTCTTGACTGGGAAATTGCATTACCCCTTAATGGATGTATCCATTTCTAAATTTGTTAGAGAGGGAAATAATGCCTTTCCTTTGTAGATGAAATTAAACAAAGTGCTTTAAAAGAAGTGTAAAGTATTATACAAAAGTAAGGTCTTGTTAGCATCATATGTAATGTATTCAGATGCCAACAGCTGTTTTTCAATGAACACTTCCTAGCACCAGGGAAAACACTTTATGCGTGTTTGTTCAAGGACCAGAATGCTCTGACAGCAGCTGGCAATTTCAAAGACCAAATCAAACCAATTTTTCACTGTTAGGAAATTTGCTTCGGAGCCCTCTTATTGTATGTTCAGAGTAATATATAATTGTGATTTTTAAAAAATTGATTTGAGATCCTGTCTCAGGAAATTTACTTATGGTCTCTTATTCAAATCTGAAAAAAATGAAAAGATAATAAACTGTTATCAGTACAAATGAGGGCACTAAGACTCAAGTATCATGTCCCAGTTAACAGATAAGAGCAGGCTTTAACTTACAGTCTCAGTAACTCCAAATTCTTTGTCCTTTCTATCACAGTATATTGATATTTTGAGTTTACACTACCATATTATTTCAATCTCTTTTCACTGTACTTTCAGATTCCTTTAAGACTTTAATTCACCTTTAAAAATAGAAGTTTTTAATGTCAGTTTTAACATTAATTTTTCAATTTTGCTTCTCTCTTCAAACTGTAGCTCTGTAAATAAAAAAATAAAATCAATTTTCTCCAAGTTCAGAGCATTTTCTCTTCTTTCTATCCAGGTATGTCTAAGTTCCATTATTTTAAAGTATCAGCACAATCTCTGACTGTCTATTAAAGGGATCTGTTTTGCCAGGATATTCAATAGAGTCAATGTTTATCCCTGTAATCTATAATTATTAGTGAATTTCCTCTCCCATCTCCAGGATGCCATCTGGAATTGCTCTTTGTTCTCTGCCCTGAGGCAAGATATCTACTGCTGACCTGTTTTCTCCTTTCTGAAACTCCTATTTCTCCAAGACAACTCTGGTTCATAGGAAATGAACCACACATGCACACAGAGGAAATATGTGTACGCACACATGTGCGCGCACACACACACACATATTCCACAAGTGATTTTATCAGAAATAAAAGCAGCATTTTGAATAAAGTGTGATTTATTTAAAGAGGCACACTCATTCTTATTCTAATCTACTGCTTTCCTTTTCTTAAATCAGCAATTCTTCTAAACTCTGAGAAAAGTATATAATTTTTGTGCTTCGTCAAGGATCATAGAAATTCATACAGAAACAGACATAATTCTTTTGTGAACTGTTTGTGTGACTCAAAATGGAATATTTTCATCAAACCTTCAGGAATTGGAATACTTGTGGATACTCCTAGCTAATTTGTGTTTGGTTTCTGTTGTTTAGTTATGAACTTCTAGGCAATAGACATGGCTTCAATGATTGCGGTTGAAATGAATTAGTCTGTATAACTAGTTGAAAGATACCGAACATTTTATATTACTTTATTTTTGTTTTTTCTTGGTTTTTTGCTTACTGATCAAGGAACCGGCCAGGCATTCACTCAACTAATACTTTTCATTGCATAATATTCTTATTTGTCATCAGGAATATGCATTAAAATTATCAATGAAGCTTTCAAAATTGTAAATTCCCTGCCTCAAGCGCTAAAGTTTATGATACAGTATATGGAGTGGAAACACAGGTTAAATGGGATGGGCTCCCATGAATAAGGGTAGATACAGACCATCGATCACACTTTGAAGTACTTAAATACAGTAGGGGATGTGCCCTAATGATATGAGGAACAGGGAATGCTTTTGAGGGAAAGCAATGTCTTAGCACTGTTCTAAAGAAAAGAGCATTCACCCAGGGAAAGAGAAGAGAAAGAACATTCCAGACAGAGCGAGCAGCATAAGAAAAGATCCAGAAAGGAGATGTAGCTTCCAATATTTGAGAATTTTAAGTAAAAATTATTGGTGGGAGCGGATGACTAGAGATAAGATCACGTAGGATCTTATAAACCATGTTAGGTATTTAGATTTTATTCTTATCACACAGGTCAGATAAAATATGTAAATATGTAAAATGAATCTCATAACCAAATAAACCTCGTATTCCTCACAAGCTATGACGCTTTTGGCAAGTCACGTAAACTCTCTAATCCTCAATTTTCTAATCTCCTGAATAGGACTAATAAAACCAACCTCTTGTGTAGTTAGAAGAGAAAATGCTATTACAAATAAAAAGTATCCATTTCAGTACATTTTAATAGCAGAAAACCATTCGCAGTCAGTTTTCAAGTCTTCTCACTTGAGCCAGCAGCATTCAGGCTGTAGCTGCCACGCTGCTTAGAGCCCTAGCTCAGGGAGGGGCAAAGTGAGGACCTAGCATCAGTCAGTGCACAGAAGGCTGTGGGGAAGAGATGAAAGGAGGAGCACCCCTGACCAACAATGGCATCCATGCTTACTTAGATATTTGAAGACAGATGATCCAGGCTTGTTAACTCAATTTAGGATCTGGGGTGGGTGTCTTTGTGACTCTTGATCTTTCTTCCACGGTTATAAATTGGTGGTGATACAACACCAAGCAAACTACAGCACTGAGCAAAAGCTCTTCATGGAAGCTTCACAAGGGGAAGAAAGAAGCAACATAGAGAGAGAGAAAAATAGGCCTCCACAGATGGACCTTCATGTACCATTATTTAGTGAGCTTAGCTTATACTTTCATAAGATAATCGTGATGACATGAATGGTTTATACTAAGCATGACTATTAGGACTGGGTGAAGCACCTTCCTTCCTTTTATATCCTCCTACTCATCTGATAGCTGAACAAAATTGGGCTTCTGTCAACAAGGAAGAAAATGAACAATGGATGCTAGTCAACAAATAACACTATTTGACATGGATTAGAACATCTTAGAACATCAGGAAAGAAGAGGAGAGTTAGATATGGGAGACAGTCGGCCAGAAGCAGTGAGCCACGGGGTTCAATGATCAGAAACTAATATCCGGAATAGACAAGGAACACAAACACCTCAACAGCAAATAATAATAATAATAATCACATTCAAAAGTGGGCAAAGATTCTAAATAAACATTTCTCAAAATAGGACATACAAATGGCCAACATGTTTATTTAAAAAATGTTTAACATCAATAATCATTAGAGAAATGTAAATCAAATCCATATTGGGATATCATCTTATCCTAGTTATAATGGCTATTAGAAAAATTGCAAAAAAATAAAAGATACTGGCAAGGATGGGGAGAAAGAGGATCACTCCTACGCTGCTGATGGGAGTATAAAGTAGTGCAGCCATTATGGAAAATAGTATGGAAGTTTCTTTTTTCCTTTTTTTTTTTTTTCTGACACAGAGTCTCACTCTGTTGCCCAGGCTGGAGTGCAGTGGCACGATCTTAGCTCACTGCAGCCTCCGCACCCCCACCCCCGACCAGGGTTCAAGCGATTTTCACGCCTAAGCCTCCCAAGTAACCGGGACTACAGGCATCCGCCACCAAGCTCAGCTAATTTTTTGTATTTTTAGTAGAGATGGGGTTTCACCATGTGGGCCAAGCTGGTTTCGAACTCCTGGCCTCAAGTGATCTGCCCACTTTGGCCTACCAAAGTGCTGGGATTACAGGCAGTGTGAGCCACTGCAGCTAGCAGGAAGTTTCTTTAAAAAAACTAAAATTAGAATTACCCTATGATCCAGCAATCCCACTACTGAGTGTTTATGCAAGCTAAATAAAATCAATATATCAAAGGGATATTGCACCCCCATGTTTATTGTGGCATTATTCACACTAGTCAAGATATGGAACCAATCTAAGTGCCCATCAAAGGATGAATGGATAAGGAAAATGTGATACATATGTGCATTGGGATACTATTTGGCCATAAAAATGAATAAAATCCTATCATTTACAGCAACATGGATGGAAATGGAGGTCATTATGTTAAGTGAAATAAGATAGGCACAGAAAGACAACACATTCTCACTTATATGTGGGAGCTTAAAAGGTGGATCTCATGGAGGTACAGGAGATAGAGAGTAGAAAAGTGGTTAGCAGAGGCTAGGAAGTGTGTGTTGCAGGGAGTGGGGATGAACAGAGGTGGGGTAATGGGTGCAAACATACTATTAGATAAAAGAAAAAAGTTAGAACTTAAACATCAGAATGTTTAATAGCACTGTAGGATGAGTACAGTTAACATCAATCTGTTGTATATTTCAAAATGCTAGAAGAGAGAATCTAAAATGTACAAACACATAGAAATGATAAATGCTAGAAATGATGGATATCCTAAATAACCTGACTTAATCATTACGCGTTGTATGCATTTAACAACCTATCACATGTACATTACAAATATGTACAAACATTACATATCTTTTTTATTTTTTTAAGAAACCAAGTCTAAGCAGGTGCAGGGCAAGAAGGATCCTATTCCAGGCAGATGGGAAAGAGACTGCAAACCTCTGGGGAAATCCAGAGCAAAGAGACCAGGAAGGTCACACAGACCTAGGCTTTATAGAAAGTATCTCTAACTAGGTAGAAGAAAAATGAAATAGGGCTGTACAACCAACATCCAAACAGGCCCCAAATACCAGTGAGGATTGTAGGTTGGTCACCACCTTTTGGCTTGATGACCGCTTGACAGACAATAGGGGTCTTCGCTACAAGCTTTCCCCTCAGCAACCTAAGGCTAGCATCTGAAAAGTGCTATGCACCTTGCCAACGTTCAATGAACATCCAACCACACTGCGAGTGTCTTTAAATAGAAACAACTTTTATCCAGAAGGGGAGATGTTAAACAAAACAAAACAAAACAAAAAACCCTACAACTTCATCACTGAGAACAAGTAATAAAAGTGTTAAGGTCTCTGCTGATAAAGGATAGCAGTAAGGCAGATGACTTAAAAATGCCCTCTGGTTTAGCAATTGTTCACATACCTTTTTTCTCCCAGAGGAGTCACCCTCCTTGATTTCCTTAGTTATAAGAAATAAGAAAATAGGTGCACAATTCTCGAGGAAACATTGGTGTTCTGATCTACTGAATAAAGTTATTGCAGCAACAATATCAATGGGAATGGGGGAAGAAAGCCTCAGTCTGTTGTCTTTCTGGAGGTGTGTGTGTGAGTATGTGTGTTGTGTGTGCGCACTTGTGTGTGTGTGATTGAAACACAACATTGAGTGCCTACCTTGGATCAGGCCCCTGCCAGACGTATTACATATATTATTTCAAATCCTCTTCAAAATCCTGTGAGATCATCATCATTATCCCTTCTTTATAGATCAGAAAATACATTCAAAGGGGTTAAGAACGTTTCATCAAGTCCTGTTCAAATCTGATAGCCAGTTGCACAGTGAACACCAGATCCACCTGGGGCTACAGTGTGGGCTCCTTCCACCACATCACAGCAAGGCTGGGCAACAGCTTGGGGTCTACAGTGCTGAACTCTGTGGTTGTCTGAGGAACGAAGTCAGGGCAGGCCGAGGTTCCAGCAGGCAGTGGAACCGGTGAGAATGCTCTTGTGCTGAAGAGCCACCTTTTCAGTTCCACGTTCCCCTCTGTCCTCCACAAAAAAGCCAAAAATCCATCATGGATCAGGGTAACACTGCATTATTTACTTGACAAAGGATTTCTGCAAAGAATTTGACCTTGAGCTCCTGCCCTTTCCCTGCTTTCATTCTATGTGGACTCCAGTGACTATCCTTTAAGGAAATTACAGTGAATCAAAGCCAGATCGACGTTAACGTAACTGAGGACCTAAGCAATCTAAGAAAAGATTCTCTATGAGATCCATTTGGCAAAATTAACATTTATTGGGTAATGGTACAAAAATATTTTGATTCACAATACGTAATTTGATTCACAATACGTAATATGTTACGTAAACATATTGGTACATAGTAATCATATATATATAGAGAGAGAATCATATATATATAGAAATCATATATATACACACACACACACACATATATATATACACACACATATGTATATTTTTAGTTGAAACACTATCTGACCAACCAGTTAGCTTAGTTTGGACACTTAGGTCATTAAATGATATCAGAAAATGAATATATATATATATATATATATATATATATATACACACACACACACATACACATGAATATATATATATATACATATTTCTATCCCTTTGGTCTACTGATGTGATTGCTTCAGAACTGAATAAGTGTCCTCTGTAGGATTACTTTTCAAATAATTCCTTTAATTAATCCATTAACTTCACTTGCCACCTGGTCAGAATTCAGCTCCTCCAACTCTGAGGGTGTTCTGTCCAGAACTATAGCAGGAGAGAAGAATTTCAGTCTATCACATACACATTAATTCATTTTAAACACTTTGCATTTGATCCTTCAGGATATGCAAGACTACATTAGTCAACCCAAGTAATATAAAGTAGAGACGTGCTAGTCTTTTCTTAGCCTTGAGAATACGCATTCTACGTTGCTATAGAATGGAGAACACATTCCTATTCTAATTTATTTCTATTCTCATCTTTGAAAGATATGTTAATTCCTTGTAGTTCTCAGGGGTGATATAATCCAAAACAGAATTAACTGAATATCCTATTTGAAAAAGTGCTATTGCTAAATGGCAACCATGCAGTTCTATTGTGTGAGTCATAAGAAATCAGCTTGCATGGGCATGCCGGCTTGGGAGCATCAGCCTGCTTCATCCATGCTCTGATTTGAGAGGTGGAAGTGCTGGTGCTTTCTTCCTGTAGCTCTTTGAAGATCAGCTGTGGGAGTCGTGAGCAAAGTCTAGGGGCTGGAGGTTTTCCATTGTAATCCACTAGCTAACCAGACAAACCAATGCACATCCCTGGGCCTTCAAATGTTGTAAGACCTGGCCTTGCCTGTAAGAGGACAGCCAGTGGCCCACCTCTTGAACTTCCCTACCTCCCGCTGGTCCAATATAGATGCTGACTTTTGAACTGTGGAAGGAACGAACTGTGTATAGAGAGATGTTTACAGATGCCCAATTGTCAGATCATCTTTATTTGCAGGGCAGTCACGTATATTGGGCAGAGTTTGGGCTTTGGAATCACCCAGATAGACAGACACTAGAATCCCAATGGTTAGTACCTTGTTCAGGGACCTCAGGCCACTCAGCCTCTCTGAACCATCATTTACTCATCTGTGGGGATGACTGTCAGCTGTTTGATGAGGATTTTAAGAAGGCAATTCCAGTGTGCTTTCCCAAATTGCTAGATCATAAAATTCACCTGCAAAGTCTGTCCTCATTCAAGAGATCTAGAATGTTCCCCAGAAAATTTTATTTTTTGAAAGCAAGTTTGGGAAACATAGATAACTTGTTAATATGAAACATTAAATACATTTTTAAAATGTGTATCCTTTTTCACAGAACATTTAAAAATTATTAACGTTCAAAGATTAACAAAATCTAAAATGACAAAGATTTTTTGATCCAGTCATCCGTGAAGGCTTTTTAAAATCTGTGAATGGAACCATTGTTCTTAATTCTCATGTGTCCATTCTAATATCCGAGCAAATCTCATTCTGCTGAAAATCTTCCTTGCCTGTTTTTAAGATGATGAACAGACTTCATACAATCCTACTCAGTACAAGCACTGCATTTTTATTTACCTAAGTAATTTCTTTGATTCTTCTAAAACTAAACTCACATGAGTTATTTTTTAAAATCACAAATATGAAAAATGTTACACTTTAATTTGACTTACTCCTAACTAAGCATATATATATATAATTCTTTTGATGTCCAAATATCTCCCAAGGAGGACTGATGACATTTGAAGCATATTTGCCCACCAAAATAAATAAATAAATAAATAACGTTAAAGTATTAGTGTGAGTGTGATCAATATTCTTCCCAACTAGAGATTCCCAGAGTTTAACTAGAGTCAAATCTAAAGATCACAGATTTTTTTTGTAAAAATCTTAGCTTTTCCTTCCAATAAATTCACATGGTTTTTGCCTCATGAATTTCCAATACTTCATCCCCCATCCCAGCAGGCAGTAAAGTCCAACCTTTTCATTCAGGGTTAAGGTTGCCCTGAGCCCTCCTGAACTTTCTAGCCCTGCCTCTTGTATCCTGCACACCCAGCCAGATGTGTGGGGGACACCCTGAGCTAACTGACCTCCATGCTCTTTTATGCCAATTCCCTCCACCGTAAATGAGCTTCTTCACTTTCGATCATCAAAATGTGAAGACTTGCAAAAAGTCACTGCCAAGCCATTTCTGATTTTTCGACTATGCCCAATGCTGCTTGGTCCACAGTTAGTTAACTTTCACAGGCACGTTTCTGTAACATTCCCGCTGTACTTCCCACATGAGAAATGCTGTCCTCCGGTTTGTGTTCAACTTACTGGGTGTAAAGCCCGTCTGCATACAAGCTCCTTGCGACTGTGTGACTCCCTGTCTCCACGGCCAGCGCCTAACACTGCTTCAACCCTGAAGAGTTGTACAACTTTTTTTGGTGTGAACTAAAATCACCAATAAAAATGATATTGAAATGATTGAGCTTGTTCAACTAGTCAGAGAACAGCTGGGTCCATTTGGTTTTACATTGGCCAGAATTAGTCTCAGCTGCTGTGTGAATGATTATTTTTAAATGTAAATATACGGGATTCTGGAGCTTCATTCTGTCCTGGTTCTTATGACAGAATAGTCTCTTTATTCTGCTCCCATTCCCTGAACTACATACAGCTTTAATGCATTGATAAATCCTTTGCAGGGTGTTTTGTCTGTCGCTGGTAGCCTTGGAGTTACAGGAAAAATTCTAGGAATAATCACCAGGTGGCGCCAGAGCCACATTACAAAGCGCCTCTGAGGTCTCCTCCCAAGAACGGGGTGTGTTTGTCCTCTAGCACTAGGTGGGTTTGCTCCCTCCCTAGATCTTCCATCCAGGATAGTCCTGGAAATGATCTTGATGCTATCTGTTCCTCGTTACAGCAGACCTGCTCAACTTCAGCAGCTAGAAGGAGGATTGTCTTTCACCAGCTGCAGGAGCCTGTTCCCACTACAGTGAGATAATAATTTCGTTTTTTTCAAGCCAAGAAGTATTTATTGAAAGCCAGCTATGTGTTTTGTTTTATTATCTCTTGATTTAAAATCTAGCATTTTGCTGCTGTAAGGGAACTTAGAGTTCTTCTATCTATCATTATCTCCAGTTCTATTTAATAGGGAGAGATACTGAGGCTTAGAGAGGAAAGGTTACCTGGCTAATACTATTCACCGAGTTTGTAGCAGCAACCGTATTTAAGACCAGACTTCCCAGCTACAAACCACCTCCTTCACGCTCAGTGGTGCTCCAAGGCAGCTGGACTATAAGCATCTCGAGCACACAGATGTGGTCCCATTCTTCAAGTCTTGACATAGCAAAATGCCTTTTTAGATTCTCTAAGAGATGTGCAATTGATTGATGAGTAAACTGACTTTATTTTTTAAATTCTGATTTAAAAGGGTAAGTATTTGACTCAGAAATGCAAAGATTTTCTTTTCTTTAGGAATATTATGAATTTTTAATTCAACCCAGTATTTTCGATAAAATTTAAGAAAATGAAACTTCCAAGAATTGAATAACAATCTCTTGGAAGTCATATTTAAGTGCTCATTTGTGTCTTTAGCAAGTCATGGGTATGCGGCATATCAGAAATGTTCGTAGGAGGTTTAATTCTTACAACACTGAAATTGTTTTTAATGACATGCTAAAGCATAGTTACTGTGAAGACTCACTCATGTTTTCACAAGCTACGTAGGAAGTGCCTTTTACATGGCAGGCACTGTTCCAGCTCTGGAAGTTCAGCAGAGAACAGAAAAGATAGAGGCCCCAGAATTCACAAACTTATATGCTGATAGCAGCAGACCTACAATAAACCAAAAAAATAAATAAATAAAATAAAATACCACAGTATGCGGGAAAGTGATCGGGGCTGTGGAGGAGGAACAGAGGCAGGAAGGAGGACAGGAAGCACTTAAGGGAAAAGGCTGCACGGCCATAAAGGATATGTGCAGGAAGAAAAGGCCAGTGCAAAGAACTGGAGACAGGAATATGCCTGATGTATTGGAGAAGGGCAGGGAAGCCAGTGTTTCTGGAAGGGCGTGAGCAAGAAAGAAAATGCCAGCAGTAAAGAGAAGGCCCGAGACTATGTTAGCAGTTTTTTGTTTTGGTTTGGTTTTTGTGTTGTTGGGTTTTTTCTTGTTTGTTTTGTGTGTGTGTGTGTGTGGTTGTTGTTATTGTTTGTTTGGTTTGGTTTGGTTTTGCATAGCCAAAGAAGAGAGACACTGACTTTAGTCTCTGCAACAGGTTCAACTCTTATGAAATAATACATGGTTTTCCTTTTGCCAATGTAGAAAATACATAAAATGTCCAGGCTGCTAATTGAGCTTCAGGACTTGGTAACAGGGGAAAACTGTCATCTCAGAACAAGTAAAGATTGATTAATATCAAAATAATTTCCATCTCAGACTGGAAATTCTACCTATCTATTGGAGCTGACAAGCAAGATTGATCACCTAAACTAAGTTAATCATAACAAATGAAAATGTTGAGGCACCTATAATTAATTACTACCCAAATGAGATTCCCATCTTTGCTAGAGATAACCCCTGAATATATCAGGTCATCCATCTTTCAGTTCTTCTATTAGAGTCATAATTTCATTTTCCTGCTGGTTCCTCTCAGAACCCACCACGTGACTATGCAGGCAATGTGTGTGTTTTTCCCTTCAGTTTTTAATATAATTATATGCAACAAATATGCAACTAAAGAAAATGTTGAGTTCTAGGAAAATGAACGTCATTCTCTACTTAAAAACTGGTGAAATGGACATTCTCTATTTAAAAACTGGTGAAATGACTTTGAAATTCATGATTTCTTTTGCACTTTCTATCTTTCTGATCTTTCTCCCAAACACTGTGAATTGGATGTTTTTGTTATCATTATTATTATTCATACCTTACATGTGAGATATGGTGGTCAAAGTGTTTAAAAACTTCTCAGTCCTCTTCACCCCCATCAAACTGCAATTTGTTTTTAACTTGCTTAATGTCTGTGTCCAGCTTGGTCTCATTCACTATTTTAAACCCAGAAATAAGTTCTGTGCTAGTCATAGAATGGCAAAATAAATGTTTGTTGGATTGAACTGACTTGATCGCCATGGAAATCAATTATGGGGAGACCTGCACTAGCACCCCAGCTTTACCACCGACTTTGTGTCCCTAAGCAACTTCTCTGGTTCTGTTTCCACATGTGTATGACAGAAATTTCAACCTTGTTGTACATAACTTCATTTTCTTAAGTGCTGGCCTTCATAACAATACAGCAGAATAAGAATCATTGCTGCCATTTTTACAGATGAAATATAGAGTTGTCTGGGGCATATATTATAATAACTAGAGGTTCTGCAGTTTAAATTCCTCCACATGCCTTTGTATTTATTCACACAAGTAGAATCAAATTGCGATTTCCAATATTCTTGAACAAATTGTTGCACCTTGCTTAGAAAAAAAATCTGTACTTGAATGCTACCTCCCTGAACCCAACCCTTTCTGGACATGTTATTGATTCATTAAGGACTTGGATTACATAGACACTCAACATTTAATTGCATTGCTATCAAACATGTATCTAACAAAATAATATATAAGGTTGTTTAGGTTTCTAACTGTGTAATTATACTGTTCTATGTATGTAGAGTTTATAAAACCATTCACATGTTACAGTAGCCGTGTTCATCAAAGCTCTGGAATTGGCAGCTCCTTTCCATATATGGGAACTTGATCAAGTCCTTTTGCTGCCTTCCTCATACATTTCTTAAGAGCTTGAAATTATCAATGTTTGCAGTTTATAGCACAATAGCAATAAGAAGTAAGTGCTTATCAAATGTCAGTGTAGTTTTCAATATCATCATGTTTGTCATCAATGTATTTTTTCTTCCTAAGAGCCTGGTGGAGTCTTCGGAGCAGATGTGACTGTCCTACTTGTATAGAGAAGAGAAACTGAGGCTCAGAAGAGATGCCTGGCTGAGTTTAATAGGACTGCAACAACAATTTTGCCTTTCTACTTTCTGGTACAGTGGTCTTTCCTTTGCCATCATGCCTCAGCATATCCATGTTAGTAAATTCTCCCAGTTGGGGAAAAGCTTGGCAGCAATGAAAGTTAATGTGATGAATCATTTAGATGGACAGATTGGAAAAATGTTGTTCCTTTTGCATGTGATGTTCTTGCCAGAAATCAAGTAGGTGGAGTTTTTGAAGCGTGATCAGTTAGATAAGTATGGTGGTTTTAAATAATCAAGCATGGAGCCATACCGGTTATGTTTAATTTATAACAAAATCAGACAATTCAGGCATGATGTTGAACTCATTGAGCTTGGCTCACTACTACATTTCTCTCACCAAAAGCAATGACTATAAAGAGTTACAAATACCATGACCTTATATCATAAAGCATAAATTATTCCAGGAAGTTTTCCATTTAAGTCAACTTCTCAAAATCTTAGGAGAAAACTACCAATATTCAGTTCAAACCCCAGAGGCTTAAGGAAAAATATTAATGTTGAAATAGCAAGTAAGTGGTAGTATCCTCGCTGTATGCACAATTGCATCTGCTCGGGGGTTAGTCTTTCTTTAGCTCCTGTCTACAACTCACACCAGTCTCCATAAAAGAAATGAGGTCTCACTGATACCATCTAGCTTAATGAGATAAAAATCCTGGTGATCTCTGCAAGAAAATAAAACTAAGATAAACTAGTATCTGCTACTGATAAATATTTAACAGATGTGGTCCAAATCCCTCTGCCAGCTGGAGGAAGGAAAAAAGTTCTATTTTACTGCTTGGATATAATTATTGGCCACATTTCTCCAAGCAAAGACAGTGACATTGGCTCACTCCCCAGGAGAACTTTCTTCTGATCTTGGCACTAGGATTTGCTTTTCTTTAACAGATTGCAGCAATATACCCTTCATTTGACCCAGTTTATTCATTCAAAAGATACCTGGAGCCAAAACCATGTATGAGAAATAGCAAAGGAAGAGGCAGGCACAAGCTGTGTTTATATACCCACCAAAGGACTACAGCAAAACACATATATTCTAGTCAGCTCTGAGTGCACCTGTCTGTGTCAACAGTAGACCAGCGTGGTCTGGCAGATGACCATATGACCCAGCTGATTCACTCCGGAGTTAGAGGAACTTTTCCCAGACCCTGAAAGTCACCTTTTTAGACAACTTCGCAAACAGCCATCCTTGTTCACGGTATCATGCCCCTTGTCACTGCTAAACAGACCGTTTGCAAAGAAATTTCCTAAACATCACCACTGAGGCTCCTTCCAGCAATGACTCTGGTCCATCATTGGGATTGCTGAGCAGCTGTTTCATAACATGAACAAGGATGTTTTAACCATGTTTCTTGACCTGGCCATTTGGATCCCAAGGATGTTTTGGTCCAAGAATAAATTCCAGAGCTTAGGTAGGTTACATACCACAACTATATTCATTTCCTACTTCTATTCTTTCTCTGTGCAATCCTTTTCCTAGCACTGTAACTGAAAGTATTTTTCTAAAACATTAATGTGATCATACTATGTCTCTGCTGAAAAGCCATCAATCACTATCTACCTATTACTGACAAAAACATGACATTCTGATCCCACCTGATCTGCTCTTTCTCATCAACAACTCTTCTCCTTATGTAATTTCTCACCTGGTGACCAACCACACCCTGCATGTGCTATACATTCATTTATGCTTTTTCACCTGCTCAAGGCCCCCAGAATTATTTTCAAGTATTATTTTTCCCAACACAAAGCATCAGTCGATACCTGTAGTAAGTCTGAAGCATCTCAGAAGCATTTATTGACAACCCAGTCTTCTACTCTCCTCTGCCTCCAAACACACAGCACATACATTTTGTCCCAAACATTTGTAGGCCATCATTGTCTTTTGCCTGGCATTTCTTTACTAATTAATATATATTTTTATTCATGTGTGTATATTTATCTCACCAATATTTGGGAGCAGAGCCTATGTGTTATTTTAGTTATACAGGTTGTTGGGTGATATGGCTGTGAACCTGATATGCTATAGATTATAAGGGGAGGTGGAACCTGTCACACTTCCTCTTCCTCCATCACTGGTTGTCTGTCTCAAAGCTCACCGAAGAAGACAGGAAAACTTGTCAGATGGGGAAGGATGTGTCAAGAGCATGCACACAGATTTACTCTTCAGCTAGAAGCTCCAATTCCTAGATGATCTGAATCCAACTCAGAGTGCTTGCACCTGTTTCCTGCCACACAGCTAGAGCTGGTGAGTCTGATTTAAGTAATTCTACAGGAAGACAAGGCTTACATAAGAATAAGTAGTCGAGTAGACAGATATTTCCTCCATGGAATCTGCCTTGTTCAGAAACAAGTTTAATCAGTTACTGACTTATAGTAAGAATGTGAATGTCATAATTTTATTAAAAGTTTTTATAAATAATTTCATTGTAATTTAAGCATCGATGAAAATGTGTTGTATATGGTCATGTACTTGCTTTGTTTTCTTTTTGTTTATTCTATCGACTTTTACGAAGCACTTACACTGTGCATGAAGACACATGGGATAGAACACTATCCCTGCTATTGAGGAATCCCCTGTAACCATTTCAGTGACAGAACAGCTGAAGCTCAGTATGGTCAAGCGACTGGCCACTGGCCAGACCTGATTGTCATGAACTTCAGTTAAGGTCCTCTGATTCCCATCACAGTCTCTTTCCACTCCTTATGCTGTTTCATGGCCCATGTTCAGGGAGTGACTCTGGTCTGCCTGGATTTCTGAAATCTTATACGGATGGCTGGTGAGCTTAGAATAAAGATGCAACATGAGGAGGCGTACCTGTTTCCCATATGACTTCCAGGAGGCCAGGAGAGCAGTCTTCCCGAGTCAGGCAGGAGCACTGTGCCTAAAGCAGCTTCCCGGGGAGAGCAGTGACGTTCCCGGTCTCAGAGAATATCTGAACCCCATCGCCCCCACCAGTTTACCTTTCAAAATGCTTCTTTCCACTGGCACGCAGTGCTCAGTAAGACCTCACAGTTTCCCTGGGCTGTGGTCCAATTTGATTACCTCCTTTTTCCATGCTTGGAAGCTGCTATGCAATAATCTTTTTAACCTCTGCAAAGCCAGGACAAATGTGACAGCAAAAGCAATGTTAGTACTTGAGGACGTTTTCTCCTTTTAGATTTTGAGGATTTATTTCATGTTTATAAAGAGAGCAGAAAAACTCTGTCACTTTCTGTTGGTGTTATCCTGGTCATCTCAGAGCTCTCATTAACTCTTATCCTACCCCCAGCAGAAACTAGAGAATTCTGAGGAAAACACACTTTCACTTCATGGAAATATCTCAGCCACTCTTTCCAGCGTTGCTTTTCCTTCCATCCTAACCATCTTGTTTTGATCTTAAATATCTTCAGAATCTGACTTTTGAAATTTATTTTTATATCTCTTTCCAGCCACTTTTGATTAATCTCTCAATAGGGTAAGCAACATGATTTTCTTTTCTTTTTTTTTTTTTTTTTTAAAAGCTCCAGCTCTGGCTTCTGGCTGGAGTGCAGTGGTGAGATCTCCACTTCCCAGGTTCAAGCAATTCTCTCGCCTCAGCCTCCTGAGTAGCTGGGATTACAGGCACCTGCCGCCGTGCCTGGCTAATTTTTTTTTTTTTTTTGTATTTTTAGTAAAGACAGGGTTTTACTATGTTGGGGCCAGGTTGGCCTCCAACTCTGGATCTCGTGATCTGCCCGCCTCGGCCTCCCAAAGTGCTGCGATTAAAGGTGTGAACCACTTCACCCAGCCAATTTTAATTTTAAAAAATTCTTGTAATAGTTCTAAAACACCCTGAGTCCTGCAGTCTTCAGCCTTTGCATGAATTTCCTCACCACCATGACAGGCAGGGCCCCAAAGTTTCCCAGCTGAATTTCATCCAGTATGTTCCTTTCTAAGAGGAGAGATTAGACAGGCACAGAGGAGAATAATGAGCTGTGTCAGACTAAAAGACTTACTGAAAAGTTCTAATTATTTTTCTTCAATAGACTAAGCATTTTAGTTTGTTTTTTGACAAATGTGGCAGAGGTCACCTAGGTGTCCCACAAACATGTTTCCTCTTGTTCCAAAAGCCACTACTTGATATTTCCCAGCCTCCCTTGAAATTACATATGACCACATGTAACTTATTTAACCAATGAAAATGTAGATAAAAGTAATGTGGACAACCTGTAGGCCTGCGTTATAAAAGCTTTCTACAAACAGACCCCCTGTCTCTCTCCTTTGCCCACAGGCTGATTCATAGGACTTTATTATGCTGGGGAATGGTAGAAAACATAAATAATAGATACTTAGGTAGGTCTTTAGTTTACTATTAGAAAGCCATCACTTATTGGACTTTAGGTGGCTGAAAAATAAACTGATCATGTTAAGCTACTGAGGTTTGGGGGTTTATTTGTTTCAGCAGCATATGTTACCCTCAACTATTATACAGATAGACACCTTGGCCTTGGCTTAGTGATTGGTTTGTGGGTGGCAATTGTGTGCGTGTGTATATATATATATATCTGCAGTCTTCTGGCCAAACATATATATACACGTATATATTTATTTATATGTTTAAAGGCTGCCTCAGATATATATATATGTATGTATGTGTATAGATATGTATGTATGTATGTGTATATATATATATGTATGTATGTGTATATATATACACACACATACACACACACATATATATATATATTAGGCAAGAAGACTGGAAATATTTGTTTTTCTATGACAAACATTGGTAAGTAATTGCTTTAATTTAGACTACTTGATTTCTGTAACTCTCAGGGAAAGTAGTTGGAAAAAGTCACAGTGACTGTCAAATTCTATTGACTGTATTTGGCACAGTATTACAAAAAAAGGGGAGCTCAGGCAAGTATTGCCTGACTTTTAAGTAGATATCCAAGACAACTGGAAAAAATCCAAAGGTCCAGAGTCCTACAGCATTGAAAATGCAGGCTGCTACCAGACTCCAAATAGCAACACATAAGATTGAAAGAGATTTTTAGTGACTGGAGTCCAGTAAGTCTTTGCAGTTGAACTAAATAACTCCAATCGGGGGCAGCCTTTAATGCACACAATGGCCTTCCCAACTCTCATTTCAGATAGCATTGAGGTGGCCACCATTAAGTTTGGAAGAAGAATAGGAAGAGGTCGAAAAGCAAAGAAATGAGAATTATGTCTAAGAAAGGACTTTGTGTTTATAAGGACATAGAATTGCCTTGAAGAAAATCTGGAACAGAGGTTGACATAGTTTGAATATTTGTCCCCACCCAAATCTTAAGTTGAATTATAATCCCCAGTGCTGGAGGTGGGGCCTGGTGGGAGGCATTTGGATCATGGGAATGGATATATAACATATATATCATATATAGTACATTGAATATTTGTTCAGTAGTCATTTTAATTTGTTTTTGTTTCATTTTGACAGAGCATGGGGAACTGGTGACACTAATATTTCCAAAGAAACCAGTCTCAGCTAAATTTGGGGGAATCATGTACAAAAGGAAATTGAGAATCAACATTATGTGGGAAATAAATTTGCCATCAGTAAAAGAGAGAAATAATTATAATCAGAAATAAGCTGTTATTGGAATAACACCCATAGAACAACTTCTTATCACTGTTTTCAAGGAGTAAAGGAAGCTGCCTTTTCCTTGGTTATACAAAGTCAATGAAACACACACACATGCACACACACATGCATGCACACAAACACACACGCACATTCTGGTGACCAATATGTCCTTCTTGTTGGAAGTCTTCAGAATTTAGATCACGAATGTTGCCCACTTGTAAAAACTCTAGAGTATCATATGGCAGTGGCTTAGTACTTGGAATTTTCCATTAGAGTTAGTTACTGTCTAAGCATTATCCGAGTTGTGTGAAATAGTTTGTCTACAATTAACTCTTTAGTCATTCCTGAAATGTACACTGGTATAATATTCGTGTCATTGAAATTAGAAAGACCACTACAATGATGACAATGACTATTACAATGAATATAATGACAACTGCGATCACTTCAACTATAACTACAACTATTATTATTACAATTACTAATGCTAGTGTAATATTGATAATAATGATAAGGTCTATGTTATTAATAATGATAACAACAGTCAGGTATTGTGCTGTTCCCTGCACATCCATTAACTTATGTATTCCTCACAAAGCCTTTGTAAACAATATTATGACTTTTGTTGTAAGGAAGAATATAAACTCCATAAAAATAGATAACTTACTATTGGTGTATCTCTAGTGTCTAGATAGTAATTGATTTAAAATATTTCCTCAATGAATATTTTTTCTTTTCATTTCTTGCTGGAAAATAATAATAATAATAATTATTATTATTATTATTATTTTTGAGATGGAGTCTTGCTCTGTCGCCAGGCTGGAGTGCAGTGGCACGATCTCAGCTCACTGCAACCTCCACTTCCTGAGTTCAAGTGATTCTCCTGCCTCAATCTCCCCAGTAGCTGGGACTACAGGTGTGTGCCACCACCCCCAGCTAATTTTTGTATTTTTAGTAGAGATGGGGGGTTTCACCATGTTGGCCAGGATGGTCTCAATCTCTTGACCACGTGATCCACCCACCTCGGCCTCCCAAGGAAAACTAAATTTTCTTAATAATAAAATAAGTTGGGAAGAGGGAAAAGAAGATGGGCTAAAAAGAGGCAGAGGAGGATTAGCAAGAAGAAGTAGGGAAGGAAAAAGAGTAGAAGGAGGAAGACATAGGCTAATATTTGAGCTTTTGGCATTTCCCATGTAACGTGCCAAGACTCACACATTCTCTCATTTTATCCTCACAACTACCAGATATGGTACGGATGTTTTATTAACTCCATTTTCATACTTAAAAAAATGGTTCTTAAAGACTTTGACTAAATTGCTGAAGATCACACAGCTTTGAATGTTCTTTTTCTGATTTAGCTTCCTGGGTACAAAGATTAAAAGCGCTCTTTGGTTGTAGTAACAACTTCTGATCTTCTAGAGAAGTTATTTTGGCTAAATTTCCTCTGAATTTCCCTTTCTACAACTTGCTTATTTCCAATTTTCATATGCCTTAATAATTTAAGTTGTTTTATATATTTCTTGGAAAAATCAAGACTATTATAAATAAATTCATAAAAGTAAATCAATTAATAATCTAAGACCAAATATTATAAACAAATAAAATAATAATAAAAGAATCCAATAATAATCTGCAGGTTCTACATTAAAAGTAAAGCAAATGTAGAAGGTGAGTTTTACTTCCTTGATTTTTTTCTGAATATGTATCTTCAGGAACTTATTTCTCAGTAAGCTTAAGTATAAAACCCAGAATTTCAAGCTCCCTTACAAAGAAAATGCTGATAATTTCCAGGGAAGCCCAGCCATCCTCTGAATCCACCTGACTGCCCAGACACCATCCAGCCTTCTGCTGAAGTACTTCTTTCCCACATGTGTTTATGAACCTGTATTTCTCTCAGCTCTGAGGTACATCCTGAGACTCACATGTGTTCTACTTAATTCTACTACATGGCAAGAGGTCAACATTATTATTGGTTCTTTCCTCTCTAAGTCTTAAAACAACCACACTTCAATCTAGGCTAGAGTTTTAGGCTGCATTCTATTTTGAGACACACACTGTCAGTAAAAGCTTTTAAGAGTAACTGGTAATTATGTATCACATATAGTTGTGAAATTTAATTTGTTTGAGCAAAATACCTAATTGTCTCTTTTTTATAATATTTCTCTTTATGTAATATAATTGTTATAATTACATTTCTACTATACACATACAATGATTTTAATTACACAAAAAAGTCATATCTTTTCATAATAAATATAATTAAACATTCAGTGTAGAAGTATATGATGAAATATATTTTATAAATCAGAGACCATAAGATCTTTATGTGTTAATGTTTTATGATTCCTGAAAGCCTAAAACAGTTGAGCTAATATAGATCTACAATAAGTGATTTGCAATGCATTTGTATAGAACAAAACCTTTTTGCTCTTTAAAGTCATTTCACTTTTAAGTCTTTGGACACCACAACAGTTTGCCTGATGAAGAATAATAAGCAGTCATATAAACTAAAAAGGTCAATTCTGCACCTACAATTTCCTTAGCATGTTTAGGACAATTAAGATACATAGTATCTTTGCTGTGTATGCATGTATGTGACTTTGTCATTGTTTTGCTGTTGTACTTATCAATTTCTCTCATCAAATATTTACATGGCCCAAATCTGACATGGCTTGTAGGCTCACATTATCATGCTGGTATTAGGAACTGGGTCTCCCTCTACATTTTGTTATGACATCTGTATCCCAGTCATACTGTTATGTCTACCATTTCACCAATAAGCCTGAACTACCTCAGTGTCTTTGTTAAAAGTTTATTTCTTTTTATTCCCAAGGATCAATTTAAATATTGTGCCTCCCAGTGAGCTTTCTTGGATATTTCTAATCATGAACAACCCATCTACTTCCAATAACTCTATGACAATATTTTTATGTGTATCTACTTATCACATTCTCTTCACTAACCTGTTGGTGTAATAAATTCTAACTAAGATAGTGGAAAAAAGGGTATATACCTTTTTTTTCCAAATCTGTGCTAGTCACCAGAAGAGGTGACTAGCACAGATTTGGGAGGCCAAAGAAAGCATAAAGAATAATTTATGTTCAAACTAACAAAGGAAGAATGAGAAGAAATTAGTTGGGTATCGAAGGCACGGGCAAGATAGCACCCAAGCAAATGGGATAGCCTTAGGAAGACACAGAGGCATGAAAATGTTACGTAGCTGACTATGTGAATCCTCCATCAATATCCCCTAAGTCCTTATAATTGCCACAGCCTGAAACACTTTTTCAAGCATCTAAGCCTGTATCTTTCTGCCTGGAGACTATCTCTGGTTGCTGGAATCTGTTCCGCCTGTGTGCAAATGGCTGGAAATACCAAGAAACTAATCCCCCTCCCAGGATTTAGTGTATGGATATCCTGGCTCTCTTGCCTCTGAGACTGGACAACTCAAATGCATGTGTTCTACACTGGACCCCAGAGCTCCACAGTTAGGTTAAGCTTTCAAAACCAACAGCGGTAGCATGTTCACTAATCCATCCATTACTGACTGCTTTCCTTCTTTGTCTTATTTTCCTATTACCTCACTGGTGATTTCTGACATCAACTCCCTATTAAAATGTATGTGTGATAGTCTGAATGTTTTTGTCCCCCAAAATTTATATACTGAAACCTCAAACCCCAAGGTCATGGTATTAGAAGGTGAAGATTTGGGCAAATAATCAGTCCCCTTAAGTGAGATTAATGCCCTTATAAAAGAGGCTTCAGATAGCTCCCTTGTCCATTCTATCTACCATGTGAGGACACAGTGAGAAGTTGCTGTATTTTTTTTTACCATAAAATGGGCCATCACCAGACAACAAATCTGCTGGTGTATTGATGTTGGACTTCCCAGCTCCCAGAACTGTGACAAGTAAAGTTCAGTTGGTTATAAGCTAAACAGTTCATGGTAATTTGTTTTAAGAAACTGGATGGACCAAGACAACATGTAAGTAAACCCTTGTCTCAAGGTCTGCTTTTGGATAAACTCGAACTGAGACACCATGCCATAACTGATGAACTGAAAGAAGTTCAGGTTGGTTGAAACATGGAAAAAATGGAATAAAAATGAGGAGCATGCATATAGAAAGGTAACAACCAGTGTGTGCAAGAGCTCTGAATAGAGTACATGTTATATAATTGATCTGAAAGGCATTTGGATACCAATGTTTTACTAAAAAAGAGGGGTACAGTTAAACAGTACATTTGTGTTTAGAAAAAGTATTATTCTGGCCACAAGAAAAAAATCAGTTTGTGTGGGGACAGCAGGGACAAAACTGAAGGAATGGTGATAACCTTGGAGGTTTTAAAAGTGACCAAGGTTTGAATTAATAATAATAGCCTGAACTTTAATAGTGGAAAAGTGAATGGGGGAAATGAGGTGTTTTGATAGAGATTTAGTTAATGTACATTCAAATGACACTGATAAAACTGAGTGACTTGATCAAATGTAAAGAGCAAGAAATGGACATCTACTCTGCTTACAGCATGGTGACTATAGCTAACAATATCGTATTGTACACTTGAAACTTCCTATGTGGGTAAATCCTAAGTGTTCTCATCACCAAAATGTAACTGTGTGAGATTCTGGTTATGCTAATTAGCTTGATTGTGGTGATTATTTCACGATGTATACATATATCAAAACATCACATTGTACACCTTAAACAGGTACACTTTTTATTTGTCAATTATACCTCAACAAAGTTAAGGAAAATTAAAACAAGAAAGAGGGTTAAATCAAATAAAATTTCTTGGGAGCTGGTTTGGGGAACTGGGTGGAAGGTGATGGCATTTTTTGAAGTATGAAACAAAAGAGGAGAAGCAGGTCACTCAAAACTTTAGCCAAACTGAAGAAAATGTTTTGTTTGAGACAATGAATATGAGGTCCTAATTGAACTTATAAATAGATAGATTAGAAATAAATAGACATATATAGGCATACCTCAAAATTGTGGATTTGGGCCAAGATTACTATATAAAGTGATGATTGCAATCAAGCAAGTCACAGAAATTTCTGTTTTGGTTTCCCCATATATATAGAATTTATGTTTATGCTATACTGTACTCTTCTGTGTGCAATAGCATTATGTCTGAAAATAATTCACATATCTTAATTTAAAAATACTTTATTGCTAAAAATGCCTGCAATCATCTGAGCTTTCAGACAGTGGTAGTCTTGTTGCTGGTGGAGGGTCTTGCCTTGATGTTAATGGCTGCTGACTTTTTAGGATGATGGTTGTTGAAGGTCAGGGCGGCTGTGGCAAATGCTTAAAATAAAACAGTGAAGTTTGCTGCATCAATTGACTCTTCTTTTCATGAAAGATTTCTATGTAATATGCAGTTTTGTCTAACGTCATTGTATCCATGGTAAAATTTCTTTCAAAAGTAGAATAAAGCCTCTCTAAACCTGCCATTGCTGGACCCACTAAGTTTATGTAATATTATAAATCCTTTTTTGTCATTTCATAATTTTCACAGCATCTTCACCAGGAGTAGATTTTACCTCAAGAAACCACTTTCTTTGCTCATCTATAAAAAGAAACTCCTTCATCTATTTATGTTTCCTCAGGAAATTGCAGCAATTCAGTGAAATCTTCAGGCTCCACTTCAAATTCTAGTTTTCTTGCTATTTATACATCTGCAGTGACTTCCTCCAGTGAAAACTTGAACACCTCAAAGTCATCCATGAGGTTTGAAATAAACTTCTTCCGAACTCCTGTTAATATTGATATTTTGACCCCCGTCATCCCCGTTAATCACAAATGTTCCTAATGGCTTCTAGAATGGTGAATCCTTTCCAGAAGGTTTTCAATTTACTTTTCCCATATTCTTTACAGAAAACACTATCTATTGGAGCTAAAGCACTATGAATATATTTCCTAAATAATAAGACTTGAAAGTTGAAATGTCTTGTTAATCTATGGGCTACAGAATGGATGTTGTGTTAACAGGCATGAAAACAATATTCGTCTCCTTATCCATCTCCATCAGAGTTCTTGGGTGACTGGGTGCTTTGTAAATGAGCAGGAATATTTTTGAAATTTTTTTAGTAATAGGTCTCAACAGTGGTCTTAAAATATTGAGCAAATCATGTTGTAAACAAATGTGCTGTCATCCAGACTTTGTTGTTCTATTTATAGAGCACAGGCAGAAGAGAGTTAGCATAATTCTTAAGGGCAGTAGAAATTTTTGTATGGTAAATGAGCACTGCCTTCAACTTAAAGTCATCAGCTACATTAGCTACTAACAAGAGAGTCAGCCTGTCCTTTGGGACTCTGAAGCCAGGCACTGACATTTCCTCTCTAGCTATGAAAGTCCTAGATGGCATATTTATACAACAGAAGGCTGTTTCGTCTACACCGACAATCTGTTGTTTAGTGTAGCCACCTTCATCAATGATCTTAGCTAGATCTTCTGGATAACTTGCTGCAGCTTCTACATTAGCACTTGCTACTTCACCTTGCACTCTTATGTTATGAAGATGATTTCTTTCCTTAAACATCATGAACCAACTTCTGCTAGCTTCTAACTTGTCTTCTGCAGCTGCTTCACCTCTCTCAGCCTTCATGGAATTGAAAATAACTAAGGTCTTGCTGTGGATTAGGCTTTGACTTAAGGGAATGTTGTGGCTGCTTTGATATTCCATCCAGACCACTAAAATGTTTGTCCTATCAGCAATAAGGCAACAGCCTTTTTGGCTTTCTTTTCATTTGTGTAGGTAACACTTTTATTTTCCTTCAAAAACTTTTCCTATGCATTCACAACTTGGCTAATGGTTTGGCACAAGAGGCCTAGCTTTTGACTTATTTCAGCATTTAACATGCCTACCTCACCAAGCTTAATCATTTCTAGCTTTTGATTTAAAGTGAGAGATTTTTGGCTCTTCCTTTCACTTAAACATTTAAAGGCCATTGCAGGCTTATTAATTGGCCTAATATCAATATTGTTGTGTCTCAGGGAATAGGGAGGCCAGAGGAGAGGGAGAGAGATGGGAAACAGCTGGTCAATGGAGCAGTCAGAACACATACAATGTTTATTAATTATATTTGATATTTTATATGGACATGCTTCCTGGTGCCCAAAAACAATTATAATAGTAATATCAAAGATCATTTATTACAGATCACAGGAGATATTAATAATAATAAAATCTGAAATATTGAGGGAATTATCCAAATGTACAAAGAGGACATACAGTGAGCACATGCTCTTTGAAAAATGATTCCAATAGACTTACTCAACACAGGGTTGCCACAAACCTTAAATCTGTAAAACACACAATATCTGTGAATTGCAATAAGGTGGAGTGAAATGAAATAACACATACCTGTATTTAATAAGATTTATGAGTCACAAGTCCAGCAATATAATGTGAGCTGGAGCTCTAGATTTAAGAATTATTTATTTACATGTTAATAGAAGCCATGAGAATTATGATTTCATTCGATGTGATTCTGCTGAGCAGCACTTCTCCTTTGATTATTTCTGCCCCCTAGAGGATTAAAAAATAATAATAAATGGAGTGTTTTCTGAATTTTTTTTTTAATTCCCCTTGTCACAATGATGAGGAGAAGACATTTGTATCCTCTAACCAAAAGCAAGTGTGACATTGCAACAAAGGGAAGAGAAACAAAAAACCAGGCTCATGAGTATTATAAAGTTCCAGTTAGGAGGGAAAAGTTCAACATGGTAACTATAGTTAATTTATTGTATACTTGAGAACTGCTGAGAGTAGATTTTAAGTGTTCTCAACACACAAAAATGATAAGTATGGGAGATAATGCAAGTATACCAAGTTAATCAGGTTGAATTAGACATTCTACAATGTATACATATTTCAAAACATCATGTTATGCACCATAAATATATTCAATAATTTTTATTTGTCAATTAAAAAAAGTCATGGCCACATACAGTGGTTTGTGCCTATAATCCTGCACTTTGGGAGGCCAAGGCAAGAGGATCACTTGAGGCCAGGAGTTTGAGAGCAGCCTGGGCAACATAGTGAGACCTCATCTCTACAAAAAAATAAACACATTAGCAGAACATGGTGACATGTGCTTATATTCCTAGCTACTGACAAGGCTGAGGAAGTAGACTGTCTTGAGCCCAAGTCTAAGGCTGCAGTGAGCAATGAACACAGCCCTGCACTCCAGCCTGGATAACAGAGAGAGACCTTGTCTCTAAATAATAATAATAATAATTTTTAAGTAAAATAATGTTTATAAACTGTATCTATTTCTGTAATAAATCATCAGTGTGGTTATTAGTTTTATTCCTAAAGTTTACTTAAAAAAAGCAAAATTCTGGCCGGGCGTGGTGGCTCATGCCTGTAATCAATCCCAACAATTTGAGAGGCCAAGGCGGGCTGATCACGAGGTCAGGAGGTCGAGACCATCCTGGCTAACACGGGGAAACCCCGTCTCTACTAAGAATACAAAAAAAATTAGCCGGGCGTGGTGGTGGGCGCCTGTAGTCCCAGCTACTCGGGAGGCTGAGGCAGGAGAATGGCGTGAACCTGAGAGGCAGAGCTTGCAGTGAGCCGAGATCGCGCCACTGCACCTGGGTGACAGAGCGAGACTCCGTCTTAAAAAAAAAAGCAAAATTCTGTATTATTTTAAGGAGTTAGGAATAACAATCTTACTTATTTTTATTTATGCAGTACTAAAGACTATTATTGAAAAGGTAATTATTAAAATTCTGATTCTGATTATTTTCTTGAAATAACAAATTTTCCTGAAACAATGAGAAAAGGAGAGCTTTTGGATTTCACTTAGTGAACAAAGGTCAAATATCAAAGATATCCTGGTAGGCAGTAATGTAAGTGAAATATGTATTTATAAGTATATAGCCTAGGACCTAATTCATTTTTTAGATATAAATACAAAATGTGTTTTGTAAAATTATAATACACATTCTATTTTTCAGAAACTAAACTATGTGTATTAGAAAAAATTTTTATTTAGTTGTCACTGGATACTCATGAAGTTATTGACTATTTTGGAGTATCATATCACTCATGGAGATGCTGCTTATGACATTTAAGTTACCAACGTAATATACCTTCATCAATTTGAATTTTTAGCTCTTACAGCACAAATATGAGAGAGATTTGAAATTTCTTTTGATGGACTTAGAAGGCACAATGATAAGGAATATACATAAAAAAGTACTATAAAGATTTTCTTTTGTATCTGAATTTCCAGTTGTGTTCAACTTGATTATGATACTCCCCATGAGGGTTTTATTCATGACTTCTCTGCAGCCTCCTGTATTATATTTTCTTTTTTCCAAGCCATTATTATCATCTTCTGCCTATTAAAGGATATTGTCTCCACGTCTTTTCAAGTACTGGAAACTGAATTTTGGGATAAAAAATGTGTTGTCTGTGATAATTTATTACTTTATTCCATGCCATATAATAGGGAATTACTCCAGCACTGTGTATCAGATTTCTTCCTTTTATCTTATTAGACTATCTGTAATTCATATTGGTATGTTATTTCTACTGAAATTAAAGATAATTCCTTTTTTTAATATCATAGACAAATTAGTGAGGTTTGTATTTATTTAACATTGTTTTAAATCTAGTATCCAGCTATAGACTTAATTTCTTATTTCCTACACTACTTGATCACAATGTCTTCTCCTCATCTTAATTTTCTTAAATTTAAATATTTGCATTTTTGCCACATAAACTCTTTAAACTCCTTAATCCATTTTTCATGTGTCACCATTTTTATTTCAAAATCTTACCTGGTAAAACTATATCTCTCTTGACTTTCAATGACTATTTCGTAAAAAGAAAGTCAGTTTCAAACAGTCTATTTTTAAACAGGTATTAACAGATGTAATTCGTCCTTAGTGGTGTAGATAGCTTGTAAAATTTTATTTTCTTGGTAATTTTCAGAAGGCCATACCTACCCATTTGAATCTTTAGTTTTTCAGGAGACTTGTTTTTGTCTGAGCAAGTGATTAAGGACAACCCTAAAATAGAGCAAATAAAAATATTATCACAATGGAATTGATTTTTATTGGTCACTGTTCAAAGAGATAATTGTATTCTGTTGGATTAAATCTCATATTCCAAATGTCATTTCCTATCAAAGCTAATTTCTCTGCTCTCTTTAGGGCACTGTGGACACTGGGCATTTCCACTGTAAATAAAGGAACAGCATGATTTCAGGGAGCCTTTCTGGTATAAAGCCTTTTCCTTTTTTTCAAGAGTCAGAGAAATAAAAGGTAACCCTTATCCCATGAAGAAGAGCAGCCACATTTAAGATGACACAAATGACAAAGTATCATCTAAAGTTAAATTATCTGTTTGCTTATGAATTTTTCTGTTTCTGTTAATGATAGGGTTAGACTTTGTGTCCCCACCCAAATCTCATTTTGAATTACAATCTTCACAGTCCCCATAATTCCTACATGTCAAGGGAGAGACCAGGTGGAGTAATTGAATCATGGGAGTGGTTTCCCCCTTGCTGTTCTCGTGATATTTCTTCTCATGATATCTGATGGTTCTATAAGGGGCTCTTTCCTCTTTGCTCGGCACTTCTTCCTGCCACCTTGTGAAGAAGGTGCCTTTCTTCCCCTTCACCTTCCACCATGATTGTAAGTTTCCTTAGGCCTCCTCAGTCATGCTGAAATGTGAGTCAACTAAACCTCTTTCCTTTATAAATTACCCAGTCTTGGGAAGTTCTTTATAGCAGTGTGAAAATGAACTAATACAGTTACCCTCACTGTAATTTAAGCTATACATGGACAGGAAATGAGTTTTGTTTCCTGTTGTATTCTCAGCACCTAGAATTGTGTCTGGTACATAACAGGAATCCAATAAACATGTGGTTGAATGAAAAATTATTTACCAGATTAATTAGATAACATTAATGATATTGTGTGTGCCTTCTAACCTTTACAAGTTGAGAGAGTGTAAAAAACATGCAAACCAAAAACATAAGGAAATGGCAGGAGCAGTAACTAATTTGAAGACTTACCTTTCCTTATATCTGATACTAACTAGCTGTATAGTAGGATATAAATGGTTTCTCCTTAAGAATTGGTTTTTCCATATAAAATAAAAGGATTAGAATAAATCAATATTTTAAAATATACCTTGAGTATTTAGTGAAATGTATGAACTATTTGTTCAGAGGGAAAGCACATCATACGCACAAAAATATGCAATGATTTTCAGGGGTCCTATGACCCCAGGTTATAAAAACAATATTTCCTTGAGCTTTAATATTTTAATAAATCTAGGATGCAAAAATTATCATCATGTTCCCCCACAATTCTTAGAGCTGTGAAAGACAGAATAGGCATAGGAACTCATGTGGAAATTTGCCAAAAGTCAAACAGACTCATTCTAAAAAAAATCAATTCTTTCCACTATGCCATGCTTCTATTACATGCACTTCCACAAACACTGGATCTATATGGTATGATTAGCATGTCAGAGCAAAAACAGAATCTATCATGGCAATAGTATTTGCCTGTATATTCTTTTTCTTATTTGTATTTTTTAATTATGCGCAAAATATAGAAACACTGTGTTAGTTACCTAGTGGAGAAATTACTCCCAAGTTCAGTGGCTTAAAAAATAAACATTATCGCATAGACTCTGCAAGTCAGAAATCTGGAAATGGTTTAGCTAGGTCCTCTGCTTTGGGTTCCTTTACAAGGCTGCAATCAAGGACTCAGCCAGGCCCACAGTCATCTCAAGGTTCACTTGGGGTAGGACCTGCTTCCAAGCTCACCCCGTGGCTGTTAGCAGGATTTGGTTCCTTCAGGACTATAAGCCTGAGGGCCTCAGTTCCCTGCTGGCTATTGGACAGAAGCTTCCCTCAGTTCCTTGTCATGTCATCCTCCCTATCACAACCAGCATGTGGGAGAAGCCAGGGAGGACACCAGAAAAGCACGATCTTTTATAACCTAACCATAAAAGTGACACTTCATCACTTTGCCATTAAAAGCAAGTTATTCTCCTCATGATGTTCAGTGCACACTCAAGAGTGTGAACAGTAGAAAGTTGGGATTATTGAAAACTATCTCTAAAGCTGCCCACCACAAGTATACTTGCATTACATTGATGTTTTTTAATTCAAATTTTGTAATTACTCTCAAGAAAACCTTGATTGATGAATGCATGTGGTATTTCAGAGAATGTGTTCATTTATTCCTTCAAAACCATTTAGTATTTGCCACACCTTGTGCCAGATACTCAGAAGAAACTGGGTATCTCACTCTTTGCCGTCACGCAGCTCAGTTTCTGTGTCAGGAAACAAATGTTTAACAAGTCCATGAACAATGCTGTAATGAGGGACATCTGTGTGATCAGAACCTTTCCATGTCAATGTATCCTCTTTGTGGTAACTTCGAAGTATGTGACTTGCTATTACCCCGGCATTAATTACATTTTTATGCTTAAAATTTGTTTTATTTGTTCAACCAAACTACAGTCAGCGAAATGTATGGACTATTTCTTCTGAGAAAAAAACACATTGTATGCACAAAAATATACAGTGATCTTCAGGGGTCCTATGAACCCAGGTTATAAAAACAATATGTCCTTGAGCCTTAATATTTTAATAAATTTAGGAATTTAATAAATACATTTAATACATCTACTCCATTATAGTAAAATGGAAAAAGGAACACGAGAACAAATTAGTAAAATTATAACACTGTGATACAAGTCTGGCACACACACACACACACACACACACAAGGAATGGTCACATCCTTTCTCGAGATCAATAAGGAAAGGTTTTCATAGGGAAGGTGGAGTCAGGTTTGATTCTTGAAAGTTAATATCCCAGCTGTATGGCTGGATGTCTGTGTTTGGTGGTACCATTTAGCAAGGCAAGGAAGACATTAAAAGAAGCGGATTTAGATGTAGTATGAAGTATTATCTTATATTGCATTGGTCAGGGTTTAATTGAAGAAAAAAAAAGGATCCACACTAGTTAAAACAAAACAGGATTTAATAAAGGTAATTAGGTTCTTGCAAAATTCCTAGAAGAAGCTGGCTCTAAGCTGAGGTACATGAGGACAACTTTAGAATGGAGAAAGACAAATGTCCTTTCCTGTGTATCTCTAGAAACGCCATGCTACCAAATTTGCACTATTTTCACATCTGTGATGGTCGTTTTAAAGAAGTCTGGGAAATACAGTCTTTGGTTCCTTTGATTCTGCTAAAAGGGAATTGAAATGTAGTAGCCATTCTCAGCATTAGTCTCTCTCCTCTCTCTCTTTCTCTCTCTGTCTTTTTCATTTGTGTCAATTTGAGAAGTACAGTTTTGTGGCATAGATATATTACATAGTCATGAAGTCTGGACTTTAGTGTAACCATTATCCAAATAATGTGTACTGTACCCATTAAGTAATTCTTCACATTTTAATTTTGAATATGTAGTTTGCAGTGCCTGTGGGACTCCCTTGTGGAGATGCCCCACAAGCATTGGATATGCAGGTCTAAATTCCAGAGACAACAGAGGAGTAAGACATCTGTGGGCTGCTGAAACTCTGAAAATATATATCACTCGGAAAGAGGGTGAGAAGAAAGAATAAAGGCTCCTAATACCTATTTGGCTACTATATGTTCATTTTAGAAAAAAGCCAAAAACATTAGAAACTCAAAGTTGCCAAGTACCAATTAGAAATCTGTTTCACCTTTTATGTGATATTTGAATTTGATTGTCAACTTCTGGGCTTAACTGATGAGTAATTACATTGTACTAAATAGATCCTCAATGTACCTAGCCCATTGCAGACAGCTCTGTGTGATACTTCTGTTAGGTGGAGTCGAAATCATCCTCCTCATAACTTTCACTCTCTTTTTTATTCCTGCACTTTGGAGTTTTTCAGAATATGTTTGCGTCAATTTCCTTCAAAGGTCAACCAGAAATTGAAGGGAGTTCATAAGTCTCTGATTTGGATCACAAGCCTTTAGTTCCTTTGAATGCTTGGCAAAAATGTTTGTGAAGAGACAGAGATCTTGGAGGAATCTATTTCCGGTTGCTCTGTGGGTTTCCAGTGCTTTGAAGGGCAGTATGAAGCCTGACCACTGCCACTCTTTCTTCCCCACCTCCACCTCCCCATACCCTCCCAGGGCATCTACCTCCCTCCGAGGTGGCGGCCCAGGTGCCACCTCTGCTCGCCTCAGTGGGTCAGTCATGCCACAGACTGGTCTGTACATTTTCTTCCATGACCTTTCAGAAAAAATCTTGCCATTTTCTCGCCTCATTTGTCTCTCCTGAAGTGTGTCCTTCCCTGGACAACATCAGAGGGCTTAGAGAAAATCTGATGCCTGTAAGTGAGTGGCCTCGGGGCCAGAGATGAATGAAAATACAAAGAAATAGATCTCAGGACCCCATGTTAAGGATACGATTTTTGGTTTTCAAAATATGGCTAGGAAGTTTCAAGCAAACCTAAGTACCTGGTGCTAACAGTAGGCACAGCAAGAAAAGGCAGCTATAAAGGTCTAGAAAGCAGAGTGATATTAGGCCACATTTCATTAAAAGGAACTGTTTTGCAAAGGCAATTCTGTAGCATGGTAAAACCAACTATATTTTTAATCTACCATGCCCTGTAGGTACTATGCTAGATCCTTCACTTACGGGTTTTATTTAATACTTAACAGGAGAATAGTCATTATTTTCCCTTTAATGTAAACAAGAAAACTAAAACTCACATAAGTTACGTAACATGTTGTAATAGTCTGTTCTCACATTGCTATAAAGATACTACCTGAGACTGGATAATTTATAAAGAAAGTAGATGTAATTGACTCACAGTTCAACATGGCTGGGGAGGCCTCAGGAAACTTACAATCATAGTGGAAGGTGAAGGGGAAGCAGGCACCTTCTTCACAAGGTGACAGAAGAGAAAGAGAGAGCAGGGGAAACTGCCACTTTTAAAACCATCAGACCTCCTGAGAACGCCCTCATTATCACAAGAACAACATGGTGAAAACCGACCCCATAATCCAATCACCTCCCACCAGGTCTCACCCTCAATGTGTGGGGATTACAAATTGATGTGAGATTTAGATGGGAACACAGAGCTAAACCATATCACAGTTACCTGTATTAACTACTTAATTCTGACAGTGTTCTGGATGACATAGCATGCTGAGAGGCAAGGTGAGTTGCTAGGCTCAGATCCTTTTTGGTCTGTTCTATTGCTCAGTGGATTAATATGACCAGGGTTAAGATCCAACATAAATTCTTAGGATGCTTTCATTTTACTTTATTTTCTTCAGGTCAGAAAATAGGTTTAGCTTTTCCCTGTCCTTGCATCTATAAATCTCTACCCAAAATGTAGAGATTGTAATAAGTGCCAGGTGATTAACTTGTTAAGACAATTAGGGTATTGTTTAGGAAATGTGGGTTGCATTCTCAATTCTTTGGAGATTGGCTACCTGCTTATTGATTTAAAGACTATTATCATTTCAAGAGATCTAGAGTCCAGTGACCTTGACCCAGTTCCTGTTAGCAATTTTTAATTTGCAGATGAAAAACCTGAGACCCAGAATGATGAAATGATGAGGTGCTTTGTCAAAGTCATTGAACAAATTAGTAAAAGAAAATAGGCCAGAATTTGGAACTATGGAAACTTATATCCAAACTTATCCCTCCACTTGAACTAGAGACTTTTGTTCCTTTCTGAGAAATGGGGTTAAAACATTACCCATAGGTAAACATTTGATCACATGGCCAGCAGCTGGTTTACACTGACTATTAAGCAGTGATCTCTGCTCTCTCTTAGAAACTTGAATTCCTAAAAGGCGGTTGCAGGACTTACTCATCTTCCTGTATCATATTCTTCCATCATCTTTTTCCTGAATGGGATATTAGACCACTTGGAAAATTTTTACAAATGCATATTGTATCCATGTGTGCAATACAAGCCCTGCTTCAAATATGTATGTACATTGGCAACCTCTTCTGTTCCTTTCAGGAAGTTGAAAACAGATGTTTCAATTAAACTAGTAACTGTGCTTCTGTATTTGTGTCTGGAATTCAAAAAACTTCCATCCAGTGGATTAAAGTCACATTCATACAATTTACCTGATGAAGTGGGAGAATAACATATTTGATATATTCAGAAATATTTTGTCATTGGAAGGTATTTTTCATTTACCTAAAAAGGTATTTGAAAAGATATGTATGAACCAAGGACTGAAATTCCACTTTGCCCAATTATTATACTTTAACAAATATCTCCTGCTCTAAATCATTAGGACTGCTATGGACTGAATATTTGTGTCTTCTCTCCAGAAATTCATATGTTGAAACCCTCATCACAATGTGAGGATATTAGGAAGTGGGGTCTTTGGGAGATAATTAGTCCATGAAACTGAAATCATCATGAATGGGATTAGTGCTCTTATAAGAAGATGCTAGAAAGCTAGCTATCCCTCTCTATGTCATATAAGCATACACAGGATGGGTGTCTATAAACCAGAAATGGGGTACTCACCAGGACCCTAACAATGCTGGCACCCTGTCCTTAACCTTCTAGCTTCCAGAACTATAAGAAATAAATTTGTGTTGTTTAAGACACCCAGTTTATGATATTTTTAGAACAGCCTGTGCTAAGACAAGGACTTATTGATATGCCATATCATATTGCTTGCTAATGCCTTCCAGGTAGCCTCCTTTGTCTACATAGGAAGATGCCAATCTTCTTATACATCAATAAACCATGTTTGTTTCTTGTAATCTTCAGGAACTATCATAGTAAATAATGTATTTTTATACTGGGTGTTCACCGAATACCTCCTTTTTCATTTCAGTGAGCGTTTGTTATCTATTACATTCCAGGCTCTTAGAAAGTAAAATTAAGTAAAAATTGGTTCCCGCCTTCAAAGAGCTCCTATTTTTATGAAGGGTACATACATGGACTCGGCAGTATACAATATAATAAATGTACATTCTACAGACTATCAATGATCGTCTCTACGTATACCAGACTTTATGTTAGAGGTTAGAAATACAAATATTAATAGAATTCAGCCTCTGCCTGGGAGGCAAGAGGCACTCTCCAGGAGTGCCCAGTTTCCTGTTTTCTCCCTCTTTCAGTCCAGTGAGAGAGACATGATGGCCCAGCTTGAAAAAGAAATTGAGGATAGCAAGTGTAACATACCAAGCATTCCACGAGCAGGTAAGTTACAGCACATATTGGAATTCCGGCCTCCTGATTTCCTCTTTATGGCTTGCCAACCCTCTTCGTCAGCATTTGACATGGGAACTCTGGGCTAAAAGATAATAGGTTCATACTAGGCCTGGAGGGGCTGGAGGCTTAATGAAGGGGAGGGCAGGATATAGCTGTGGAAACCTGCTCTGTCTTTATATTCTAACGTCCTCTCTTTCACTCTTCTGTTAGTGAGAAAGAGAGATCTGTAAAAAAATATGTGCTGTTACCCAGCTTCCACACCCCAATGAGAACAGCAACCCACTCCTCCCCTAGGGGCTCAACTCAGTCCTTCTGCTTATTAGGTTTGTTTTTACTTAAAAAAAAAAAAAAGTGTGCCTGCAGCTTGTTTTCATCTCATAAAGACTGGTTGAACACCATGAAAATTGGCATTCATTTTTCACCTGATGATTTTATTGGCCACTATGTTTTAATCTAACATTGACACTTTGCTTGCTTCTGTTCTCTTCTCTTGACCTTGCCTTTTATTTGATCTGAAATAACCCAATTAAATTAGCTTGGCACTTGCTGTTCTGCAGTAAAGCACACCGAGGCTTTGCTGGTGATACTGGGATCTGTTATTCGTTTCAGTTGTTCACAGTTAAGCCTAAGTCCTCTCTGTCTTCAAAATGTAAGAGAGGCCATTCCGTCATTCATTCATTCATTCATTCTACAGACTTTCATTGATCATCTCTATTTATAACACACTTTATGTTGGAGGTTAGAGATACAGATTTTAATAGAATTCATTCCATGCCTGGAAGGAGCCAGAATGAATATGGTATAGAGTGATGAGTGCTTGAACAGAGGTGCACAGACTGTGCTATCAGGGCACAGAGAAGGTAGCAAGAAAAAGCACATGGAAAACTAGGTTTTATGGAAGAAAAGGAATCTGAGGTAATGTATTGAAGAATAATGAATCAGATGATGGTGAGAAGATGGCCTTTTCAGGTCAAGAATGGGATGTGCAAAGGCACAGATGCATGAACATGTCAGTGTATTCAGAGACTGATGTGGTGTGTGGTCACCTAGAGGTGAAGGCGGCATAGGGTGAGCAAAGTGAGAAGGGTCTGCTTGGGAAGGTAAGGAGCAAATAAAAGAATTTGAAAGCAGGCTGAGCAGGTAGGTGGACATTTACCCTGAAGGCCAGTGGATCCGATGCTAGAGTCCATGTGCTGATGTTAAGAGTTCATAAGCTACCCGAAATGTCATATATTTTGCCTACATACGCATATTATGTGTTGGGAAGAGGGAGAAAGGAAGACGACTTACAAAACTGTGATGAACTATTCAAAGACTTTTTTTGCCCCAAATAATTTGAAGCCATTTCTGTAGGAAACAATGCACCATTGTAGAGTGTTAAGATGATGAGAAAATGATTAATTGAAGTGCTTGAGAAATTCTTAATATGCAATCAAATTATTTGCTTCCTGTGTCTTTAACGTAAATAAGTGCAATTGTTGTTTTCATAGTGTGCCGAAAAATACTTATTGTGATCAGTCAGAAAAATTTGAAGATTTTTGACCAGCTATACAGACTCCTTCTTAACTTTTGGCAACTTTGTTTGCTTCCAAAATTGGTCATCTGGGAAATTTTGAAATAGGTATTATTTGAAAACAAAGCACTCTATTTGAAAGTGCTTGCTGACTCTTGCCCATAGGCAGCATGGCATTTCAGGCAAGGGTGTGTCGCAAGGTCTCTGGGTCTGTGAGCCATGGCTCTGAATAAAACATGGAGTGGCTGACGCATGCACTGGCATTAGCCTCATCTTTTCCATATTCATAGCTTCTACACAATTTTTAAACAAATGCCTGTATTTTCATCATGAGCAAAAACGCAGTCTGGAAGCCCCCTTGGGAGCTTATGCAAGAGTTTTACACAGGATTTGAACCTTGAACCTTTTCTACCTCTACACTGCATGAATGATGTAAATTCTCCACAGTTTGGGGAAAATGTGATGCACATCAGTAACAATTACCATTTTGGTCACAAAATAAATGATATATTTTTCTGATAAATAAGTGAAGCAAAATATCCAACAGTCACTACTCTGTGAGACTTGATTCAGAGAGAAAGTGATGGCTATCTATATTTCAAATGACACATTTAATAGAAAGAACAAAAAAGGAGACCCTATGACCTGGCAATCTTGGGATTTGACAGACGCATTTCAGAGCCTTAGTTACAACCTAGTCTAGTTAAATGAAATTGAGGTCTAGGTTTCATTATTGGATGTTAGAAGTTAAATTGCAGGTAAATAAATATACAAATTGGAATAAAAAGGGCAATGCCCCAGGCAACTGAAGTTAGGCTTACTAAGTGCAAGTGCTTTTTTTCTAAGTATGATCTTACTTAAATCCCACAATAGCCCCATAAGGTTTTCATTATGTTTTACTTCCTTTTAAAGATTAAGAAAAAAAAAAAAAAGAAGACCCAGTAAGTGGCTTTCTCAATTTAGTCAGTGATAAACGTGGATTCTGTGTGTTAGTTTGGTAATGATTATTGTTATAGCAAAATCCCCCAAATTGCAATGACTTATCAAAATAGAAGTTAATTTCTCCCTCCTGGAGAGTCCAACATAGATGTACCTTGGTGGTCAGAAAGTCTTCACCGTCTTAATTCTGGGATTTGGTTCTTTCTAACTTGTAACTGATCCATGCCCAAGTCTATGAAGTTCCTGATTTCTAGCCAGGGCACAGGGAGGTGAGGAAGGCTTACCCATTTTGCAATATTACAGCGCTGAAAACTGTCACATCAGCTTGCTTAGAAGCAGGAAGGATTTTACAATATTGTTCCATTCTGGGCAAGCACTTCCCAGAAACAACTGCATACTATAGAACAGTAGTTGACAGTTTTGGTAGACGATTTGTTGTCTCTGTTAAAGTTTCTGTCCCTAGTTCAGTTTATTATATGAAGTTAGTGGTATTCAATGCAATCAGATCCAAATCCGTTTTATAATAAATAGTTGAATACTTTCTTTGTTATCTGGAATTATAATGGATAAGTTATACTACCTACTTATATACAAGTTTTCGAAAAGTAAGTAGAATTTTTCATGTAACATAAAAAAAAGTAACAGGCAGTTATGACAAATAATAGATGTTTTAAGACATGAATACTGAAAAATAACCACCCTAAAAGATATAATGTATTAGATATTTGTGCATAAGTATAGAATCACTGTATATGTGATAGCGACAAACACAAACTGACTTCTGTTTTGTATTAGATATTCAAATTTCATTTGCACTGATGCCTTTGTTTACATGATTTTTCCAATAGAGCACAGCAAGTCTTAGTAAAGTTTCAAGAAAAATAATTTACAATCTTCCTTCAGTACAGAACAGAAGTATCTTCATGTATTGCATATTAAAACCATGAAAACATTACTTTGTACTTATATGTAAAATGAGGTTGGGTTTTTATTCCTAAATAATTATAAGTGGGTTTTTTTGTTTGTTTGTTTTACCTACATGAATGGGCAAATGGTTGAGTGCATGGGGTGTGTTTAGTAGTTTCACAGTTGGCAACCCAATCCTGTCTTTGGCCCATTAAATTTGAATAATGTCTTACCGATTATTGTAAACAACAGAGGGATCGTCCAAAATTTACAAAATGCTACCCAGAGAAGTCATATTGCTTTCTTGAGTTTATATATATATACACACATACACATATATATACACATACATATATATGTATATATGTGTATATGTATGTGTATATATATATATATAGAGAGAGAGAGAGAGAGAGAATCGTTTTAGATTTACAGAAAAATCATGAAAATAGTACTAAAAGTTCCCATAGACCCGCAACCAATTTCCCCCATTAGTGACATATCCTCATATGGTACCCGAGTCACAATTTTGAGCTAAAAATGGATATATAATTATTCATTAAGTCCAAGTTTGTTCAGATTTCCTGATTTTTGATAACCTAGAAAGTTTTCAGTACTCGTCAGGTTATTTTGTAAAATGTCCTTCAATTAGGATTTACCTGATATTTTCCTCATTATTAGACTTGCATTATGTGATTTGGGGAGGAAGACCATGAAGGTAAAGTGTCCTTCTCATCATATCGTATGAACGATGCCTGCTGTCACCATGACTGCTCACTCTTGATGTTGACCTTGCTCACTTAGCTGAAATAGTGTTGGTCGAGATTCCTCACTAAAGTAACTCTGTTTTCTTTTTTCCATACTGTACTGTTGGAAATGAAGTCACTAAGTACAAGTCCAGGCTTAAGGAGCAGGGAGTTATGCTTTACCACCTTGAGGGAGAGGATCAACATAAATTATTTGGGGCTTTTCTGCATGGAAAATCTCGCTCTTCTCTGTGTTTTTTAAGCTTATTCAATCATTTATTTATATGTACTTATATGAATATATATCCATAAGTACATACTGATATACATAAAGATTTAAAAATGTTAAAATATAAAAGTTAAATATAAAAAATAAATTAAAAAGAAATACATTTGGGAATCAGAGAGGAGAGACAATTTGGTGTATAATTCAAACTATTTAATTTTGTTTTTCAAATTGAGTTTTGGCCATTGTTGCTCTCTCAGTTAGTGTTTTGTTTTGTTTTGTTTTGTTTTGTGAGATAGAGTATTGCCCTGTCACCCAGGCTGGAGTGCAGTGGTGCAATCTTGGCTCACTGCAACCTCTGCCTCCCAGGCTCAAGCAATTCTCCTGCCTCAGGCTCCCAAGTAGCTGGGATTGCAGGCATGCACCACCATGCCCAGCTGTTTTTTTTATTATTTTTATTTTTAGTAGAGACAGGGTTTTGCTATATTGGCCAGCCTGTTCTCAAACTTCTGGCCTCAAGTGATCCACCAGCCTCGGCCTCCCACAGTGCTGGGATTACGGGCTTGAGCCATCACAACTGGCCTCAGTTGACTTTTTTTTTTTTAATATATATACCCACAATATTGTGGGCTCTTCTTCTCCCCCGTCCTTTTTTTTTTTTTCTGAGAACTCTCTTATTTACTGATGCTACAAGATGCTCCAGGCTTATCCTGTATATTTTTTGACTAAGTCCTGGAATCAGCCATTTCTCCAAGGAGCCATAGTTTCTTTCACTGGAGAATCAAATCAAAAACCCAAATCTGTATGCTAGGTGTCCTCATTGCTACTGAGAGTCATGACTTCTAGGTCCTCTTTCATGACAATTCAAAAACATAAATGTGTGTATATTCACCCCTTGTGTATACACACATATCTTTATTTTTATATGTAACCATTTATATTTATCTAAACAGGAGTTCTTACTGATGTTGGCAACTCTACTCCATTACCACATAGATCAGCTTAACATTCTCCTCCTGCTTGTCTTAACCTCTCCCTGAAGCAGTGAGAAACATGGCTTGCTCTGTCTTCCATCCATTTACTTAATTATTCAATTCCAGCATAAATGTACAATGGTGTCAGAATTGTTAACTTGTACTCCTGGGGGAAACAACTTTTCAACTAGAATACATAGCTTTTATACAGTTATTTTTTGCCTTTAGTCTTACAGATTTCTCTCACCCTCTTCAGAGTGGTTATTTCATACATTTAAACTACAGTTGGGTTATTTTGTCAAAGTTTGCATTCCATCCTTAAATCCTTCATTTTCTTTTTTTTTTTTTAGTTGACATGCACTAAAGTTTGCTCTCTATGCTATCATTTCAATAGGTTTCTACAAATGCATTGTGTTATTTATCTACTATTACCTTACTGTAAACAATAGTTCACTACCTAAAAAAAAAAAAAAAAAAGAAGTTCTTTGCTTCACCTATCAACCCTTGAAAATTGTGGTGGTCTTTTTATAGTTCCTATAGTTTTCCTTTTCCATAATGTCATATGAATAGAATCATAAATTATGTAGTCTTTTCAGATTGGTGTCTTCACTTAGCAATGTGCATTTAAGATTCCTTTATGCCTTCATGTGGCTTGATAGTTTATTCCGTTTTGTAAGTTAATAGTATTCTGTTGTATAGATGAAGCATTTGTTTATCTATTCTCCTACTGAAGGACACCTTTGTTGTTTTCAGTTTTTGATGATTATCAAAGAACTGCTATAAACCGTCGTATGTAGGTTTTGTGTGTCAGTGTAAGTTTTTCAATCAGTTGAGTAAATTCCTGGAAGTGAAATTGCTTTATTGTATGGTAAAACTATGTTTAGCTTTAGTGCGACAAGGACAAACTGTTTTCAAAGTGGCTGTGCCATTTAGCCTTCTCACTAGCAAGGGATTCATTATAAAATCATAATAATAGTCCACATTCAGTATTCTCAATTGAGATATTAATGTACTTGGGTAGAGCAATTAGTTTTAAATTTCAAGACTGTCTTGCACATTGCAAGAAGTTTAGCATTCCTGAGCTCCTGGTGCTAAATGCCAGTGGACCCTCAATCACTGTTACAACCAAAAGCCCCCTCAATATCGTTTAATGTTCTCAAGCAGAGGGGAGATGTACCACCACATGATAAACTGCATTGACCTCTATAAAGAGTTTATAATAAATTTGAAAAGCTTATGTCATAATAAGAAAAATTAAAGATACAAAATTAGCTCTTCAATGAAAAAAAGGTGTCCAGATTATATTAAAAGCTGAAATAAAATATATTAACATATCAAGGAAAATCAGCTCTATATGTTGGACTATGAGTAAATTGGTACCAGTAGAGTCAGGTATTGCTGAAAACATACCCAAAAATGTGGAAGCAACTTTGGAACTGGCTAACAGGCAGAGCTTGGAACAGTTTTGAAGGCTCAGAAGAAGATAGGAAAATGTGTGAAAGTTTCGAACCTCCCAGAGACTTGTTGAATGGCTTTGACAAAAATGCTGATAGTGATATGAACAATAAGATCCAGGCTGAGGTGGTCTCAGATGGAGATGAGGAACCTATTGAGAATTGGAACAAAGGTGACTCTTGTTATGTTTTAGCCAAAAGACTGTGGCAGTTTGTCCCTGCCTTAGAGACTTGTGGAACTTTGAACTTGAGAGAAATGATTTAGGATATGTGGTGGAAGAAATTTCTAAGCAGCAAAGCATTCAAGAGGTGACTTGGGTGCTGTTAAAGGCATTCAATTTTAAAAGGGAAACAGCATAAAAGTTCAGAAATTTTGCAGCCTGATGATGCAGTAGAAAAGAAAATCCCATTATTTTTGAGAGGAAATTCAAGCCAGCTGCAGAAATTTGCATAAATAGCAAGGAGCCTAATGTTAATCCCAAGACCATGGGGAAAAGGTCTCCAGGCCGTGTCAGAGAACTTCACAGCAGCCCCTCCCATACAGGCTCAGAGGCCCTGGAGGAAAAAGTGATTTTGTGAGCTAGGCCCAGGGTCCCTGTGTTGTGTGCAGCCTAGGGACATGTACCCTGTGTCCCAGATGCTCTAGCCATGGCTGAAAGGGGCCAATGTAGAATTTGGGCTGTGGCTTCAGAGGGTGGACCCCCAAGGCTTGGCAGGTTCTACATGGTGTTGAGCCTGCCGATGCACAAAAGTCAAGAATTGAGCTTTGGGAACCTCCGATGCCTGGATGCCCAGGCAAAAGTTTTCTTCAGGGGTGGGGCCCTCATGGAGAACCTCTGCTAGGGCAGCGTGGAAGGGAAATACAGAATCAGAGCCCCCACACAGAGTCCCTACTGGGGCATTGCCTAATGGAGCTGTGAGAAGTTGGCCCCCATCCTCCAGACCCCAGAATGGTAGATCCACTGACAGCTTGCACCATGTGCCTGGAAAAGCCACAGACACTCAATGCCAGCCTGTGAAAGCAGCAGGGAGGGAGGCTGTACCCTACAAAGCCACAGGGGTTGAGCTGCCTAAGACCATGGGAACCCATCTTTTGCATCAGCATGACCTGGATGTGAGACCTGGAGTCAAAGGAGATCATTTTGGAGCTTTAAAACTTGACTGCCCCGCTGGATTTCAGACATGCATGAGGCCTGTAACCCGTTTGTTTTGGCCAATTTCTCCCACTTGGAACAACTGTATTTACCCAATACCTGTACCCCCATTGTATCTAGGAAGTAATTAGCTTGTTTTTGATTTACAGGCTCATAGGCAGAAGGGATTTGCCTTATCTCAGATGAGACTTTGGACTGTGGACTCTTGAGTTAATGCTGAAATGAGTTAAAACTTTGGGGAACTGTCAGAAAGGCATGATTGGTTTTGAAATGTGAGGACATGAGATTTGGAGGGGCCGGGGCAGAATGATATGGTTTGGCTGTGTCTCCATCAAAATCTTGACTTGAATTGTATCTTCCAGAATTCCAATGTGTTGTGGGACCTAGGGGGAGGTAATTGAATCATGGGGGCCAACCTTTCCCGTGTTATTTTCATGATAGTGAATAAGTCTCATGAGATCTGATTGGTTTATCTGGGGTTTCTGCTTTGCTTCTTCCTCATTTTCTCTTGCCGCCACCGTGTAAGAAGTGCCTTTCATGTCCCACCATGATTCTGAGGACCCCCCCAGCCATATGGAACTGTAAGTCTAATTAACTTTCTTTTTCTTCCTGGTTTCCAGTATGTCTTTATCAGCAGTGTGAAAACAAATTAATACAATAACTAATTTTTTCCTTATTTACTCTCTTTTAATTTTTATTTTGTAATTAGTGTATAGGAAGTACTCTTTTAAGAGAAAAACAAAGAATTATTCAAAAATGATTCTATAGCAAAATAATTCAGTTTATTATATTGTGTGGATTGTGAACAGCTCTTTCTGAGAAAGGGATGTTCATATGTTTTAGACATTCTTCCATTCTTTTTCTGAATCAAGGCCAATGTTCTCATATACTCTGTTTGATTGAAAATGGTGACAGGACAAAAACGAGAGACAGGGAAAATGGCAGAAAACAACCAGAAGGATTTTTCTCCCCCATGTTCTGTGTGTGCTTCCAAATGGATTCTGCAAGGATAACAGATGATCTCAACTGACTGTACCTTTCCTTCTCCAATTGTTTTGAATCTCCAATTGCAATTTAAAACACCAGAGCTTTCTGTTTAAGATATAAATTTTCTTCACATTATATTTCAGAAAGGGAAAAAATGAGTAAAGTTAACAATATAAGGCATGTTGAGAGGAGAAGACTCTTTAAAACTATTTTAACTTCTCATAAGACAGGTAATTTTAGCATAAGACATTTTGCCTGGCAACTGTTACCAGTGGATTTGAATGTTAAGGGAGATGTTGTAGAATATCATATCCTGGCTATTTTCCACTCACTGATGAAAACTAGTTGAAGACATTTACAAGAGCAAAATGATGTCTGTAGGGACTGCTAAGAACATTTTCAGCTGAGCTTAGGGGGAAAAACGTACTTTTGTGCCAGACAGATCTAAGTTACAAACCCGTCTCAACTTCTTTCTAGCTCTATGCCCTCAGACAAGTGAGTCAATCTCTCTGTGCCGCAATTTCCTTATCATACAATGAAGATTCTGACTGGTTATTGAAAAAATTAAATACGTAAGATTTCTAACACCCTTGAAGACATATTTAACATATTCATATTTTCCAGGACCTGAAGTTAAGAGAAGGAATTAATTTAAGTCAGCATCAAACCAATGTTTGCTGCTCTTTTGCTCACTGGCTTTTAAGAAATTGAGTATTTTCTTACTTTAAAAGAGGAAAATAAATCATATTGTAATCACCTTATACGTTTATCAGATATCTATTGCTTTATAACTAGTCACCCTAAAAGTTAGTGGCTAATAACAAAAATCCATTTATTGTTTCTCATGATTCTGTGGGTTGGCTAAAACATTCTGCTCAACTTGCCTGGGCTTAATCATGCGTCTGCATTGAGGTAGAATTTCAGCTGGGGTAGAAATGTTGAAAACGGTCTCATTTACAGGTCTGGTGATTGGCTCTGTCTATTGGCTGGGTCTCCTTGGTTCTCTCCAACGTGGCCTCTCATCCTCCAGTAGACTAGACTGATCTTGTTTATATGATGGCAAAGGCATTCCAAGACACAAGTGTACAAGCCACAAGGAATTCACACAACATCACTTTTACCCCCATTCTATTGCCAGAGTGAGTCACAAGATAGCCTGGCTTCCAGAGGCAAGGAAACTGATGCCATCTCTTTATGGAATGAGCTACAAATATCGCAGCCACATTTTTTTCAGTCTACCACAACACATTTCAGGACTTTTAATAATTAATTATCACAAATGCTTTGTGAGATGAACATTGTTATTCACATTAATTAAATATTAGCTAGCAAATTTAGAATGAATTATAGTGTATGGTGGTTAAAGGTAAAGATTTTGGAATCAAATTGTCTTGATAAGAATTCAAGCTCCCTCTATTCCCACTCTTAAACAAATTGAGTGAACTCAGGTGAGTCACTTGATTTATTAGTTTCCTATTTTTGTTATAACAAATTACTAAAAACTGAGGTGCCAGCAGGACTTAGTTCCTTCAGGAGGCTCTAGCAGAGATTATTTTTCCTTGCTTTTTCCAACTTCTAGAGACTGCCCACATTCCTTGGCTCATGTTCCCACATCGCTCTGACCTCTCTTTCATCATTACACACAGTCCTGACTCTGACCTTCTTGCCTCCCTCTTTATAAGGACTCTTGTGATTATATTTGGCCCACCTGGATAATCTAAAACAAGCTGCCCAACTCAATTTTCTTAAGTTAATTGTATCTGCAAAGTCCCTTTTGCTAAGTAAAGTAACGTATTCAGAGGTTCAAGGGATTAGGATGTGAACATCTTTGGGTGGAGCAGCCCCTTTTTCAGCCTAAAACACTTGGACAAGTCATTCTCCACGGCCTCAATGTTCTCATCTGGTCATGGGAGTAATAATAGCTATATCATAGCTTTGTTATGAAGTTTCTGTGAGTTAAATATAGGTGGTATTTACAACAATGTCTGACACTGAGGAAGCTCTCTATAAGCAACAGCTATTGCTACTCTCATTATCATTACAGCTTCACCTGGCTTACTAAATGGGAAGTAACCATCTAAACTCATATTTGGCTGCACATGAATTCTGAATAAATCATTCATTTTTAAATAATTGATAATTTTTATATATTTTGTCACTATTCATGCATAGTAAACATATCAAACTGCCAAGAAACAAGTGTCTGGTTAGAAACCTGGTTGAAATTGTGCAAATATAGAAAAGGGGCTAAAAATGAACTTTTAATAAATATAGTCCATGCACAGTGGCTCAGGCCTGTAATCTCAGCACTTTGGGAGGCTGAGGCAGGCAGATCACCTGAGGTTGGGAGTTTGAGACCAGCCTGAACAACATGGAAAAACCCTGTCTCTACTCAAAATACAAAATTAGTCAGGCGTGGTGGTGCATGCCTGTAATCCCAGCTACCTGGGAGACTGAGGCAGGAGAATCATGTGAACCCAAGGGGGGTGGAGTTTGTGGTGAGCCGAGATTGTGCCATTGCACTCCAGCCTGGGCAACAAGAGTGAAATTCCGCCTCAAAAAAAAGAAAAAAATTAAACTTAACAGAACACATCCTGAGTGCTTACCAGGTGACCCTGTACAGCTTACTTTCTCATACATTGTCTTATTTATCGCTCCCAAAGTCCTCTCTTATTGGTGACTTCCTCATCAAAGTACACATTATTATTTTCATCTTACAAATGAGAAAAACAGAACTCCAAATGGTTGAGGATACTCAGGTCCCAAAGCAATTCAAGTCAGTCTCACGATGAAAAGCCTGCTCTCATCCCATCCAACTGGATTGTCATAAAAGGAATTTTTATCAAACAACTTCCAGCATATATTGCAGTTTACACTTTCACTTGCCTTGTTTGTGTGAAGAGAAGTCATAAGAATATTCTTCCCTCAATTTCTCCAAATAAATACGAAGGGAAAAATCTAGTGCAGTCAGGATGGCAATCTTACAAGCATGGCCCTTGGTAGCCCAACCTGGAGACAGCCCGAAGAGGCAGTCCTCTAAAAGCTCTGAAAATAGGTAGGCAAGTCTTAAAGTCAAAAAGGCACTCAGTCCACGTCAACTAATTGCATTTTAGAAAAGTGAGTATAAATAAAGGATTTATTGGTGGGCACAAGGCAAGTGGGGTATGTGGAAACCTGTTTTTACCAGCGTGGGCAGTTACCAGCCTGAGTGGTCCTCACAAACGCAGACATCGAGCCCACTAGGTCAGGGTTTGGATACGGTGTTGTTGCGTACAGGATTCTTTAGGGTTTAGAGGAAAGAAAAGAAAGTGAAAAGCAAACCCAGAGGATACTTGGAGAGCGGCTGAGACTAATAAAGAGTAGGAACATCTTTCATATTACTTTGTTATTTGGAAAATGTTATCAAAAACCAAAGGACACATGAATTCAGGAAAAAGTGACAGCTATATTAAGTTTTTATATAATTTAACTCATACAATGAAGCTGAGAGTTTATTACTCCCATTTTACAGATGATAAAGCTGAGTCTCTGGGATATTACATTGGTGCAAAAGTAATTGCGGTTTTTGCCATTAAAAAAATGACAAAAAAACACAATTACTTTTGCACCAACCTAATAATTAACTTTGCTGAGATCACAAAGCCGGTAAGTGACAGAACTAGAAACAGAGTCTAGGTATTCTTGCTCTGAATCCAACATAATTGCAGAAACATCAGGTGTGTGTTTGCCTCCAAAATGTTCACCAGTCTTTCTTACCATTGTGGTATCTATAGATAGAGTTCAAAGGTATGAGAAAGGGTGTTTATGAATGGCTTGTTAATGGAGGTATGAGCAGAGTGAAGGGAACCGATGAGGCACAGCTACACCCTAGCTCCAGAGCCTGGCAATAGCGGGGAGCAGCTACTGCCTGTAGGCCTGGAAGGGAGAGAGGAGGAAGCAAAATTACAGAACCCTGGAGTGCTGGAGCCCTGAGAGAAGGGTGCCCCACAGAATCTGAGTGTTGGCAGAGATGTAGCTACTTTCAAGCCATGGGCCTGAGGCGGACAGGGGTTGTGTGGATAAACCCTCAGACTTCTCTTTTCCCTTGTTCAGTGTCCCTCTAGGTTCTCTGATTGGCTGAAGCTACTCTAAGCCAAGAGATCAAAGAAGCTGATAATGTAGAATGTAAGTTTGTCTCCTGGGCCACAATGGAAAGCAGAGACTGTAGCTGGAGGAGTGAATAGAGGATATGCAGCTCTGGTAATTCTCAGTACAATTCCCAGTGGTCCACTCTGCAGAATGAACCAAGTTCCATTTTGCCCAACTTCTGGCAGTCCACATTTGGACTGTGAGCTCACCTACAGATAAATCGTACGTGGATTGATGCAGTAACTGGATTTGTAGCTGCTAAATCTTATTTAAGTGAGGACCTGTCCAGTACATGTGAAGACCACCCATCCACTGAAAGTGATAAGTGAAGCTGAATCAATACTAGACTGAATCAATACTGAGCTGAATCAATACTTTCCCAATTTTGAGGAAATCTTGGAAAATCTCTGAGAAATGTGGTAGTAATTATTTTGAAGAATTGGAAAACTTTATAGCTGATTATGCTATGTGTGGAAGATACAACAGGATTATAAGAGAGAGAAGACAATATCCTTGCTGTGTCCAGAAGGCTTTAGCCGGGGTGTCCTACTGAGAGATGACAAACTTAAGGTTTTTCTCTTCCCAGACATTACTGGACAACTAGCTATGTAATTAGGTCTTATGCCGAAAAGACTGAAAGGAAAACATCTCAGATCTAGGAATGTGATCAAGAAAGAAGGCTGGTTAAAGAATAACATGGGGAAAATGAATGCAGTGAAATGGTTCACGCACAAGTTCTAGGAATTCAGAGTGCAACAGCAGAAATGCGATTTTTGTTAGATATTTCAGAAAGTGATGTGAGTCCCTGAGGTCATACTGCAGCGTTCAGGTTCTGTTTGGCCTCCTGCACGAAGCTTTCCTTGATTGGAAAAGCTGCATACTCTGAAGCACATCGCATGTGTCCTGTCTGTAGTTCATTTCATTTCCCCAGATTTGTTATCATCCACCATCACTCATACAAGCCTACCTTCTTCATGCCAACCTTTGTAATCTTTCTACCTTGCTAACCTGGTCATGTCAAGGACCAGCTAATAAATAGCAAAGTTGTACCTTGAGCCAAGGTATCTTGACTCTTAGTCCAGTGCTCTTTATATACCTCTGAAGTCTTATTTGAGCTTCAAAATTATGAGTCTGTGCTCTCAAGATTTTTTTGAAAATGTACTTAATGTTGCCCCTAAGCTTTTATGAGAAATAATAAAGTTCTTTCCAGATTGAATATCTAATAACTCCATTTCATTTTATGCTTTCTCATGTATGGATGTCTATAACTGGAATGCTATTTGGGCTACTGAGATATTTTCTTAATTCTCTGTTTTGTGTTAGTTCTTTTTGTTTGTTTATTTGACAACCATATTTTTGCACCTGAGATAAATCTGGCATTCTATTCAACTTCAATTTCAAAGAGAATCTGAGAATGTACTGGTAGAACGATATTTGAATACTAATATCTTGGAAATACAGAAATAAGTATCATACATTTTGTTACATTCTGTTTGTGTACAAATAATATAAAAATCAATGAATGAGAATTTCATATTTGAATTGTATATGGATTGATGCAATAACTTGATTTAGACAATACTTTTTATGAAGAAAGGTAAAAACAATAAAAATATAGAATTGCTTATAGTTTTGTAACATATATGGTCTAGATACTGTTTATATAACAACAATCCCAAACTCTCCATGCAATTCAGGCAAAACTTATTTGTCCAGATATTTGGCTTTACTGCAGTAGTAAATTTTCAATTTGATGAAATAGTCATTTACAGAAATGTAGATCAGTTATTTGAATTTGTTTGTTAATTCAGGCAAGATTGTTAATCTGGCAGTACAACTAAATATCTAAAGTGAAGCAGACCATGTTCTAAGAAATTTACACTTCATGTAGGTCAGATCATGTGATATGATAATTGTCTGCAAATATCTGAAGATATATCACCTGGAAAAGGGCCAGAAATATTCTCCTTGGCTGTAAATTTCAGGGATAGAGCTAAAAAAGCTGAAGTCAGAAGCCATCAGATTTTAGGTCCCTGCAAGCAAAAATTATCTAAAGAAATTGTTAAAAGCAGAATTAACTTCCTGTGGAAGTGGTGAGTTCTTTATCACAGGAGGTGTTAAAATAAAATGCAGATGTATCTCCTTCTATGATTTATACAATTTTAGTTTTGGAAGTAGAGATTGAGCTGCCTGAAGAAAAAACAGAATGTATTAATCACTGCTCATTTTCTTCCATGCTGTGTTCTAAATATATAATTAAACTCTTGTGTATTAACAAGCAAAGGGCTTTTCAGAAAAAAAAATTATCTCTGAACACAGAGGAAACCAATTCAACTGTACTCAGAGTAGGAAGGAAACAGACATGATGATCTCATTGTTGTATTTCTAGGAAAGATGAGTCATGCAGTCTGCTCAAATTCAGGGTAGCTGGAGGGAAGATGGACATCAATGATGCTTTCTTCCTTTTTAATAGAGACCAGGGTCTCAAGTTTCTTTTAAAATAAAAAGGAGGAAAGCACTTAGAAATTAGCCTAAATCAAGAAAATTTCAGAAGAATATTCTGGAAAATATAAGTATAAATAAATCTGTTTCAACTTGAAATTAATTGAATTGGGTGTGGGGTGTGCGGGGTGGGGGGCGCGGTGGATGGGAAGGAGGGGTCATAGAAACTATCCGAACTCACAGGATCTCCTGTTTCTAACTCTAGCCAGCCATCATCCCTGAGATCAATTTCAATTTCCCTTTGATTTGCTTGCAAGGACAAAGAACCAGTTCAGAGAAGTGAAGGGCTGGGAGGGAGAGGGAGGGGCCATAGGCAAAGGACACTAAAGCAGAGGCACATGCTTTTTTAGGAATAGCATTTTTTCAGTTGGGTAGTAGAGTATGGAAGCCATGGCTCTCCGGAAGTTTCTTTCTTTCTAAATGTCTCCAAACTACATGCCATGGTTTTATGATTCTATAAACTAGCATTCACTGAAAGTCCACTGTGGACCAGGCACTGTGAAACAGATTTATGGATGTGAAATTGCCAAGCTTCTTAAATGGTATTCAGTTTCTAAATTTTGAGAGAATGCTTTTGTGTTGATAGCCTTGGCCATACCCTTTCTACAAAGTTGGGGTACTTCCTACTACTAAGAGAAAGAAAAGGTAGTAATGTTGACCTTTTATAGATTGCGAGAAGATGTGAAAGTTACATTTTTCTCAATACTCCACTTGATCAAATAACAAGTTGAAAATATATTTTAGATTCTGCTTGCTATATTTGCTTGCCAAATTATCAGTCTTATGATAAAGAGTTAAAATCGGGGGTAAAAATTTAACAATATTTAAAGACAGTATCCATATAACTTTCCACTGAAGTCTTAGTAAATATTAAGTAGATTAATAAATTCCTGGGGTTTTTAAAAGGATTGTAATGTAGGTCAATACTTTTTTCTTGAGTTAGTAAACTCAAACCTAGCAAGGACAATGACTTGTTCAAGGTTCCACCTAATTAATACTTGGACAATTGGGTAAAATGTAGAAGTTATAGATATAGTAATATGTGCAAGGTATCTTAATTACATTATCGTACCCACTTGTAAAATTAGTTTTATTTTTATTAAAATTATACTTGCATATAATTGAAATTGTAGAACAGTTCAATAAAGAACGTTGAAAACAATTATTTTTAGTTCTCAGAGATACTCAGTTTTAACTCTTAATATATTATTTTTATAGCTTCTTTTATAGCCTCAAAATATGTTAATATTTCTACTCTTAAATTTTCAATTCTGGTATTTTGGTTTAGGGCCATACTCTGATAGCTTCCTGAGATGTGACGAGTAACATTGTTCAGAAATTAGATTTCTGATAGTGTCTTTACTCTATACTCATACTTAATTGATAATTTGCCTGAATATCAAATTCAAGGGTGAAAATCAACTTCTGAAAATGTCAAATACATTTTTCACTTTATTTTAACTTCCAATGTTATTGATGAGGAAGCAATGACATTTTGATTTTTGTACCAATTTTGGAAGTCCACTTTTTTCTGCATGGAAGCTTATCCTATCTTCTCTGCCATCAATCCTGAAATCTCAGATGATGTATATTGTGGAAAGCCTATGGCTGTATTTTCATCTGTTTTTCTGGGTGCATGGTGGGCCCTGTGAAAATTCTTATTATTCAGTTCTGAAAATACCTCTTGATTTATTCCTCGGATGATTTCCTTGCCTCTGTTTTTCCAGTCTCTCTTTCTGAAGCTCCTGTTATTCAGATGTTGAGAAATCTCTATTCCTCCTGTACTTTTCTAATCCTCACCTCCTATTTTCTACTTTGACTTTTTGTTCTAATTACTTAGCTGCTTCTTCTTATTAATCTTTTTTTAAGTTTTTTATTTCTGCCATCTTGTTTTTAATTTCCAAAGCTTTATTTAATTCTCTAAAAGTTTCTTTTAAGAACAACCTACCACTGTTTCATGAATACAGCATTTAAACAAATTTTCTCTGGTGATAATAACTTCATTTTTTAAATGTTTTCTTTGCCCTGAAAGGAGTCATAGTTTCAGTTTTCTCTAAGTTACTAAGTTTTTACCAGTTGGTTTTGTCTTCATTTCATATTGAATGCATTTCTCAGGACTGGTGATTCCTGGTGATTGCTGTTTAAAATCAGGGCACCAAAAAACAGAACGGAAGTTGTGTGGTGTTTGGTCTGACCATGGTCTTGCTCTGCCTTCTCAACTAGATGTTCTATGAAAATTAATTCCTAATTCCCTCAGGAGTCTATCTACATAATGAATTAATTTCTCTTCTATGAAACTAGAATATACTGTATGAGCAATACACTAATAATATTATTACTGATAATACACTAACGCGCCATGGGGAAATTTAGAAAATGGTCACCAAACTCATTTTCTGGAGACCATGGTTCAGATGAGGAAATCTGATTGAAATTATAATCTGACTGGGTCATTTTGTGGGGATCCTCCATTGTCAAAAACTTTAGCTCTTTTCTGTTGAGTTGCTCAGATTCCCAGGAAGCCTCTTAAAATCTTCTTGAAGGCTTGGTCTGGGTTAATAGCTAATAGTCCAAGAGAAAGAAAAGTGAAAAGTCCCACCATTGTTAAATCTTCAGCTAGCTCTCTGATATCTGTATATTATTCAACTGTGTCTTATGTCCCCCAGGTACAAGACTGTGCTTTACTTCTATAGAAAACAAACCACATTCTAGGGTTGGGGAGAAAAAAAGTAACCAGGATCCAGGAAGTGTGATAAAGTATGTATATCTAAATGCTTTTCAAATATAGGAACAATCACTCCTGTTTATAGTCCCATCTTTACCCCTTTTTAGACACACCTGGAAGCACTAATCCCTGGATCTCTTAGATTTATGCAATGTAAATGTGTTTGCTTCTGGGCTTTCTTAATTGCCAGCTTAAAATGTGGCTTCCTTCATTTGCCTTATACCTTCTGAAATTGCCTTCCTACTCTCACATTTTCTTTGCCCTTACAGTCCTTCCCACATGCTCTTTTACTATTGTTTAGATAGTGTTCTTAAAGGATTAACAAAGATAAACGTGGGTTAAGTCCATGTCTTTGGAACAATTCGGCTTGATGAGTATATTCCTCTCTCAGGACTTCCATAACAAAATGCCATAGACTGGGTGGCTTAAACAACAGGGAGGCATTATGTCACATTCTGAAGTTCAAGATTAAAGTGTTAGCAAGATTGGTTTTTCAAAGGGCCTTTCTCCTTTCCTTGTACATGACTGACTTCTCTCTGTTTTCACATGGTTTTTCCTCTGTGCGAATCTTTGTCCTAATCGTCTTTTCTTATTATGATGCCAGTTATACTGGATGTATGCCCACCCATATGAACTCATTTTACCTTAATTGCCTCTTTAAAGATCCTACTCCAAATATAGTCACATTCTGAGGACTGGGGAATAGGACTTCAATGTATACATTTTTTAGAGGTGAGGGCACAATTCAGCCCATAACATGAGGTATTTCATCACTGTGCATTTTTACTCTTTATACAGAGTTGCCTTACCAGGTTCTTGACCCCAAACATCCTCCACTCTTTGGTTCTTTCCTTCCAAAGTTGCTGCCATTTGGAATTGCAACGTGTTTTAATTCATCCATCCAATTTAATGAAGATTTCCTGAAGTATCTCTAAAAAAGATCATTCAGAGTGACATATCTGAAAATAGCAGAGTAGAAAACTCAACTTACGCAATGTTTAAGAGGAATAAAACTGTCAGACTCAATTTTGTTGAAATTCTGAAATCTAATAAAAAATTACAATCATTATAAAAGTGCTTAACAGATAAAGAAGCTGTTAAAGTTTTGTAAAACAGAGTTGTGGTGTTTTGGAGACTAATATGAGGATGGCGGTCCACGTTCCTGGTGCATCTTACTAATGGTGTGAAGTGCACTATAGACCATGATCTCAGTTAAAGAATTGTTGATTTACCTGTCAGGAGCTCCCTGGGAGATAGGTTCAGGGGCTTGCCTTTGTTTCATCCCTCTTAAAAGTTTCTTAGGAATAGAGCGGATTCCTGAATTGTGTCTGTCAAAGGTATTTAAAAACATACTAACTACAGCCTCATGGAGAAAGGGACAACTGTTGGAAAAGCAAAGGATAAACCAAATCCCTAGAAAGAAAGAGGCTGAGGAAATACACAGAAGTAAAAGCTTTCAAAAACTTCCACATATAGGGGGGAATTGTCTTAGTGAGTTCAGGCTGTTATAACAGAATAACATAGACTGAGTGGCCTAAACAACAGAATTTCTTTCTCACAGTGATGAAGGCTGTAAAGTCCAATATCAATGCAGACCTGATGTCTGGTGAGGGTCCACCTTCTAGTTTGCAGATAGCCATCCTCTCATTTTGCCCTAACATAGCAGAGAGCAGACAGAGATGATGAAGCAAGCTCTCTATAAGGACTCTAATACTATCTATAGCGCCTCCACCCTCAAGACCTAATTACCTCCCAAAGACACTACCTCCTAATACCAGCACATTGCAGGTTAAGAGTTCAACATATAAAATTTGGCTGGCCAAAAATATTCAGTTTGTAGGAGGAATCTAGAATGCTGTGTTCATGCTTAAGATGATGCATACTTTAAAAAAATGAGAAAACCCAAAGGTTTTACCTCTGGCTGACTTCTAGACTATGTCTAAGCAGGAAGAGAAAGCTAAGACATTCTGCAATGACAAGAAAATGTTTTTCTTCTTTCTTTCTGTTTTATTTTTTCTTTCTTTCCTTCCTTCTTTTTTGTTTGTCTTTTTTTTTTTTTTTTTGGATCCAGGCATTTAAAGAAATTTCTGTGTAATCACTACCTGAACCACTAAGTTAATTGAACAAAGATTTCAGTTGCCACGCACAGCAAAGAATAGTATTTCCAAAATAGTTTATAAAAATTACTAAGCAAGCAGATAACCACAATCTATAACAAGAAGCAAAAACAAACCCTGGGGAGAGGGGAGATAATTGGATTTCAACAGTTACCACATTATAATATTCAACATGTCCAGTTTTCAACAACAACAACAACCAAAATAAATGAGGCATGCAATAAAATAAGAAACTGTAGACCATTCATAGGAAATAAAATTAACAGAAATTACTGTTGAGGAAGCCCAGATATTGGATTTACTACACAAAGACTTTAAGTCGACTTCCTTAAGTATGCTCAAACAGCTACAAGAAACCATAAACAAAGAACTAAACAAAATCAGGAAAATGATGTTTCACCAAATAAAGAGTATCAATAAAGACAAAAAATTTTAAAAGGAAACAAAAAGTCAAGCTGAAAACGAGTGAAACAACAATTTTACTAGAGAGTTTCAATACCAGATTTGAGCAGGCAGGAGAAAAAATCAGTGAACAGGAGCACAAGTCAATTGAAAGTATCCAGTATGAGATGCAGAAAGAAAAACAATGAAGAAAAATGAACAGAGTCTAAGGGATTTCTGGTATACCATTAAGTATACCAACTTATGCCTAACAGAATTCTTAGAAAAAGATGATAGAAAGAATATTTGAAGAAATAAAGGCCAAAATCTTCATAAATATGGTAAAAAAGAGGAATCTTTGGATCCAAAATATTCAGTGAACTTCAAAAAGGATAAACTCAATAGTTCCACACCAAGATACATTATACTGAAAGCCGAAAACATAAAAGGGACTCCTGAAAGCAGGAAGAGAGAAGTAATTCACCATGTACAAGGGATCTTTAGTGATATTAATTTCTTATTAAAACTCATGGAGACTAGAAAGCATTAAGATTATATATTCAAAACCATGAAAGGAAAAAAAAACCTGTCAAAGAATTCTATATTCAACAAGAGTAGTATTTAAAAGGTAAAGAGAAATCATGACATTTTCAGTAAACAAGAGTTTAAACAGATCATCACTAGTAGATTGTCCTACAAGAAATGCTAAAAAGAGTCCTTCAGACTGAAATGAAAGAACACCAGAGAGTAACTCAAACCCTTATGAAGAAATAAAAGCAATGACAAAGGTATTAACAGAATAGATGCAGAGGTATGTATAAATGTCAGTACCATTGCATTTTTCATTGAAATTCCTTTTCATTCTTATATGATTGAAAACACAAGCACATAAAACAATAATTATAAATCTATGTTAATGGACTTTTTCTCATATATAGCTTGGTCAAATCTTTCAACTAATGAGTGTCCTTTAGATTCTAAAGTAAATTATCTTTTAATACACAACTGCTAACCTCACAGTAGCTCATTTGAGCTAAAATCTACTTCCATATAACTTTTCCCTACTGGTTATTGTTCTGCCCCGATGTGCTTCTTGTTGAACATGGCAAGACATCCTCAGATGGACATACAACTTAGCCTCTCTAGAGCAGGTGGTAGAACTTTCTTAGTTCCATGCACACCATGCTCTGAATTATTTCTTTCAATGTTTTAATATGAGAAAAAATCTAAAGCTACTTGAATTTCTTATTTTTAAAAAATGCTATAGGTAATGAGAATTCTTTCTCCTGTTTCTTTTTTCCTACTTATTCTGAAACAAAAACTAACCAGAATGCTAAACCAAGAAATTCTGGTTGTGAGGGGAAGGGAGTTCATTCTAAATTTGTAATATATCTGTGAATACAGACTGTAAGAAGAAAATGCTGTAGGTGTACTCTCTTCTGGGAAACTGGAATCTCTTGAAGAGGTAACAATTATGTCTTGGCTAAATTTGAAACTCAAGGATTGTATGAGAATAAAAGGTTGCTGATTGGGTCAGGATGACATTCAATCCTTACACTTGAATATCTGCTTTGAAAAGTAGTGACCAAATTTAATATTAATGATCAGATGTCTTGTCTTTGAAATGAGATAGACTTGATTTCAGATTTTATCTCCATTGTATACAAAGTGGGTGACTTATGGAATGCGTATAATCATTGGGCTTTATTTTTCTAAATGACAAAATGGGGAAAACAACTAACTCATAGCTTTGTTATGAAGAGGAATAAGTAATAAAAATTATTTTGGAAGCCTATAAAGAAACTAAAGATACCATAACTCATGAGCTGGTAGGCAAAATTATTGTTCATTTATTTATTTATTTATTTATTTATTTTCTCACCTCTGTTATTTATCAGGCACAGTACTAATTTCATTTGATATTGCAAATTCTATTGTAGAAATAAGAATCAGGAATAATGTAAATACAAGGGAAAAAGCATTTAATTATACTAGTCTCAGGGAGGTTTATAAATAAAGATAAAAATCTTGGTCTTGAATTAAGAGAGTACAGGCAGAGTAGAGGGAGGATATTTCATAAATAGAAAAGGATATGTATGAATTTCGACATGATAGAAAAGTATTCTATTCATATATATTCTGGGAACATTATGTAGAGAGATAAGGGTGGCATTTATGCATATTTTTAGAAAATGGGAGAGATGAATTTTGGAGAGGAAACCAATACTTAGATCACAATGGGTACAATGGGAGTAGAAAATTATCATAATTTATCATTAAAAATATAGTGTTTCAACACAATGTAAATATCTTTGAGGTATTATTAGGACTTCTGGTTTATCGTAGGGATGTAAAGAGCTGGGAAAAGGATTTTTTCCACCCAAACAAAGAAAAAATATCAAACAAATTGAAAGCTTAAGACTTTTCTTGAAACTACCTGAGGTCACAAGGCAACCAAACAGCCTGAAATCTCAGGATAGAAAGGCTGGCTTGCAGGTAGAAACAGAACAAGAATACTTGCTTACTTGGGAAAGGTAAAACCGGGCACCAGTAAGAAGAATTCAGCTACAGTTATTCACAAATTAGTGTAGACCATTTATGGGCTGGTGACAGAGTATAGAGTCCCTAGAGTCCACAGATTTAGCAGGGAGTTTTCAGCAACTCATGGGCTCTTCCCCGTGGAATGTATTGGGCACTCACAGAAGAGATTGGTGAAAGTTCTGTAAGAAGTGTTTCTCATGCTATAGACATGGAAGAGTGAAACTGTAACCACTGGGGGAACAGTGGAAGACCTCATCCAGATTCATATTTCCCATCTTCCCTACAGAACAAAAGCCTTACTGTTTCAGGAAGGACAGGAAACACCATTGTCTTCAAGGCGCTGGTGAAATGGTATATTCAAGTCACATGTGCACTATCCACTTAACTAAGGCAATCGTAAAGCTTTATATAATGTGGCTGAAGTCACTATTTACAATGGCAAAGGTATATGAAATCAACCTAAATTTCTGTCAATGGTGGACTGAATAAAGAAAATGTGGGCTGGGCGCGGTGGCTCACGCCTGTAATGCCAATACTTTGGGAGGCCGAGGAGGGCGGATCACGAGGTGAAGAGATCGAGACCATCCTGGCTAACACGGTGAAACCTCATCTCTACTAAAAATAGAAAAAATTAGTCGGGCATGGTGGCAGGTGCCTGTAGTCCCAGCTACATGGGAGTTGAGTCAGGAGAATGGCATGAACCCAGGAGGCAGAGCTTACAGTGAGCCGAGATCGCGCCACTGCACTCCAGCCTGGGCGACAGAGTGAGACTCCATCTCTAAATAAATAAATAAATAAAATGTGGTATGTATACACCATGGACTATTACACAACCATAAAAAAGAATGAGATCATATCCTTTGTAGCAACATGGATGGAGCTGGAGGCCATTATCCTAAGCAAAGTAACACAGGAACAGAAAACCAAAGACCACATGTTTTCAATTATAAGTGGGAGCTAAAAATTGAGTATATATGGACACAAAAAGGGGAACAACAGATACTGGAGCTGACTTGAGGGTGGAGAGTGGGAGGACAGTGAGGATAGAAAAACTACCTTTCTGGTACTGTGCGTATTACCTTGGTGACAAAATAATCTGTACACCAAATCCCTGCAACATGCAATTTAGCTGTATAACAAACCTGCACATGTACTGCTGAACCTAAAATAAAAGTAAAAAAAAAACATTGAAACACACATAAAGGTGGCTGAATTGATCTTCAGACTTGAGGAGGGTAGAAACCTGTAGGAGTGTGGGATAGAGCAGAAGTGCAGAGTCCCTAGGCTAGATTGACAATTTATGAATTTTAGAAAATTTGATGGGTAGAAACTAGGGGGCAAAGAAACAATATTTAATCATTGTAAGCATTTCTACCATAAAAGCTAGAAAGATTTCAATACCATTTTTGAGAAGCTAATTCCTTTGTTAGAAGAAATTAAGAAAAAACATCAATGACAAACATCAAATGGGATTTCATACTGTATAAATGTAAAGTCAATATTCTCCTCAGGAATCAAAAGGTTTGAGATTCTAAGGAGCAAAACAGTTCTGGAGATGAAAATCTAAAATATTTTCTATGTTGGAGGCTGAGTTTGTTGTCTGTAAAAGATGTTCTGGGAAACACATCTTGGAAAAAATGGTATTCTTTATCTTAGGATGGAATGGAGAGTGATGTCATCGATGACACCTGTGTTTACTTAGCCCCTTAGAACAGATGTGGGTTCTCTTGTGTCTTAAGGGGTAGAAGCTAGAACGTTACAGATACTGTGACCCCTGACATAGGAAGGGGTACTTCTAGGACTTTCTGCAGAGTGTAGCAGAACACCGGGTAAAGTCAACCCTCTTGTTCCAGAGAGAATCCAGGACAGGTTCCCATTGAGATTTGTAGCCATAGGGATTGCTGTTTCTTTCCATTATTTTTTCCCAACTAATAATTTGTTGGGTAAAAGAAAGATCTAGATTTTAACATATTGAATATTTTTTATCTAGACATCTTACTAGACTCTTTTTTATGTCTTATGTCATTATTTACTTTTTTCAGTTTTACAATCATACCATAAAAAATTATGATAAGTTTTGCAAGTGCCTTCCAATATTTATTTCTTTTATTTCTGCATCTTCATTAGCTACGATGTAGGTTGGTAATAATAATTTATTTTTGAGTAAGTTTGTAAAGAATGGATTTGAGAATTGAGAAAATAGAGTTAGAACAAATAGCAAAAAGCTATTGTGGGTTTCTAAGTGGTGTGTAATAGTTTGCAGGAAAAGAATGATGACTAAATGCTTATAAGGGAATGGGTATGCATTAGTCCATTTTCACACTGCTGATAAAGACATGCCCGAGACTGGGCAATTTACAGAAGAAAAAAAGGTTTATTGGACTTACAGTTCCATGTGCCTGGGGAGGCCTCACAATCATGGTGGAAGGTAAAAGGCACGTGTCACATGGCAGCAGACAAGAGAAAAGAGCTTGTGCAGGGAAATTCCTCTTTTTAAAACCATTGGATCTCATGAGACCTATTCACTATCATGAGAACAGCACAGGAAAGACCTGCTGCATGATTCAATTACCCCCCACTGGGTCCCTCCCACAACATGTGGAATTTCAAGATGAGATTTGGGTGGGGACACAGCCAAACTATATCAGGATATATGAGTGAGATATTAACGTTGCTGCTAAAATTTTTAAATAAAATAATTCAAAAGGTGGTTCAATTAAGAAAGATCAAATTAGTTTCTATTTTTTCAGATAGTTGAAGCTATTTCCATGACTATGAGTAAGGAAGGCTATTGTAAACAAGATTAGAAATCCACTTATCATACAGAAAAGAAGATAGAATTAATTGCTTTTGGTACATAATTCTGTTTACTAAAAAATCCCATTAACAGAGTGAAAAGTCAAGCCACAAGTTGAGTATTCCTCACACATTTTTGCCTAACTTCTAGATATTTTATGTACTTCAACAGTGTAAATAGTAATGTTTTAAACTTTATTTTCCAAACTGTGTGTTAATTTGGATATTAATTGCTTAGATATTAATTTTGTAGCAGCAACCTTGCTAAACTCCTACTAATGCCTAACTTATCTGTAGAATATTTTTATTTTTTTCTATATGCAATTATATCATCTGAGGATAAAGACACTTTTGCTTAATCCTTTATAACCCTACACATTTATTGTCACTGTTGTTTTTCTTTTTCTTGTTTTACTGCAAGGGCCATTGGCCTCCAGTACAAAGCAGAATAGAAAATATATGGTGCAATAATTCTGTGGCTTTTGCACTCAAATTATGAACTTTCAATTCTTTAACATAAAGCATGTTGATGGCAAGACCTTTTTTGCCAAGCTTTATTAAGTTAGAGTGATTTCCTCCTATTTACTCTTGTTTTGCCAAGAGTTTATTTTTCCGTTAGTTACCATTGAACTTTGTCAAATTCTTTTTCTACCTTCATTGAGATCACCATAATAATTTTCTCTTAATATGTCAATGTACTGGCTTAATTGATCTTTGAATGTTCGATAAATCTTGCAATAATGAAATCATCATAACATGGGCCTGATACCATATCCTTTGTTTTGTTTGTACATCTGGAGCTTTATCTGATCTTTCTTTAATGTTTCTATGAAGTTTTTAAAATCATTAGTAGTTTTTTAAGGGGAAATAAATGGAAATTTGCAATCAGTCTTTGAGTGTGTCAAACCTGTAGTCATTTACTTCAATATGTTCTCTATTTCTAGATAAGAGACCCCCAGTGATTAGCCAAGTATGTAATAAAGACTATGTTTCCCAGCTTCCTTTGCAGTTAGATTTGGTCATGTGATTATGTTCTAACCAATGAGGTATAAGCAGAAGAGTTTTATAAAAATGAGCAATACCTAAAGTGAGCAAACCAGTAGTGTGGTCTATCCAAATTCTATCAACAACGGAAATTCAATATGATTCAGATTTGGGGAACCGAGTTCATCTCTACAGTAGTCAGAGATGTTTCAGATTCAAGTGATAAAGAATGAGCTCAGATAAGCATAAACAATAAATAAAAGGGAAGGCTTATAGCAGAAAAGCCAACATGTCAAGAATTGGTGATTATCTTGGGTATGACTGGATCAATTGGACTTTCTCTTTTTTGTCTCTTATATTTGTTTTTCGTTGATTATTCTTTTCCACTGCACTAAAAAAGGCTTTCTTCATGTGTCAGGAAATATACCTGTGAACATTCTCTTATTCTCTAATTCTGGAGTCAAGTTTCCTTCTCCTCTATAAGCAAATTGAAAAAATTATGCCTATAAATTTCACTTGGCCCAAGTCAGTGGCAAGCCCAATTCTGGGTTCATGTTAAGCTCAATATTTGGTTATAGAGGAATATGGCTCATTACTAAGAATCCTGTGATTTTGAAGGGAAAAAAAAGAGTTTCCCCAAGTAAGGGAGGTTATGAGTTCTGGACAAATAAAAACAAAATCTGTGCAATACAGGCTATTTAGGAGTAGGTAATGGGACCAAAGGATCAGAGTTTCTTGGCTTCAGTCAAGCAGACTAGAGTTCAGGACCAGACTCTAATCCCAGTGTGGATTTACACCAAGCATACCTACAGTTTGTTAGATTGTGAGGTGAAAGGTTCTTACTCAGAAGTTAGGCAGGTATTTTGAGCTCACCATGGTGCTAAGACACAGAATCATGGCATACATAGCCCCAGACCCCACCCAGTGGAGGCATGGGGCTTCAGCCTTTTGGGGTTGGCTCAGCAATGAGCAGAGGCTAGGCAGAGGCTTCTAAGTCCTCAGCTGATGTGGGGGATCTCTCTCTCTGCTCCAAGTTCACATTTCCTCTTATGCAAAAGTCTCTTAGAGCCTTTATTTCTTTCCATATTGAATGAATCATTATATTTATACCTTTGCTCTTTTAGTAATCTGTGCTTTTTTTATGGTGGGGGAGATGAGGAGGCTCTTTTTTATTATATGTCATCTTCCAGCTTGTGTCTCAGCTTTCAACTCATAGCTGAATCCCTGTTGTGACTAAAGACAGAATGAGTGAAAGCAGGAGACACACCTTTCAGCCTCTCCTCAGATTCTTAAGGGAAATCTTTTTTTCCTTCTTTGTATCATTATTACAGCTCCTGCAGCTCAGTAGTACCTGCCACATAGTAGGAGCTCAGAACTTGTGAACAGAGTGAATACATAAAAGAACAAATGTATTGGGTGGGCTGGGGAGACCTTGGTCAAAGGACACCAAATTACAGTCAAGTAGGAGGACTAAGTTCAAGAGATCTGTTGTACAGCATGGTAACTAGAGCTTATGACTACATATTGTATTCTTGAAAATGCTGAGAGAGCGAATGTTAATCAGTCTCACCACAAAGGTGATGGCCATGTGAGGTAATGCATGTGTTAATTAGCTAGGTTTAACCATTCCACAATATATGTATTCCATAGAAAATCATGTTGTTTGTGATAAATGCATATAATATTATATATCAACTTAAAAAAACAGAGGAAAAAAACCTTTTTAAAATACTAAAAGAAATTTTCAACGTATATTTTCTCTGAGACACCCGTAAAGAACACTGGGGTGGATACAGTCCACAAATTCTATTTTGTAGCTTCTGGTTTTGCCCAATTTTTCTTTCAAGCATACATCAAACAGACCAGGCTGAACAATGTGATGGTCCAGGCGTCAGACAAGCCCAGATTCCAGCCATGTGGTCGTCCCTTTGCTTCCAGCCACAGCTAGCATTCTGTCTCTATTTGAGAATTTATGGCTTTAATATTTGAATCTCTCAGGGAGGAACCATAAAGAAAAACATAACGTATAAAAATATGTATTTCCTGGTTCTATAGTTTAAATATATGCTTTTAATTGTAAGAAAGTCATTCAGTAAAGAATTTCTAAGTGCCTTTCTATTAATGCAGATATTGTGGAAAGGTTAGATTACTTCCTCCAGTGGCCCGGACATTCAAAGTCTCTTATCCTTTCATGGAACTCCAGTAGAGATAGAGATAGAGAAGATAGAGATAGAAATAGAGATAGAGATAGAGTTAGAGATAGAGAGATATAGAGATAAAGATGTGTGTGTGTGTGTGTGCGTGTGTGTGTGTGTGTGTGTGTGTGTGCTGCCCTGTGACTTGAAAGTACTTGTCAAAAATCCGTAAATATATAGCACGGTTTCACAGCGTGGGAAATAAGTCACTTCCTTTTGTCTGTGCAGAAAGGAATTTAAAGTTCTTGAGAATTTCAACTATTTGGAAAGCCTGAGGCAAAGTTCCTTTTCAGTAAAATCGGAACAAATGTGCAAAAAGATCTATGTACTTGGTTCAAGAAATATCCTCATCTAACATTCTAAAAGAAGGAGTAAAAGGAAAGTGAAGAGTTCATGCAGAAAGCAAGGGCAGCACTCATGGATGTTTACGCAGTTTTTGCCCAATATCAAAGGGCTAGATGCTATTTAAATGACAAATTATACTTATGTGCCTGCTGATTCAGGGTTCCTAAGTAGTGAGGTCTCAGGTATGCAAGGCTCTCAGAGACATGAGTCGGGGGATCCTTGATAAGTATTGATTTACCCTCACTACTGCCACCCAGAAGCATGGCTCTACAGTAGCAGCTTAGCCTACCACAGTGCACAGAGGTTGTAGGCATTGTAAGAACTGTCTTGTCTGTGTTACCTCAGTAGATTTTCATAAGGGAAGGGGAAAGAAAAGTGAACCGAACTGACAAATTTTGAGCACCTTTTGTGTACTAAGCTCTAAGTTATGCACCTAACTTATTTTAATTAATACAACAATCCTTGATGTAGTTTTTATCAGCTTCACTTTACACCTAAGAAAACTGATTTTTAAGAGAAACGAAGTCTCATTTACAATTGCTACAATTGGTACTTGACAAAGATGAGGTTTCATTCAATGTCTGTCTCTAAAGCTAGTGCTCATTCTATTCATCACTCATCCATTTACTGGAAAAATCAGACCATGTTCAGTGCCATCTGAGAATTCAGAGATAAAAGAGGCAAAACGTCTACCTTTGAGTATCCATTCACATTATACCAAGACAACAGATACTTGGACAGTGCCATATCTAGCTGCTTGTCATCATCTCAGCATGATCCTCAAATATTAATCCAAAGTTCTCACCATTGAGAAAAAATACACAGAAGTCAAGTAAAGCAAACCTAATTTCTAAAGCTGAGGATATCCCGTTGGGAAGAGACTACAGCCTTGTTAGTCTAGAATTCCTCACACTATTCGCAGTTGCTTTCATTCTGTTTCCCCATTAAACGTGTGGTCTTATGATGATGCTCAATGTCCAGTTCTTTATAGGATCAATGAATGCAAGTGCAAATGAATGGCAACCTTCAAAATTGCCTATGTAGGCAATTCAGCCATAACCAATTTGAAGGTGGAGGTAAGTGTAAAATGTGCTGCTTTAGAAAGGCTGGTTTGGTGGGGGTACAGAGTCTGCAAAGGATAGGGAGTGCCTGGAAGCTGGAAGACTGGGTAATCTTCAGAACTGTACAGAGAGTAAAGATTGAGAAGTAAGAAGGAATGTGGAGGGTTGAATTTTTTTTAAATAGCAAAATATGGGCATTTCAAAACAAAATTGAGATCCAGCTTCAGATGGCACCTCCACTAGGAGGTGCCTTGGAAGAAAAGGAAAATGGAACGAATAAATATATACTATCACTCACTTGCAGTTGGCTCTTCAATATTTTATCTCATTTGATAGTTTTCAGAACACTTAAGAAAGTATACATCTATATGTATATATACACACACACTAATACTAATACTATATTTAGAGTAATATATATATTATAGTAGACAAAACTATATAGAGGATAAGAAGATACAATTTCATCTTCCCATGGTAAATTTGGGAGCTGAGATTTGAACCAAAGTTTGACAATTTCACAATTAATGCTTTATCCCCAATTCATATAACCTTTCTAATCAAGATGAAAGAGAAAAAGGAAGAGCTGAATTCTGAAATTGGAAAAAATATATATATACATATATCTCTTTGGAAATGTGCTTGCAGACTCAAGAGTGACACAGAGGTACAGCTGACAATATAATTAAACGCAGCTCTAGACAAGCTAACCATACTCTGAAGCAGTAAGCATGATATATTTATCTTCCATTTCCTCTCTGTGGCTAGAGATTCAAAGGATAAAGTCATTTAAAAATCTTTCAGATGTTTGCCTTTTCTGGTGAAATGAGAGTGTGCTGGGTCTGGAAGGAGGATATTTTAATTAGCAGGACTTATTATTTATATTTGATGAAAATAATGATATAGGAATCAATTCAGTCCCTTGTCTGTATGCAAGGATCTTACAGTAGTTCAGAGGTCTGTATCTGAGCAGCAAATGAACCAGAGCCCTTTCTGCCACAAACAGAAAAAGCTGAGAGTAAATTGACTTTTCATTTTGAGACAAAGCTGCATGTTCCCTGTGAGGGCTCATCATATTTCCTGCTGGTAGTAGCTAAATTTTTCATGCAGGGGGAAAGAGTAAGTTTGAGATTAGTGAGGTGTAAAGGAAAGTGCTCGACCATTGAGCAGACACCAGACAGTTTCAGGGGGAGTTTTGACTGGTTTGGTGGTTTTTGCTAGTGTGGATAGAGGGCAAGCGGAACAGTCATGTCTTCTCCTCACTTGAACTATGAGATTGAGGGAGAAGTGCTTTTTGTGACTGAGGTGTCTCCCAGGCATACTGAAGGCCCACCTGTCCCCTAGCATCCTTGGCTGTGATCTGTAAGAGTAAGGCCCAAACTTCACACTCAAGGCTGTGGTCACTCTATTTACATTCAGCGTGTAGCTATGGAGCTATCACTCTAATTATTCTTCACTTGTAACTCGTGCACCCAGGCAGGGCAAATATCCATCATCTGAAATTTTACAGATCACAGCTGCCTTGTTTGCATCTGCACCATGTAAGACAAATAATGCAGTCACATCCGGCCTCAAGGTAGCCAGAGACCCACAGGATGGAGTCATTATTTGGGGGTGTTCCAACTGCTGCTAATGCAGCCCAGATGACACCAGACATGAAGTGATAAACAATAATGCCCCTCGAACTACTCTTGAGCTGCTCCTGCTCAGTTGATATTTAACGATGCAACACAGGAAGTATTCTGGGGTCCGCATGTTCAGATGCTAAACACACAGTCTAAGGTGATGCTTCTCTCCAAAAGGAATATTTTAAATGTCCCTCCTCCTGCTCCAGATCACACAAAATCTGATATTGCAGAGAAAATGCCAGAGATAGAGCTATGCTTCAACACAGACTCAGCAAGCAGGATGCAGAGCAAGGCTTATGCAAACATCCGCCAATACTCCCAGGGCTTAGGGACAGTGCTGACAGCAAATGCTGCAGCAAAACTAAGACCCAGGCAAATCCTTGAAGTCAACACCTATGCCCCGTTGCAGACCAGACCACATGCAGCTAGAGCACGGGAAACATCACTACCAGACAGAAAGAGAACAAGTGTCTTTGGGCCATAGAGTTTGGGGTTCTTACAAACATGAGTGAAAAGAGGATGGGCCTGAGATCCTACCATACTCTTCATTTCTGGTTTAAGTATGAGTGCTTAACTGTGTCTAATCATATTCACATGATTTGAAAATTTTCATAATTCTAGTTAAAAAATCTAAAAAGTGTGGAGAGCAAAATAAAAATGTCAATAGAAATTTTTCAGAGACTGTTATTTACAGATGCTGGAGGCTTACCTCAGCTTTAGAGCTCAGCAGCATCTTGTTCCTAGAATGCTAAGAGGATACGCAACCTGCAACTGTTACTCTGCAAATGTCCCAGACTGAGTACCCCTGTCCTCCCCAGACATTAAAAAAGAGACAAATGAGCCGGGTGCAGTGGCGGTGGCTCACGCCTGTAATCCCGGCACTTTGGGAGGCTGAGGCAGGCGGATCATGAGGTCAGGAGATCGAGACCTCGAGCCAGGAGATCATCCTGGCTAACAGGGTGAAACCCTGCCTCTACGAAAAATACAAAAAACTAGCCGGGCGTGGTGACACACGTCGGTAGTCTCAACTATTGTGGAGGCTGAGGCACGGGAATCACTTGATTTGGGAGGCGGAGTTTGCAGTGGATGGAGATCACACCTTTGCACTCCAGCCTGGGGGACAGAGCGAAACTCCATCTCAAAAAACAAAAAACAAAAAAAAAAAGAGAGAGAGACAAATGTAGGGCTATACTCTAGAAGCTGCTATTGCTGATAGTTTTCATGTAATCTGTGAATTAGCGGCATTCAAACAGAGAATATAAAAATTAACTCGAAGTTTGAGTCAGATTTCCTAGTTTTCTTCCTGGTGTGAGCTTTTGGCTTATGTTTCAAATGGAAATAACACCAGACCTGCACGGTGGGTCTAGGATTACTGAACATGAACATGAACCTGTATGAAACCTTGTAGGATATAGATCCTTTGCGCACAGTTGATACTCAAATATATTCTTCCTATCCCCTGTAATAATCAACACTGGCATACCTCATTAAATATGTCAATGGATTTGATAAACAGTATCATATTTGCTCACTACAACAATTATGAGACAGGTAGCAGAGCCATTTACAGTCTCCATGTGAGAATTAGGACATTAAGACTTGTTTACCAAATGCAGTTGGCCGGAGTGAATTAAGCTTACATCAAGGAGTTGGGTCCTACACCATGGTTGATTGTGCTCTGTGGGGCTTGTACAGCATCGGGAGGGTGAATATCTCAGGTTAGCATGATTTGAGCTCAATCATTGTCCTCAGGCTTGGCTTCATTTTCACATTTTAAGAACGAGCTACTCTATTCTTCCCCAGTAGAGTATCAACCCTTGGAACTCCCTATCATAGCACTCTGGGGTATACTTCAAAGCACTGAGCACTGTTTATCCTCAACTTTTGTCATTAATTTTCATATTTATTTACTCTCTGTTTTCTTTCCTGACAATGTAAAAATTTTAAGAACACTACATAGCCCAAACCTCATACTTGGTACTTGGTAGGTGTGAAAAAAAAAATCTATTTTATAAATTGAATAGTAATTAACTAATATTATTTTTGAGGACACCTTTATTAGTAAGGCCTATTTCCAGTTAAGACGTTGAAAATCATCATAATGAGCCCAGAAATTTAGTAGGCTTTTTCCCATTCTGTAACATCTCAAAGGCCAGAAGCAAGAAGGCTCACAGGGTTATAGTAACAGGCCACAGAGCAGTCAGTCCTCAGGTGACCACCAATAGTTCTACCACTGACCCCACCTCGGGACTCAGCCTCTTCTGTCATATGAGGGCAGAGATACAATTCACACAGTGTCCTGGTAACCAGAGCATCCAGTCTGTGCGTGAGTCTCCTTGAGTGGATTTCCAAGGTGGGATGGGAATGGCGTGTGGGATATTCTGACTGCTAAGGCTCCTGTGCTTCCACAAATTACTCATTTTCACTTATGAGGAAAGAAAACTATCTACTCCCCCCACCAACTCCAACAGCAGCAATCCTGAAATAGCGAACCAACTGTACCTTCCAGGGAACTTTTGACATTGCACTTGGTGACATGAATTTTAACCCCTCATGGTGTATCATAAGTCTGTATGAGCCCTCAGTTCAAGTCATGGCTGGGACCCCAGAATCAACCTCAGGACAGATTGTTGTCTTGGAGCATCTGTGAGATGAGACAGCAAGAAGAGATAATGCTCTGGATTTGGGCAAATCTTAGTATCACACTGAGAAGACCAAATAACTAAATCATATGAGGGACAGAAGAGAGCCCAGAAGGGAACATCAAAACTAGGAGTAAAGCACTAAACGGAGATACAAACCGAGAGGATAGATTAGGGGAGGGAGACACAGAGAGAGAGAGGAAGTAAAAGACAGAAGCAGAGAACAGAAACAGGGAGAGGGAGAGAAGGAGAGGAGAGAAGGGAAAATGAAATAGAGAGAGAAAGAGGGAGAACAGCCTGTTGGTAGAGAACAGCTTCTCACCATGTCTCCTCTTTATCTGCTGGTAAGAGCCTGGTGCACAGGTGAGTCCAGCTAGCCTAAAGAGGTAGAATCAGGGCAAATTTAGCACATGGAAGATGCTTCACCCAGACCCTGGTGTATGCAGATAGTAAACAAAAAATAAAGGGTAGTCATCCCCCACTTCCTACAAGTCCTGGGTTGTGACCCTCTGCATGTTCACCAACACATGCGAGAACACTTGTTCTGATAAGTTTCAAGCACCCTCTGAGTGGGATTTCTCAGGGGTCAGATTTCAAGCAACCCTAAGTTATGTGGTTTCAATGCACTTTTAAGCCACCTATTTATGCTGACCGAGGGCTCCAGCCATGCCAGGATGATCGTCCGCCTGTAGCAGGTGTCTTTCATATATAAATATGCAGAACTGTTAATTTCTGACTACAATGTCTTCCACAAACAATCAATAAGCTAATAAAAAATCTGGTGTTCACCAAACTCTCTTCTGACAGAGAAAATATTGTTACTGCTCAGGATCATTTTTGCTACCCAAGTAAATTCTCTCAGGGAATGTATTCCCTCTAGGTTCAAAATAACAGTAAGTCCTAACATTATTAAGTCAGGGCAAGGTAATCTACACTAAGTCTCCAGGTATATCTCAAGTTTCTCTAGCTTCTGAGTGCAAATAAAGCCCTAAAGCAAGCAGATGACATCCTTGTCATGGTCGTAGTTTCATCTCCCCGAGGGCCCTGAAAATACTGAATTATAGAAATTTCGCTCTGTCTTTGAATCTATAAAAATGGTTATAACACCTCTAACCTATAGGGTTACTGTGCGATTTTAAGGCCTGACCTGTAGCATAAACTCTCAAACTAGTATTTCACTTTTCAACTTGTTTCTCGTCCATTCTGCTCTTAATACCACCAAAAATTTTTTTTTCTAAGACACTACCCATTTTCTAGCCAAATTCTCAAATTTTTCAGAGAGTTCCTCACCCCAATATTTTCATGGGTCTCAGGGAAGCCAACCTCTGACCCCAAGAGTGTTACCTGCTTTCTAGATTCTCTGGCCTGGAGAGCTGGCATCCAGGCGACACACCTCGTACGGACTGTGGTGTTGCTGCATGGCCAGCATGAGGCTGCTGCAATCTCAGCTAATGGTGGAGCCTGAAGCCCAGTGGAAATAACACCAATAATAATAATACAGTAAAAATACATACAAATCTGTCTCACCGTGAGTATCTAGTTCTGAGTTTATCTTCCTACCACTTATGCCACTGGAGTTCCTGAGCCACCTGTTCCTGCTGACAGATGGAGTGCACAAGCCCTAAATAATCCAAGTCATTAAGTCTCCTCAAGGTGAGGGAGAAAGCATTTTCTCTTCCCATGATACACACAGTCAGAAGTGTCCTAGACTAAAACTGCTTCAACTCCAAGTTGCACAGTTCGTTCAGTTTCAGTCACCAAGACAGCTGGATCATGATGTATTTCCCTAATCATCTACCCACTTGGCCAGGTATGATGGTTCCTTTACAAGGACTTATGAGTTACACAGGATAAATCCATTGCAGCATGCTCACTATCTGCTTTTCAACCTCAGAAATCAAGATCTTGGTTCCTTTCATTCTCTCAAGAAGTCTTAGCCTTTAACTAAATGTCTTGATTAAATCAGTACCCCTACTTCAGACCTCAACATCACACACTATACTTATGTAACAAACCTTCGCATTACCTCTTGATTCTAAAATAGAAGTTAAAAAAAATCAGTTATCTGGAGAAGAAGACCCTCACATTTAATTGAAGTCTCCGACAGAGCCCAAGCTTCAGGACTCAGATGCAATCAAAATGAACATCTAAAGTAGCATTGATTTTGATCTTCAGAATAATCTCTTGAAAAATGTTTTAATCCCTATTGTATACATAATTCTCCAGTTATTATGGTAGGAGGTGTCAGAGCATACATCCAGTACCTGACATGTCTGATTCAAATTCTATACATCTGCTGCTGTCATCAGCTTACATGACAGCAGTGGATATATGTTAACATGAAATTGTGTGTGGATCGTTCCATGATTGTTAATTGTATCACCAGCTGGACTATGAGATTCTGAAGGGCAAAATTCAGGCCTTTACTTTTTTCTGTCCTCAGCACAGGGACCCAGCAGACGATTGACTATGTAATTGGTGCTCAAAAAGTAATTTTAGCTTGAACTGAATTGAGTCATATTGGATTAAGTAAAATTAAATTCATTCACTTTATTGATGAGGCTATTAATAACCTTGACCCTTGTGCAAACCACACTTATATGTAATTGATATGCCCCCTTCACACTGAAACCACATGATCAGTGAACTCAAAAAACATCACTGATGCCCACAATGAATGCGGCCTCTGGAACTATCTATCATTGCCTCTTATAATTTTTGGAGATCATAAAATGTACTGGAAGAAAACATGGCTTTGGTGTCTCAGACACTTGGTTTAAAATCCTCACACTACTGCATAAAACTTTCCAAACATTGACAAAGTGCATAATGTCTCCAGGCCTCTGTCTTTGAATCCATAAAAATGGTTGTAAGATCACTTACCTATAGGGTCATTGTATAATTTTAATGTGATATGATATGCCTAACTATAGCATAAACCCCAAACTAGAGTATTTCACTCATTCTACTCCTAGTATCCATTGGACTCATTGTCCTAATTAAAGCATCAAAACAATGCTTTAACTGATCAGATTATATAGAAGACTTTTCCTCTAATCTTGTACAGTTATTTCTGAAGAAAGGAAGACAATGTTCTGGCAAGAGCCAAAATATCTGGCTTTCAATAAAGATTTGCTGCTGCTATGACTGCTGCCACCACCATGAGGTATAAGAATATAGCATGTGTGTAGGTGATACCCCAGATGGGTCACCATAGGAAAGTGAGATGTTCTATGAATATCCTAGAGAAATTCATAGAAAAGCATGAAAGACTGCATTCCTTAGGATCCAGAATACTAGGCCACTCTGGATTAAAAAACAGAAGGAACTAAACTGTCATTTCTTTGAGCAGGAAGGAAAAATAATATCAATGCCTATAATGAGCCAATGCCATTTGTTTTTATTCTCTATAATTGCTGGCAATGAGTGAAGACTCATCAACATTTGATATGGTTTGGTTGTGTCTGAACACAAAATCTCACCTTGAATTGTAATAATCCTCACGTGTCAAGGGCAGGACCAGGTAGAGATAATTGAATCATGAGATGGTTTCCCCTGTACTGTTCCAATTCTCACAAGATCTTATAGTTTTATAAGGGGCTTCCCCCTTCACTCAACTTCCATTCTCTCTCCTGCCTGCATGTGAAGAAGGATGTGTTTGCTTCCCATTTCACCATGATTGCAAGTTCCATGAGGCCTCCCCAGCCATGGAAAACTGTGAGCCATTTAAACTTCTTTTCTTTATAAATTACTCAGTCTCAGGTATGTCTTTATTAGCAGCGTGAGAACAAACTAATAAAACATCATTACCATTTTTAGCCTGACTACATGTATAAGGCATTAAATGGAGAATACAAATGAAAAAATAAATGCACAGTTGAAAACCATTTTTAAACTATTCATCCTTAGTATTTCTTTCTTTTTGGAAATGGATCTCACGCAGTGGCCCAGGCTGGAGGTGCAGTGGTGTGATCTCGGCTCACTGCAACCTCCACCTCCCAGGTTCAAGCGATTCTCCTGCCTCAGCCTCCTGAGTATCTGGGATTACAGGCGTGTACCACCATGCCTGGCTAATTTCTGTATTTTTAGTGGAGATGGGGTTTTACCACGTTGGCCAGGCTGGTCTCGAACTCCTTATCTCAGGTGATCCATCCGCCTTGGCCTCCCAAAGTGCTGAAATTGCAAGCATGAGACACCGCGCCCGGCCTCATCTTTAGTATTTCAAAAACAACAAATTTTTCTAAACTGAATATTTTATATTAAAATGATGCCTATATAACAATTTCTTAATCACTGTTTTCAAAGTTCCCATGGAAATATTCATTCAATTAGAATCTAGAAGCAGTAGTCTATGTTTTACTAGATTTCAGAAATATTTTTTCCCTTAACAAATGCTTCATGTCTATATGTTCGAAATATTTCTTCCCTTAACAAATGCTTCATGTCTATATGTTCGTATATGTCTCTCTCTGTGAAAATATATGCTTATATATTTATTACACATAAACTACACCTTCAGAAAAATGTTCATTCACACCTACATACCTAATCTGTGGGCTGAAATCAAACACTGTCATCAGCTCCAAAAGCCAACATTGCAGAAGTTTGAACTAGAGTGCCAAGGCCAAATAGAAACTCTCAGGTAAGAAAAAAAAAATAGAGTTAAAGTCCACCATGCCATGCACCCTCATCCTTTGCATTGACCCTATTTGACATAGCTTGACTAAACAATGACCAGAAAATCATACTCATCTACTCTACAGGGAAGAGAGGGAGGCATTTTATTTTTCCTATCCTCTGCCTAGAATCACAAAATCTTATTCTACTGCTTTTTGAGATTTGTTAATTTTCATGGTACAACTATACAAAGAAATAGCCATTTAAAGAGTCAACATAGATAAATATTCATTGACATGAAAAGTTGTTTACAAATGTTTAGTGAAAAATTATTTTGTGTAACCAAATACACATGTGGATATACTGATTGTATTTAGAGGAAAAAGTTTTTAGAGATACTGGTTATCTCTGGGGAGATTATGAGTATTGGTTTTACTGGTTTCTTCTTTTTTTTAACCTGTGATTAACTGCAGTTTTTGTTTCAATGATGTGGTTATATTGTTTATAAAAGAAAAAATGAATCTGATTTTTAATATTGTATGGGATCTGAATAAAATACAATTTCAATTGACAATCTTTTTTGGAAACAGAAAGTAGCAGAAATGAGATCAAAAACTCTAATCCAGATTTCGTGGAAATTCCTCTTAAACCAATACCAGCCTCCTCCATATTTAATAGTGAATCACTACAATCATTTTAGTTAAAATCATGAAATAGACTTAGATGCCAATGCCTGCTAACACACAAACACAAAGTTGTTAAACACACAAACAAATCCACTAGAATGTGATACAAATTAGGAGTATCTGCAGACAGCATGACAAGCTACATTCCTCAAAGACAAACCTATTCGACCTATACTACTAAAACTAGAAATAACATTTAGAAAATACAGTATAATAGAAACATATAAATTAAAAACCACCTGTAAATGTCCAATCTTAAAATAACCATAGTAAAATTCAATATTTCTTATTTATAGTGCTACACGTTTTGCTTACCATAATTAGTAAATTATCAATCAGATAGTATATAGACATTCATACATACGCATGTTGTTTTGTATTTATCATTCTATCACAAACATGTTCAGATGTTATTAAATAATCCTCAGAAAATGACCAAAGCAAATTTTCCATTGATGTGTTTTGCCAAATTAATACACTGTTTTGGCATATTAATATACTGAAAGTGTACTTTCTTCCATTAGCTACATTTTAGATTTCAATTGCAGTTCTATAGAATTATGATTTATGAGTCTAGAGTTATGACTCTACCAAACAGGTATAATTAAAAGTTACTTTAAATAGAATCCTGAGTTTACCATGCCTCTTTTACCTTTGTGGTTTTGGTAACAGTTCATTCTCCATTTTACATCTCCATATCTAGTAAAGAGATTGTGAAAGATGGAATAGAAGATGTTCTCATCAAAATCTAACTGGATCTTAGTCACGTCTACACAGCAATCATCAGATATAAAAGACATAAATATAGGAATGAAATATATTTATATTATTCACTGACACACGAATGTGTACATGAAAATAAAAAATATTATTAGGCAATTTATTAGGGACAATAATTAAATGTAACAAGTTTGGGGACTACAAGGTCAATAACAGAATAATTTCTATGTGTCAGCTCCAAGAATGGAAAATACAATTTGAATATTATACCACTGAAGATAGTATCTTGAACACCTATTGTTGGCCTACAAATGGAACATAATTCTAAACAAAATCCCAGCAGACACTTTGCGAAAATTGACAAGCTTATTCTAAATTTTGTATGAAAATGAGAGGTCAAGAATACAATTATTCTTGAACATAAAGATCAAACTGGATATAATAACAGATACTAACAATTTTATAAATCTTTCATAATTAATGTAGTATTGGCATAAAAACTAATAAATAGAACAATGAAACAGAATGGAGAGCCCAGAAGCAGCCTACCATGTTTACAATAATCAATTTATGACAAAGAAACAACTGAATTGTGATGGAGGAAAAGATTTTCTCTTCACTAATAGGAGCTGAGTCAATTGCATATCCACATGAAATAAAATAAATATTGTATTTTACTTTCTACATAAAAATAAGTTTCAGATGGATTGTACATCTCAATGTGAAAAGAAAAACAATAAAGTATCTAGATGATAATAGAGAATCGATTTTGGGGTAAGTGGAATACTTTTTATAAGAGATCACAATCAGTAGAAACATGAAGAGAAAAGATTATAAACTGGACTTCATTGAAATACAATTTGGTTTATCAAAAGTCACAATATATAAACCAAGAAGGCAAACCAACAAAGAAAAATATATTTGTAAAATGTGTATTCAACAAAGGACTCATATTCTGAATATGCAAGTAATATCTAGAAGTCAAGTAGAAAAAAATGCAAAATTTTAAATGAACAACTCAATGAAATTTTAATGGACAATTAACAAAAGGAGATATGCCAAGGCTAATAAGTATGTGAAAATGTTTTCAACATCACTAGTCATTAGTAAAATGAAAATTAAATCCCAAATGAAGGAGCACCACATATTCACTTAAATGCCTAAAATTTGAAGAAGAGGGAGGACAATGCCTGTTGGTAGTGGGAATATATAATTGCATTAATGCTCCTGAGAGTGTAAATTGGTGCAATCACTCTGGGAAACTGTTTGGCAGTACCTACTAATGCTGAACTCTTTCATATCCAATAACCTGCTATTGTACTCCTCAGTACATAATTAACAACAATTTATGGTTATCTGCACCAAAAGATGACACAAGAATGCATAGGAGCATCATTCATAAACACCCAAAACCAGAAATGACACAAATGTCAGTCATATTACAATGAATTAATGAATTGACATATGTTAATACCACTATATATAAAAGAATGAACTCTAGTAATAATAATTATTACTCTTTTGAACAATATGTTGAGTAAAAGTACTGTTTATTTCCATTTATAATAAGTTCAAGAGCAGACAAATGCATCTATGATCATCAGGATCACACAAGTGTTTCCTTTTAGAGTGGGGTAATGCCTGGAAAGATGCAAGAGGGAGACTTTGGGGATCCATGTAATCTTTTATATTTTTTGAGTGACAGTTACATGGATATGTTTGCTACAGGTGAAGAAACAAATGCAATAAAGTAAAAATGTGACTGGGCATGGGGGCTCATGCCTGTAATCACAGCACTTTGGGAGACCAAGGAGGGCCTATCACCTAAGGTCAGGAGTTTGAGACCAGCCTGGCCAACATGATGAAACCCCATCTCTACTAAAAGTACAAAAACAAAAATTAGCTGGGCGTGGTGGGGGGGCACCTGTACTGCCAGCTTCTTGGGAGGCTGAGGCAGGAGAATCACTTGAACCCAGGAAGTGGAGGTTGCAGTGAGCCAAGACTGCGCCACTGCACTCCAGCCTGGGCAACAGAGTGAGAGTCTGTCTTAATAAAAAATAAAATAAAATAAATAAAGTAAAAATGCATTCAACTTTGTGCAGTTTACTTTGTGTTATAGTTATAATAAAGTTAAAAAGCAAGTATGGTGCAGCTGGCATGTTATGTTGCACAATGGAAGAAGAAAATATACTTAGGTTTATAGCAATGTATATATAACACTTAAATTTAACTTCAAGAAGTTGCATAAGCCCTTACAATTGCAATTCGTATATAGGTTGATTGTAGTCACCTACGCTTTTATCCTGAACATTTTTAACTGTTAATTAACAAACTCATAAATAAGTTTGCCAAATTACTTGTAATGAGAAAGCAAGGCCAGGAGAACTGGTGCCAAACTTTCTACACAACACCATAATTTAAACGCTACTAGGTGTCACTCTAACAGGTATAGAGCCGTCAGTTATTGAAATACGGTTCCAACAATTGCAAAAGAGGCATAATTTTCAAGCAAATGTGAAAGTTTTACATCCGTTTGTCATTTTGGAAAGCGTGAAGTAATTCTCAACAAGTTTTAAAATAATAGTATCATATTTACCAGTATTTCTCATCAAAACACAGTTTAGAAATCAATTAACAACAAATATATATTTAACACAACACATATTTGGAATCCACTACCAACGGGCTCAGGTATCAAAAAAGAAATACTAATGGAAATACACAATTTCACATTTGGTCTTATAAATATCAAGAACATTGAGAAAAAATGAGCACTGAATGTGATCTAAAGGGCCCTTAAAATAGACACTTTGTACAAGGCTTCACAGGTTAGTGAAGGATGGGAATTATTCAATAAATGAGGCTATAAGTTTGCTTATTCATTGAAAAACACAAACAAACAGAAACTGGATCCCTACTTTCCACTATCCAAAAATCAACTTCACATTAAATCAAGTCTTAAAATGTGAGTGACAAAACTATAAGACTTTATGAATACAGTCAGTAAGGGGCATTGCTGTATGAGGTAGGAAGCTCTTTAAAATAAGATAAAAGGTGTTAAATAAATGACAGATTGAAGAATTTTACTACATTAAGAACGGTTCACACATTCATAGCACACACTGACATGCCCACAAATAAATTGCCAAAAGGAAAATGAAAAGATAAGCCCAAAACCAGGAGATTATGTCTTTAGCCATATGCTAAGTACAGAGGCTGAAACAGAATAAATATTCGAAAAATATTTGTTGAATTATTATGAGGAACAGAGGGAAGAAAGAAGGGAGAGAAGGAGAAAAGGAATCAAGTGTTAATTTTCTTCCCATGACTCATCCTAAATTGGGCACTCAATTCTCCCATTGGGAAAGACAGCCCTTCATGGAGTCATTAACACTTTCTCTAATGATGCCTCTGAAATCATTTGTATATATAGATAGCTAGGCAAGTATTGCAGTGTGCAACTATAGGGCAGTGTGTGTGTGTGTGTGTGTGTGTGTGTGTGTGTGTCCTTCTAACAGTATATTATAATGGGAACAGTTGTAGGGGGAACAAAACTCAAAATAGGCTCTGATACCCAGCAGGCCTGAGGTCAAATCTCACACCAGCCTCTTAAAAGGTACATGATCTTGGTCATTTTACTTAGCCTCTTTGATCCTCAGTTCCTGTATCTATAAAACTTGGATAATATGTGCCATGCAAGTTTGATGTGAGAATGAAATGAGTTTCAGATAATCTGTTTGAAACGCCTAGGACAGTATGTGTCACAGAATCAGTGCTCAGAACTTTTTATTTCCTCCCTAAGGGGTTTGAACTCCAGGCTTCACTCACATCCACACACTGCCTCAAATGCCTGAGTAACCAGGAGCTGCCACATCTCTCTCCTGGTCCAGGGTGGATAAAGCTGAGGACATTCAGGAACTTAGATCTCTGCCATCTCAGCACCCTGGTGAATGAAAAAGCCAGCATGAGCATAAGCCAAGCATACGTTATTCCAAACTAGAGCTCAAAGCAACTGCAACACGCAGCTGGAATTTCGAATGTCGGAAACATTTCCCACTGCACCGCTGGGTGGGTAATTCCCTGACCAAGCTGAAAAAGGGACCTTTACAAGAGCCTCCAAGGTCTGAATGAAATGTTTTCCCTGGCTCTGGACTCCCACCCTGGATTAACAGCAGAGACATTAGCAAAACACTGACCGCAGGTTTTTATTTTCTTTTCTGTGGAATGTGGCTTGGTCCTCAGAACTGATGGTGGGTTATTTCTCCTTACATAACCATTTCTTCTCTGGAGACCATTTAGATATAAATAGGAAAGGCAAAGCTCTTTTTGTGGACCTATAAGCTGGACCACCTATTTGAAGAAGCCCCAACAATAGTAAAGACAGTCCGGGTTGGCCCAAATCTGAGAAGGGTGTAAAAGCATATATGCTCAGTGAAAAGGGAACATGCAGGTTTTGACATCCAGCACTCATTCAGAGATACACACATATACATGCATTCACACACACACATGCATACATACAAGCCTGTAGAAAGAGAATGAGAGAGAGAGATGCTGAAAAGAAGGTAAAGAGGTTGCAGCATCAGTGACATCTTCCGAATCTTTGTCTTAGTTTTCGCTGATCTAACATGTTGGTTTCCATAGCAACCTAGTGTGGCCTGGATAACAAGTGAAGCTCATTTCAGAGAGTTCTACAGAGCCAGGCAGAGCATTTTCAATGAAAGTTCCTTCTTGTCTCCCAGGAACTGCAGTCACTGGATTTCAGGAGGTATTAATACATGTGAACTTGGTAACAAAGACATTCTCTAGCCTGGAAAAATAAAACTCCCTGCTCCTTTTAGTTTTGAGATTCTAAAATTAGCAATAAGAGAGGAAGGCTTTACAAAATCCATGTTATCCCTGCTTAAACAATAAGACAAATATTCTAAAACAAAGGATCATTTATCCTCTAAAGCGGAGATCAAATTGTTTTCAAGGGTCATGATCACAAGAGAGGGTGAAAAATTAGAAGAGGTCAGACTGGAGGAAAGGGTGGATAAAGATGACAAATTTTGGTGGGAGTGTTACAGAAACTTAAATTGCTGGTAAAGAGTTAAAGAGTAGATTGTACTAGTAAAATGTATAAATAGGTTTATTAGGTTCTTCCATAACTGATAGGAGCTATAAACTTCTACATCACGGAGATATAACTTGAGATGTCATGTAAGTTGTCTTTATCAAAAACAAGCACCTAAATAAGAAATCATGAATTCTATGGAGCTGTGGTGATCCCAATGTAAGAATACAGAGAAAAATCATTAACTTGCTCATCATAAGTTTGGGAAATTGGGGCTGGACATGAGGAACTGGAGAATATCACAGAATACTTCTCAAAGGAGACAAAGTCAGCAGTCTTTAAGGAGATGCAGGTGTTAGCGCCTGAGCAGGGGAAACCAGAGCAATGAGGAAGAATGTATCAGTGAAGGGAAACCATCTAGAAATATGTGAAGGTGAGTTGCGAAATAGCCTGTATGGGAACAGAGGTATAGGCAGATGGAATTAAACTGTAAAACAGAGTCTGAAGGGACGTGAATTTGGAAAGATAGGTAAGGACCAAAATGTGAAGAGTGTTTAGATTAAAGAGCTTCTACTTCCTGTCATCAGTGATAAGGACAGTTGGAAAGAGGTCAAATGCATGGCAGAGGCATGACCAGTGAGCCTTTAGACAGCCATTGTGACCGTGCCTGTGGAGAATGACTTGGACATGCCTGAAGCCAGCAAGCTGATATGCAGGTCACTAAACAGATGACACAAAAAGAAGATGACACTCAGGAGTAAGCCAGTAGTGGTCTGGAAGAAGACAATTGACATATTTAAGAACGGTGGGTGTCATTAAGCTTGTGTAGGTGAGTGATTGGAGTAGGTCGATTAGGAAGCAAAGGAGAGAGTGAGGTATCACAGAGACTCTCAGGTAATCATGAACTGGAGCATGGACGGGCTAGGAGAAGGACTTAGGGACATATGAAGTTAATTCATAGGCTTCCAAAGCTGATATTGCCTTTCCATATTGTTCTCATGTTCAGATTGAACACTAACAAGTCTGGATTTGAATTAAAATTATTTTTATGGCATATTTGGAAGGATAAAGTGTGAGATTGACCAGGATATTTTTAAGAAGAGTAATGAAAAAAGACTGGGATTATCATATTAAAACATCCTAAAGTTGTAACAATAAAACTCCTGTGGGATCATGCAAGGGAACCCAAGCAGTGAAAATATATAGAAAGTTAAGAAAGAGAAAAAAGTATTTATAAACATTGAGGGCATGTTGAGACGTTTGGTTTATTCATGAAGTAATGTCAGAACATCTGGTTACACTTCTGAAAAATAATGTGTAGTCCCTAATTTATTACCAAGTTAAATATTCCTATACTAAAATAAAATTTTAAAATATACATGTGTATATAAATATACATCTGCATTCTTATATAAAGGAATGAAAAAGCTTTACCAACTATGAATCCAGTTATTTACCAACTATTAAAAGAAAATATGAATAAATTGGATTACAAAAATGTTATATCAAAAGATGCCATAAATGTAATTGAAAGACAATGAACTGGCATAAAATCTGTAGTAATACGTAACAGCAAAGTTAATACTTTAAATAACTGTAGTAAAATGATACAAAAAAGTAAAACAAATCCTAGTGAAAAAAAATCATCAAAAAATGTGACTAGGAAAGGCATAAAAAGGATTATAAATATACTATATACTTATATATGTACATAATATAGAGGTAAAAAATTCAATCTCACTGAAAATATTTGCAAAGACAAAAAAAAATGGTGGCAGGAATGCTGGATTGTCAAGACTTTCCAGGAAACAGTTTAATATCATGTGTCAAAATAATACACTTTGACCCATAAATTCCATTTCCAGGCATCTATCTGCAAATAGTGCAAAAGAATTCTATTGCCATGTTGTTTACAAATGCAAAAATTGAAAAGAATCTAAATTATTCAATAGCTGGAAGTACTTATTTAAATTATGGTATATTTATACAGTGGAATTACATATCTATAAAAATGAAAAGTTATATAGGCATATTCCTCAATATAGAAAATCTCCTTCCAGGACACTAGATGTCAGCTACATGAATGCAGTTTTTATGTATTCTGTTCACTATCATAGCTCTAGAGCCTAGACTCAAGCACAAAGTACGCTGTCAATAAATACATTTTGAAAACATGTTTGTTAAACGTGGTAGCCAGAATTCTAAAATGCCCCTTGACTTTTGCCCCAGTGGCATTCCCAGGATATACTACATTACACAGCAAAAGGGATTTTGCAGATGTCATTATGGTTACTTATCAGTTGATCTTAAGATAGGGGAGGTCATCTTGGTAGACCTAACCTAATGGTAAGAGCCCTTTGAAAATAGGAATTTTCCCAGATAATAGTAGAAGAGAAGTTTCGAGAGATTAGAAGTGGGGAGAGATTTGACCTGGAGGCGGCTGTCCATTGCTGAGATAGAGGGTCATTGTCAAGGACCTGAGAGGAGCCTCTAGGAGCAAAATTGGTCCGTGGCCAGCACCCAGCAAGAATAAAAAAGGTCCTCAGTTTTGCAGTGACAAAAAACTCAAGTCTGCCCAAGACCAGAATGAGCTTGGAAGCAGATTCTTCCCCAGGGCCTCCAGATAAGAGCCCAGCTGGGCACATTATCTTGACTTTGTCCTTGTGAGATCCTAAGCAGAGAATCCAATCGAGCCTGCCTGGAAATCTGACCTGCAGAACTATGAGATAAATGGGAGTTGTTTTCAGCTAAATTTGTGATAAGTTGGTGTTTAGCAATAGGAAGCTAATAAATTAGACAAAATAAGAAAGTTACAAACAGCATATACAGTATGATTCCCTTTTTTGTTTATATATTCATGTATTTACGAGTTTATAGAAGAAGACCAACTGAAACATATGCACAAAGATGTTAGCAGTAGGGTTTTGGTTGCTAAATTAAATTAAATTGAACAGACCTAGTTTCATTTAACTAGTAGACATCTGGGAAGTCTGATACCCATGATTGTCATGGGCTAAATCTCGTGCAAATAAACTTAAGCCCTTTTCAAATGACACTTGACCATTGGAATTAATCTCTTCTTGCTGTTTGTTCACAGAGAAGTATAGTTCTGGCTGTGAGATCTCAAAAATCAGAGTTCAAATCCTAACTTCACTGCTTAGGAGGTTTTTAAACTAGGGTGTTTTAAATAACCTCTTATAGTTTTAGTTTCCTTCCATCTGAAATCTGAATGAGAATACTCACCAGTGAGGATCATTATGAAGATTCAATGGGATGATAAATGCAGAGGACATAGTACCACCATTACTAAGTACCTGGCCAACTCTGCCACCTACATTCACTAGTTGTTGTTCTTAACGCTTTGATAAGCATTGAGCTCCTTTAAGAGTTTCCAATTTGGTCTTTCCCAGGATCTTTCTGTGAGCATGTCATAGTATTCTCTAGTGTCTAGCACAGTGCCTGGCAAATACCAAGTGCTTAGTAACAACTTCTGGTTCAATTAATTCACGAATGAGTAAAATGAATATTGGTAAAGTTGAATGCTTGGCTCCCAAGACAATGCAGATTGCAGTCACACAGCACTACCACGAGATGTCAGTATAAATAGGAAAGCTCTACAATTCAGGACTATTCTGGACCATCTTCCCCATCCCTCTTCTAGGGCTCCCGGGAAAACACACAACTGCATTACTGAAGGCAGAGAGCAACCTGCCAGGACTTTGCTCACCTCTCTCCTATTTTCACTGTGTGGTTTAATGCCTTAAAAACACAATTCCTGATGTACAGAGAAAAAAATATCTCTGCTGAGCTTGCCCTAAATAAAGACCCAAGAGACCTCATTTGGGGCCACTTCTGTATGCACACCCTCTTTCCTGTCCCTGCCTTAAATCTACATTTTGGGCTTGGATAAGGAGGTGGTGCCATAAGGAAGAACATGCAGAGTCAAATTCTGATTCCTTTACTTACTAGTTGTGTGTGTGTGCAAGTTTCTCAACTTTTCTGAGCTTCATTTTGTCATATGAAAAAATAAGAAAACCAATATATAGAGATTACTGGTGCAATGTTGCAACCATGCAGATTTAAGCAGAATAGCCTTCTCTAAAGACTAATTCCAAGACTGTCCTGGAATCAAAAGGAAGTATTTTCTTTGCAACTCTGGATGGATATGGACAGTAAGCCCACAACTACTTGGCCTAGAGCATTCTATCTCCAACAGGTGCACAAGTCTCTGAAAAAGGCTTACTTTGACATGGCCCCCAATGGTAATTTACACTTGCAAAAACACACTCTATGGAGCACAGAGATTGTTCCTCAGCTCAGCAGACTCTAAAAAAAGGGTATGGATGTCATTGTCTCTCTGGCTTCCTGTGGTCTCCATAAAACCTCCAAGTAGAGTATTTTGGGCTCATAAAAATGTCCGCAGCCCATTTCTCATCTGCTTTAATGATGTTTCCTAATGGTTAATGTTGAGATTGGCATCTTTTCTCTGGGGAAAGTGTTGTGAGACTGGCTTTCCCCTTCCCCAAAATAGCTGGTGCACACAGCCCATGAGCTGGAATGCAGAGCTAGGATTTTTCTCTTCCCATGAAGAGATATATCCTCCAAGATATGGGAACTCTACCTCATTTTTTGCAGTAACAGGCAGAACGGCCCTATTGCCACTGGGAAACAGTTGACACACCCGTTCAAGGAACTCTCTCATGGTGTGCCCACCAGGAGGGAGGAATGAAATAGACAATAAAGAAAAAGATATTACTTAGCATAGATTATGTGTGAAAAGGGTTTTATGAGCTATATTTTATAGATTAAAAAATCTTGTTTTAGAAAGAAGCACATTATTTTGTTTAAAATGCAGACTCATTTCACTTGACTGGGCCACTTCAAGGAAGCTAAGATAAAATCCAGTCATGCCCATAAATAGCCTTAGGGATAAACATCATTCTGACACACAGAACTGTGATGAGAATGTGGTGGGGTGGAGGAAGGGGGAAAGGTGCATACTAAATAGAATGCCCTGAAAATGTAGGGGAAGGAGCAGTTCGATCTCACTGGAAACTTCTTAGAAGCTGGCTGGCTGAAACAAGCCCATCCCTCTGTCATCATTTAGGGAACACCTGCTCTCTGTGGGCCTCCTATGGAGCACAGCCCTGCCTCCATCACTCACATTAACACCAGTATTTAAGTGGGGACTCCTAGAGTCCAGCCACGTAGTAGCTCTACGCAGGGCTAGGCTTTTTACTGGGTTCTGGGCATATATGGATGAGTAATGTCCAATTTCTGTCCTGCAGGGGCTCACAACATAGTGAGAATAAAAATGCATAAACAGCCAGTTGTTTTTTTTTAAGTACTTTTAGAGAAGCGAAGAGGTGCTCTGTGGCATGGCAGAGCTAAGCACCCAGTTGCTGAATCTCCCTTGGCTGACAGAAGCTTCTTCTTTTTTGAGTCACAATTTGCTAAAGAACATATTGCTGCTCCCTTTTGGTGTTACGTTTGATTTTACATAACAGAAATGTTTTTTCTGATGACTTTGCTTTGTGTTTGTACTTAAGTGGTTGAGGAATACCCTCTAGGGCATCATAAAGATCTAAATTTAAATCCTGGCTCCTACCCCTTGGTCCTTTAGTTTCCTAATCCCCCCAAACAGGAAAAACAATACATCATTGATTTTTTTTTAATTTGTTGCTGTTGTGGGAAAGCGGGGAATTAATGAAGATGATATGTGTAGTTTCCATCATAGTGGCTACTGCCTAGTAGAAATTCTACAAGCAATGACTCTCTCTTGCCCCACCCCAAGCCCATAGCTCTATATGGACAGGCAGGCATGCACATGTGCTGTTATGTAAATAGTGCTGCTAATAATAAAACTAAACACTACTATCCACCCTCTTCTGGGTAATGGTTATGTCTTTCTTCTTCCATCACAACCATAGCTGTTGATTTTACTGCTGCTGCCTTTTTTGCTAAGAATGACGTCTATTTATCTTTTCCGTCCTAGAGTCCTGTTCTTCCATCCCCCAGGAAATGACTTTCAGCAACCACGGTATTAGGGAGTGGTGAAAAAGTTTAACCTGCAGGTGGAGAGATGAGAAACTCATTATTCTTCAGCATCTTTTGTGATTCTAATTTTCTTTCAGATGCTCTTCCTCTCCCACCCCTCCCCCCAAATTATGTTGCATCTGGGTGTCTAAATCCTGCTCACAGCTGTGCCAGTGCCTTCTCCACTCTTCCCATCTGCCTGTTTGTTTTTCTTGGTTTTAGTTTGCAGTCTGCTATTTTGTATAAGCAAAATTATCCTTTCATGTCTTACCCATTTCGGCAGTTTCTTCTGGATATTGTAAACTGCAGCATCTGTGGTGCTTGTCTTCTAATTATATTTCCAGCCTCCTAATAGGAAGGGTGAACAGGCATATGGAATAGCAATACGGAGCTTTCTATATCTCTGACCTCCATGGAGGACTCCTCGCAGAATCTCCAAAGCTTTCTAGGGAGATTCATTAAGCCTGGCTTCCTAAGATAATGCACAAACTTCTGCTCTATAGAGATGACTAGAACACAGATTTAGACATAGCTCCTGGGCACATTTTCCACATAAATGAGTCATCGCGCCTGTAAAAGAATGACTCTATAAGTAGATACATATCTCCACTGTCTTGGTTCTACTAATGTTCACATTATTGCTTATTTTTAAACTAATTTGAACAGCTGAGTTACAGTAAGAACAAAGACAGCAGGATTAAGAGTCAAGAGACCTAGGTTTGAGATCCAATGTAGATACTCAGTTGCTGGGGCTTTAAAGAAGGTCACTCAACCTCCTTTGGTTTCAATTTTCAAATCAGTTAAATTAGCAGCTGGACTAGATAATTCATAAGCTGAATGAGCAAAATGGACTTAATTAACCCATGGATCATTGTAGCAATATTGTATTAGGAGTTAGAAAAACCAAAATGAACTGAATATGGTTTGTCCCTGTCCTAAAGGAGCTCACAGTCTAATAATGGGAGAGAGAAATAAGAATACAGATGATCTTAGTACAGAACGTGCAAGCACAAAAGCAGGAACAGTCCTCTGCATTGTTTATAGATTGATCTATTCCAGGACCCAACAACTATTTTTTTTATTTTTTTTATTTTTATTTTTTTTTTTGCACGGTGGCTCACGCCTTTTTTTTTTTATTTTTTATTATTTTTTATTTATTTTTTTTTTATTATACTCTAAGTTTTAGGGTACATGTGCACATTGTGCAGGTTAGTTACATATGTATACATGTGCCATGCTGGTGCGCTGCACCCACTAACGTGTCATCTAGCATTAGGTATATCTCCCAATGCTATCCCTCCCCCTTCCCCCGACCCCACCACAGTCCCCAGAGTGTGATATTCCCCTTCCTGTGTCCATGTGATCTCATTGTTCAATTCCCACCTATGAGTGAGAATATGCGGTGTTTGGTTTTTTGTTCTTGCGATAGTTTACTGAGAATGATGGTTTCCAATTTCATCCATGTCCCTACAAAGGACATGAACTCATCATTTTTTATGGCTGCATAGTATTCCATGGTGTATATGTGCCACATTTTCTTAATCCAGTCTATCATTGTTGGACATTTGGGTTGGTTCCAAGTCTTTGCTATTGTGAATAGCTATTTTTTTATAAATGGCAAAATAATACGTATTTTAGGCTTTGCAGCCCACACGATCTCTGGTGTAACTACTCTGCCATGATAGTATGAAAGCAGCCATAGATAATAAGCAAACAAAGGAGTGTGGCTGTGTTCTAGTCAAAGTGTATTTATAAAAGCAGGTAGGAGGCTGGACTTGCCCCACAGGCTGCAGTTTGCTCACCCCTCATCTATTCGCAAACAAATCTCATTGAGGTTTGCTCCGTGAGTGGCTGCTCTGTTCTCTTCTAAGAAAGACAAACTCCGTACTATTTAGAGGTGACAGCGTGCTGGCAGTCCTCACAGCCCTCGCTCGCTCTCCGCGCCTCCTCTGCCTGGGCTCCCACTTTGGCGGCACTTGAGGAGCCCTTCAGCCCGCCGCTGCACCGTGGGAGCCCCTTTCTGGGCTGGGCAAGGCGGGAGCCGGCTCCCTCAGCTTGCGGGGAGGTCTGGAGGGAGAGGCGCGGGCGGGAACCGGGGCTGCTCGCAGTGCCTGCGGGCCAGCGCGAGTTCCGGGTGGGCGTGGGCTCGGCGGACCCAGCACTCGGAGCGGCCGACCGGCCCTACCGGCGCCGGGCAGTGAGGGGCTTAGCACCTGGGCCAGCAGCTGCTGTGCTCAATTTCTCGCCGGGCCTTAGCTGCCTTCCTACGGGGCAGGGCTCGGGACCTGCAGCCCGCCATGCCTGAGCTTCCCCCCGACCCGCCTTGGGCTCCTGTGCGGCCGGAGCCCATGTGAAGAGCACTCAGGTATGGCTTGCTTTTTTACAGTTTCTATTTAGCATTTAAAACGGAGCCTAGGACAGAATAAACCCTCAAGACCCTTGATAAAGATTGGATATTTGTCCCTGTCCAAATCTCATGTTGAATAGTAATCCTCAAAGCTGGAGGTGGGGCCTGGTGGGAGGTGTTTGGATCACGGGGGCGGATTGCTCATGAGTTGGTGCTAGCTTCCTGTGTGAGTTCTCCAGAGATCTGCTCATTTTAAAAGGGCACATCCCCTCCACTTTCTGTCTCTCTCTTGCCCCTGTTTTTGCCATACGAAGGGGTAGCTCCCCCTTCACTTTCCGCCATGATTGAAAGCTTCCTGAGGCCACCTCAGAAGCCAAGCGGATGCTCCACCATGCTTCTGGTAAGGCCTGAACAATCGTGAGCCAATCAAATCTATCGTCTTTATAAATTACCCAGTCTCAAGTATTTCTTTATAGCAATGTAAGAACAGCCTAATACGACCCCCAAAATGTGTTGCTGGCTGGCTGGATGCGTGACAGAATTGTGGCCAGGCGCGGTGGCTCACGCCTGTAATCCCAGCACTTTGGGAGGCCAAGGCGGGCGGATCACGAGGTCAGGAGATCGAGACCATCCTGGTTAACACAGTGAAACCCCGTCTCTACTAAAAATACAAAAAATATTAGCCAGGCGTGGTGGCGGGCACCTGTAGTCCCAGCTACTCGGGCGGCTGAGGCAGGAGAATGGCGTGAACCCGGGAGGCGGAGCTTGCAGTGAGCCGAGATCACGCCACTGCACTCCAGCCTGGGCGACAGAGGGAGACTCCGTTTCAAAAAAAGAAAGAAAAAAGAAAAGAATTGTACGGAGGAACATGCAGTTATTATCTATTGTAACCTGATGAGAATATCAGGTGGCTGGAAATGTTTCATAGAGCAGGTGACAGTCTGAGGTGGGATTTGCAGGCAAATAGAAAGACAAGGAGATTATGTAAAATATCTCAATGTGAAAGATGGATTTCACTCATTTACACTTTTCTCCCTCGTCGAATCTCAAAATATTTAATATTATATTATTATTTTTAGTTATAAGTATGATTTTTATATTTATATTATTTTATATTTGTACATTTTTTATATTTATATTATTTTACATTTAAACATTTTCTTATTTCACCAGTTCTGATCAATATTTAACTATTATTACCAGATTGTGAATTAAGTAAACTGGTCCCTTTACATTGCTGAATTTTCTTACCCAACTGTAAATTCCTTCTTTATATCAGCTATCCGTTTCCATTAGTGGTGATTTTTATGTATGGTCATATAACCACAACCAAAACTTCTGGTTTTTGTCCAAAGATTAACTCTACACATTTACACTTACATGATTATACTAGATTTATTTATATTTAATTTTTAAAATTATATAAATATTATTCATTGTTAAGCATAGATAGATCCAATTCCAAGATGTACAGAATCCCCAAAAGTGAATATTCCTACTTGGTAAGATTAAGTGGTTTTTCTTTCTTTAATTCACCTTACTTAGCATGCAACAATATAATCTACTTCATGTTCGTACCAGGCCTTTCTTATTTATCCCCTACCTTCCTGCCACTCATTACTAACACATGCAAGGTTTTTACTTGCCTTTTTGCTTCCAGCATTATTTCCCCATAACATGTTAGGATATGTTTACTGTCATCCAAACTCTCGATCATACTTTCTATCCATTACGTCCACCACATTTTTTTTTTCCTGAAAACCTCCCTCTCTACCTTTCTCCCTGATCTGTACTTTGCATCCTTTCTCCTCTTTTGCCATCTGGTTTGTTGCTTTCGGGCTATATGCGATCATCCCAGCACAGCCCCTTATGCTCCTTCTGGGCAGGTTCTGTTTCCTTTCCTGGTTGCCTCCTTACTTTACTGAAATAATCCTCAGGTAAAGCCCTACAAAGAAATGAATAATAAAAAAATGGTTGACCTCTTCCTTACCTGAAAAGAAAAATATTTTTATGCCTGATACATAATTTGGTCCACGTATCATTTATGATGCATTCCATACCCCAAAATGGCTTAGGTAATAAAGATTCTTAATTATCTCAAATAACAGGAAATCTGGAGGTAGGTGGTACCAGGCTTGGTTCAGTAGCTAAACAATGTTATCAATGACCCAGGCTCTTTCCATTATTCTACTTAGCCATCCACAGTATGTTGGCTTATGACCTCCTGGTCATAAGTTGGATGACACAGATCCAAACATAATATCCTCAAAGAACTGAGTTTGAGGCAGGGCGAAGAGCTGTAAGGAGAAAAAAAGACCTTCCTGAATACCTCTATCTTCTTTATCAGGAAAACAGAAATGTTTTCCAGAAGCCCCTGAAGACGTCTTGGCTAGAATTGCATTATAATCCCACACTTCAAATAATCAATATCAAAGAGAAGAGATTTTGTCATGATTGATTTAGACTAATAATGATTCATCCTCCAGGACTGTGGAAGGCTCCCTCCTTAGCATATTTCTCTCATGAAATGCCTTATAAACTGGAAATGTGCTTACGAATAGGCAGAGAAGAAATGGTTGGTGGTTAGGAAGCCAAAACTTTCCACCACTTTTGAGCTATAGTGTTCTCTGTTGAAAAACTATCCTCTGAATTTATTAAGCTATTGCTCTATTGTGTTCTTTTTTTTTTTTTTTTTTTTTTTTTGAGATGGAGTCTTGCCTGTTGCCCAGGCTGGAGTGCAGTGGTACGATCTCAGCTCACTGCAACCTCTGCCTCCCGGGTTCAAGCGATTTTCCTGCCTCAACCTCCTGAGTAGCTGGGACTACAGGCATGCACCACCATGCCCGGCTAATTTTTGTATTTTTAGTAGAGTTGGGGTTTCACCCTGTTGGCCAGGCTGGTCTCAAACTTCTGAACTCAAGATAGTTCCTCCCGCCTCAGCTTCCCAAAGTGCTAGGATCACAGGCATGAGCCACCGCACCTGGCCCTCTACCGTGTTCTTGCATCTCGTATTGCTAACGAGAGAGAAATCCAGTGCCTGTTACTTTTCATTCCTATGGTGCTTTTAAAATCTTCTTTTATTCCAGTGTTGAAAATTTCTATCTAATTTCTAATTTCTACAAGGGTGTGTCCAGTTGTGACTTTCTTCTTCCTTTTTTTTTTTCAATTCTGCCCTTCATCTTTGAAAATCTTTTTTAAAACGTGATTTATTTGAGATCATGGAGCTGGCTATTTGCTAAGGCAAGACTCAAACTTATTTCCAACTAGCACTGAATGCTGGCCTGTCTTACTTCCTTCATGCACTCTCCACAATCCAGTTCTGTTTCAGTTTGGACCCTGCCACCCCCCTCCAATCTTATCTCCAGATTTTGAATTCATTACACACTTAGTTGCCAGATTACTTATGCTAATGAAGCCAAGGCCAGCATTTTGCTCTCTACCTTAAGCACTTCTCTATTTTTGACTAAACCCTACCTTTTCCTCCACATCCCATCTGTGCACCAGGTGGGCCCACTGATCAGCAGTGAGCCAGGAGGGATTCAGGAACCATTAAGTTCTTGTTAAGCACAAGTGCAATTCATTGATGGACATCCATCATGCCTCTGTTCATACTAAATTGTTTAAATCTTATTTTTGTCAATATAATAATCTAGACATTTAAAAATCAGTAAAAGTCACTTGTACAAGACAAGATCATCTCCATAATCTACCATTGCTGTTAATTTAAGCTACCAAGTTTTGGGGGTCGTTTGTTAGATAGTAACATAAACTAAGACATTAACTAAAAGGCTGAATAAACTGTTTTGAAAGAATATATAGAATATTTTGAAAGAGTGTATGTGCCTGTGTGGGTGTGTGTGTGTGCGTGCGTGTCTCAAAATAATAAAGGATATTGCAAGAGGCCAAAAATAATGAGAAACAGAAACAAACCACTGGAGACAACTACTGCCCTGGTATATCAGTTAATACCATACGTGTAAAGGTTAAATCACCACGGACCTCTATATAAAGTCAAGACTCCAAAAGAGCAATGTCCTCAGGGAATGGATAAAATTGAAGAAAAAAACCAACAAACTCTAAGGGAACATAGAAGGACACCGAACTGTATCAACTTTGACTCTAGGTGGAGGCAGACAAATATCTCCTCTTAGAATTTATAAACCCATGTTTCCATTGCCCACACAGTCCACAAGAACCCCGCCAAGCATTTGTTTGATATGGTCCTAAACTGGTAGTACTCCCAGGGGAAAATAATTCTGTATGTGAGCCAAACCTCATGCCCAGCCTCAAGTAAATCACAAAATAAATCTCACCTGTATTACAGGTACTGTCTTCCTCATCTTTGCTACATTTGATTCAAGTTGAACTAAAATTTACCTTCATGTTTTAGGGGTTCATTTTCTTTTCCAATTTTGCCTTGGCCTTTCTGGAATACCATGCCATCACTCAGATTATTAGTGAGTATAGATTAGGTGGTGCCCTAAAGATTAGAAAATCTGTATGAGTGAAAAAAATGTTTATATTTAAGATTAGATATAACTAAATTTAATTCTAGTGCTATAATAAAGCTTAAAATAGTGTTTTGCTTCCTTGACTTGAGGCATGCTATATTCCTACTTAGAAAGCTTTTCTCCTGTTTCTATTTTGAGGAATTCTTTATTTTTTAAAGTTTCCCTGACATACTTCCCCTGTTATCTTTTTTACCATATAAGCAAAAGAGTTAATTGCCTTTTTTCTGTGTTCTTATGGCACCTTATTCTTCAGGATAACACTTAGCTGTGTGGCTTTCCCTACCCACAATTAGGAGCCCCTTGAAGAGAAAATCTATGACTCCTTAAAGTCACTGTCCCCAGCATCTAACCAAGAATCTGACACACAGAGGATACCTCATAGTCACTGTATTTAATACACACACATGCTTTGAATCCAAAATTAAATTGAAAGAGAATGCAAACTCAATGTCTCTCCCTCTTTCATAGGAAACTTCCAGTGTGGACCACAGGAAGAAAAATCAAAGTAATCCACGCTCCCACATTTCCCACATCCTTCAAGTCACACTACACTGAGTAACGGTCTCCCGATGCTTTGGCAATACCCATGTGTCTTTCTTTAACAACCAGAAATTATGAGGCCTGGACAGGATGCAAATTGTTCTCAGTCAGCCTGGGAAATAGCTAAGGGAACATGAGGCAGATGAAAATGATCTGTTTTGTCTTTCCTACCTTGGCCTTTGGGAAGCAACGTCAGCTTCGATAAACATCAAAAATATAAGGAGCACAGAAATCAAGTGAGTGGGTGCCCTTCTTTCCCGTCCATTACCATTCCCAAAGATGGCCCACCGATGCTGCTTTATTCTGGGAGTCTTGAGCCTTCAAGAGCTCTCATGTCCCAACCTGTCCTTAAGACACAAGGAGAGATTTAGTGCCAAGCTGAGGTAGGACATCCACCTTGAGTGGCTATAGCCACACAGGTCTGTTGCTCAGTATCACGGCAGAAAGAACAGACCTAATGAGTCAGAAGCTTCATTTTTACAAGACCCCAGGTCAATCATATCACGTTAAAGTCTGGAGCAGTTTGGTATGGCCCTGAGTTGGTAGCATACCAGGTGAAGACAATTGTGTGTGTGAGCCAAACCTTTTAATTAGTTTGAACTGATAGAAAACAGAATCCAATTTAGTTACCAATGAAGAAAAACAACTTGGATATCTGGAGTCACATCAGATGTTTGAGGATGATCTTCAGGTTTACTTCCAACTTCACTTTGGAATCACCTGGAGAACTTTTTAAAAATACACAGCTGAACTATTCGCAGTAGGAAAAACATGGAATCAACCCACTCAAATGCCCATCAATGATAGACTAGATAAAGAAAATGTGGTACATACACACCATAGAATACTATGCAGTCATAAAAAGGAAAGAGATTATGTCCTTTGCAGGGACATGAATGAAGCTGGAAGCCATTATCCTCTGCAAACTAATGCAGGAACAGAAAACCAAAAACCACATGTGCTCACTTATAAAAGGAAGCCGAACAATGAGAACACATGGACACAGGGAGGGGACAACACACACTGGGATCTGTCAGTGGAAGGTGGCGTGAGAGAACAATATCAGAAAAATTAGCTAGTGTATGCCGGGCTTCATACCTAGGTGATGGGTTGACAGGTGCAATAAACCATCATGGCACACATATACCTATGTAACAAACCTCTACATCCTGCACAGGTACCCTTGTACTTAAAATAAAATCAAATTAAAATTAAATACACAGACGGGCCACACACACTGGATATTCTGAATTAATTAGTCTGAGGTGGGACCAGGGAATAGGTGTTTTAAAAATCTCCAGTGGTGGTTCTGATGCATAGTGATGTTTGAGAACCATTGATCTCAGTAAGAGCAGAAAAAGCCCAATGGAGGAAAGTGATGGATCAACCACACGTAGCACTGGAACTACAGCTGAGGTTTGTGGACAGCTAGTAAGCACCCTTTAAAATCTCACTGTGTCCTTATGTGCCCGAAGTTCATCCCCAAACGTTTGATGTGACTCCACATATCCAAGTTGTCTTTCTTCATTGGCAAGTAAATTGGGTTCAGTTTTCTATCAGTTCAAACTAACTAAAAGTTGGTCAAACCTGCAGAGCAGTGAAAAGTAAGGATCTCCCCTTTTCCGGGGATTATGTTTAATGGTTCATTACGTAAAATAGACTTCCTGCCATGTGGGAGGTACTGTGCTTGGACCACAGAAGTGGGACCAACAAAGAATCTGAAATTACTTTGCCATTTAGTGAGCCCTATTCCCACGTGCATGGCCATAGGGCACATCCAAAGAAAGCTAATGGGGCCAGGAGTATTAAGACAAGGAGGTGGAGCAATTCATTCTCCAATTTCCCTGAAGATATCACACACATGCACTTTGCTCAGGAAGTGGTCTCTCACCTAATCCCTGAAACATTAAAAATATTGTAATAGCCTTAGAAAAAGAAGAGAAATTTATATCTTTAAACCTGATAGAAAAAAAGCATATTTAAGCATTTAAATATTGCTAAAGGAAAAACTTTTTTATTAATTAAAAAATATATATCAAAGAAAACGTATACGTTTTAGGAAGACTATGTTTTACGATTTTTAAATTAATAAGTAGTTAATACTGTAATTGTTTCTTTGCATAAAGGAGCTATTATATAAAATGAGTATATTTAAGATAACCACATACTCATTCCTTTCCTTTCTTGATATGCAGTACATTTTCTTTAGAAGCCAAATTTGTGCTTTGGAAAAGGCAGCTGAATAGCCAAAGTTGTAATTTTATGAAACCACAAAAGACTCTTCTAAAGGAATCTGACTTGAAAACACACTGCAAGGAAATTAATAGTCTCAGTTCAAACATCCTCTTTAATCCATCTCGTTTTGCCTCTTATAAAAAAGAGAAGAATGCAGTTGTCAGGCTGACTTAGGAGAAGGACAAGTATTGGGCAACATGCTGTTGGCGTGAGGCTATGGAACTTCTTTCTGGGGTATCTCAGCAGCCTTCGGGGAGCTGCCAGGGCAGAGACGTGTTGTGTGTCATTATCAATTTGCACTCTGATTTCCTAACAATTCAAGAGGCCTTTTGACAAAAGCCTCCATTTAGATCTAATAATAACTCTGGATTTTTGCTAAACGTCTCACAACCTGGGAACAGGCCCAATTGCTAAACATACTTGCACTGCATGAGTTTCTTTTACTGAGCCCAGAGGGGACGGCCAAGCAGACTAGAAAATGTGTGCGGGGGAAATGTTCTCCCTTTTAAAAGTTATTTTCAAAAGAATTTCTTCAGTTCATGTATGAAGTCCACCTGAAAGATTATCGTAATTGTAGAACAACTGCGGGTTGTCGAGTCCTAGCTGGGATTATAGCAGCTAAAATTCAATAGCTGTGCTTTTCCTATTGCATCATGTAATTGTAATATCTAATGGATTGACCTACTTCCCCAACTTAGTCACAGAACATGTAGTCCATTTCCAATACGCTGCAATATCCACGTAAACCTTCCTATGTCCTGAGGGGTGTATTCAAAATCTATCATACTCGATTTCTATTGATTTTTTCTCATAAGGATACACAGAAATGCCTCAGCCCCTTTGTGTCTCAAAATATTTCTTGAATTTGTTCAAAGAGAACAGTATTTCTTAATTGCCTCTTTCTTCTAATCAAGTTCTTATCGTTAAAGTAAATATTCAACATTCCTTTGAGAATTTTTCATGTTGTCATATGAGAGCCACATTTCCCAGCTTGGGCAAATTGTAAAGGAGAAGAATAGGGGAAAAAGTCAACAGAAATGGGGACTGGTGTGCTGGTATGGGAAGGGACAGGATGGATGGCAGAGTCCAATTCCAAGATCAGTAAGTGTGCCATGGCTTTGTTAAAATGTCTTAGATACCTTGCCTTGTCTCTGTAAAACTTCCTTAAGTTCTCAAATCATTTTGCCTTTGCATCCCAATTCCTAATCCATTATTGAATTTAGGTAGGTGTTTTCTTCTTCTCCTGTCTCTTTTGAGACATTGGCATGTCCAGTATGAAGTAGGGAGAGGCCCAAGGAGGAAGCAGATAAACTCAAGCTATCAAAAACAAAAACAAAAGAAAATTCCCAAACTACTGTTCTGTTACTTTTAGTAGTTCATTCAAAGGGCATTAATGAAGCAGAAGGTTGAAATAATGGATTAAAATTTAGTTTACCATCTCTTTGGAAATGTAATAGTTTCCAGTTATTTAATTGCTTGCATGTGCTGGATATGAGGTTTACATCATGGCGCCAGCATGAAGCAACTTTACATTATGTCTAGTTGGATTACCCAACTGGAACTAGAGCACCTTTAAAAATCTTCCCAAGCATTGGTCATCCAACCTCTCTCTGGACATTTCCAGAGACACAACACTCCTGATGTAAGTCTAGCAGTCAGCTCATTGCATAGGTGGTGAGTCCAAAAACATTAGAATGTGGTTCCTTACGTTGAGTTTGTCTAGCATTCCAGGAATGTCCTCTTTAGGGGATCACTTCCATACTCTGGAGGGTAAGAAAAAAATCCATATTCTTTTCTACATGACTGCTTCTTGGGGAGAGTTGATTCCAAAATTATGTCAATATTTGTTTAGACTAGAGCTTTTGAAATGCCATATAAACTTCTATGAATAGAGTGCCATCATGGAAAAAGGCCTTTAGCAATTCATCACATTTGTTTCCATTACTAAACGTAAGAGACAAGGTACTTCTACAGGAGGAAGAGACATTTTAGTACTTAGTATATATTCAGGTTCTTTCTATACAGCAATTGAAAATCAATAAAAAGTACTTTAAAGTATTCACAATTTAGACTTACATATTCTCTTTTTTTGGGAATTAATCCTAAGGAAATCAGCCAAAATTTTGGAAAAGTTTATAATTCATTTCTATTTTCCAAAAGTTTTTTTAAAGAACATACTTTTTAGTGTTAAAAGTTGTATTCTTTTAAAAGGGTCTAGAAAAGCTAAATCTTTAAGAAGGACACTGAAAGGACACAGAGTGACTAAGCTCACTTTTTTTCATGTTAAAGAATGTTTATTTTACTATTTTGCATTTTCTCTAATGTCTGAAATCAATTTAGTAAACCATATATTCACTTAGGCCTCACTTTATTACTCAGTAACATGAAAAACAAGGTAATGATGGAATCTTACAAATTCAATATTTGCTAACCACTGCAGAAGGCATGGGTCCCATTCTATCAAACACTGTTAATTTAGCAGACTAAGCCTGTATTGACAGTCTTAATCTTAACCTAATGATCTGTTTATTTAACAATTATCATTAGAAACCTCTGGCTGCACAGGAAAGGATGTTCAAAATACTACATAATTTTGGGATGCTGAGGTGGGTGGATTATTTGAGGTCAGGAGTTTGAGACCAGCCTGGCCAACATGGTGAAACCCTGTCTCTACTAAAAATACAAAAAAAAAAAAAAAAAATCAGCCAGGCATGGTGGTGCACACCTGTAATCTCAGCTACTTGGGAGGCTGAGGCAGGAGAATCACTGGAGCCTGGGAGGTGGAGGTTGAGGAAAGGCAGAGGTTTCAGTGAGCCAAGATAGCACCACTGCACTCTAGTCTGAGCAAGAGAGTGAGACTCTGTCACAAAACAAAAAACAAACAAACAAAAAAACCTAAATAATTATTCCTGGGCACAATTTTCACAAACAAGATTGTGTGCAGTTTTGTACTGCAAAGACAAGACACAATGTCTCCTTGTGGCCATACACAAATGCCATGCCATGTCTCAAGCTAAGTTCATAGCTTTGCTAGTGCAAATGAAGTACTACAGAACAGTTTTGATACATTTTATCAAATTAACAAAAATATTTTTCTTCTAAGTCAATGTTGTCTTCATAAATCAAAGTCAGCTAGAACTTACTTACTGTGAAGGAATATAATTTATTAGCCAACATATAGTATATAAGTCATTTCTCTGTTACTAATATCTGGAAAAAAATTTAAAAAAAAACAAAACAATTTCACAGAGGGTGATGTTTACATTAAAAAAATCACAGTCATAAAATGAGGATTGTGAAATATTGTTAAAACTGTGGCTTTGTCACAGACTGCAATTGCAAATTGTCTGGAATAGTTAAATGGTGAGCTATTCTTAATACCTTTGGCAAAAACTCTACTTGCAGTATGATGACCGGAGACACAGCTGTTGGAGGAAAAAAGTTTATGTCAATTAAAATCCTGAATTTCTCTGATCTGGAAAGAAAAACTGCTATGAACTCTTTAGGTAAGTCATACACTTATTTATTCACTTACTAAATAATGAATGTATTCATTAATTAAATAATTATGCCATAATTTGCCACTCAATCATTTCCTCATTTCCTCAATCACTATTCAGTAATTTACTGACTCACTAATTTGATCACTCATTCATTCACTTAGTTTTTTCATTGGCTAGTGTGTTCTCTATAGTTGCATTAATTTTTATAACCAATATTTACTAAGACATGTTGCTAGGTGCTGGCAGTAAGGAAATGGGAAAGGTGAAGTCTCTACCCTCAGGGAGTTAATGATGAAGAGGACAGACAGGTGGCTTTGATCAGTTTTTTACTACAAGTAGGGAAAAAAGCAGTAGGGGTGCTGAAAGAAAGAAGTAATTAACTGCATTGGGAGTTTGAGAAGATTTTGCTATGTAATTTTCACTGTGTCTGCAACATGAAGAGTAAGTCATAAGAAAGGGAATGAACCAGAGAGTCAGGAGGGCTCATGTTAGAAGTAGAAGGAAAATCTTTCCAAGCAGGGAAAGCAACTAGTGCCAGGTACAGAGGTGTGAGAAATTGTACCATATTTAGAAAAATTGTGGATAGTTTAAAGTTTCCGAAGCAATAGGGCAAAGATTGAAAAGATCCTAGATAGGACAAATAGGTTGGGGTCCGGTTGTGAATGGGCTTTCCAACTACTGCTGGAGATTTTAGAGGTTTCATTGCATTTGCACAGAGACAGTGAATGTGTCACAGACCTATTGTTTTCATCATCTTTTTTATCCTCATGATATCTGGATGTAGATATCACCATTTTAAGGAAGTTGAAGATACTTAGTTGTTTCTGTGTTTGCATCACACTTTCATACCCCTGCTATAACTTTGTCTTTAAACTTTTCCACCTTCCTTAATAGAAGATTTGGTTCTTGAAGACAGGAGCTCTGTCTAACTCAGTTATGTACCCTCACTACCTAGCATTGTGCTTTACATATGACAGACACACTCCACAATATCTGAGAAATAGAATAACTGGGGATGAATGAATGAGAAAATTAATGAAGAAATGAAGGAAGTTACCTGGTCAAACTGCTAAGAAGTAACAAGGCAAAGGAAAGAACTATGTTTCCTTTCTTCAACTCAGCCCTTATTCCTACATCCCGTGTCTGTGGTTCATGTTACAAACCACACCAATAAGAACTTTGTCATACTATTTGTCACTGTGATCCGTTCCATGGAAGAAAATGGTTCATTTTGCTCATTAATATTAATTAAGATACATATTAAGTAACATAGTTGAGCTTCGTTACGGTAGATACTATGGCTTTTTCTCCTTTTGTTCTGTTATTATCTGACACTTACTATGTCCTAATTCAGTTAGCAAGTTCTAATTCATTAATGTTCGTCAAATGAATGAACCCAGAAATTCTTAAATTAAAAAATGTGATAATTAAGAAAGTTATGATGTTGCTTATAAAAATATATTAAAATATAAATATAAAAATATAGAAAAATATATAAACTTATAAAAACTAGAGCACATGAGATTCATACCCTTTCAAATCACGAGAGTTCAGATGCCCTCTCTGTGTGTACTCTTATGTCAGCCAGGATTTTAACAACTCATATATTTATAGAGACTTCTCAATATTTGCCCATTCAATTATATTGTTAAATTTATACTCAAATCATATTTTTATTTTAGCATTTTCATATAAAAATATCATCACAAAAGATATTAAAGAAAATTAATAATACATAAATCTTTAAAAACGCTGCTATGACACATTTTTCTTTTCCAAAATGCTTGTCTTTTCTTTGGCTTTTGTAATCATCATGAAGAGATACTTTTCTTCTGCTTTCACTACTTAACACTTCTAAAACAATTTTCATGATTACACAGAGTTGTGTTGTAACTTAGAAGCTGAAGAATAATTTGTTAATTAATCCTTCTCTGACTTTTGCTACTTCAATTTTTCAATTTTTTTTTTTTTTTTTTTTTTTTGCCATTTGGTAAATATTCTGGGAAAACAAGCCAAATAATGAAGAAATAGGTTTCCAGGGGTCAAGTAAAAGAAACAGGACTTAAACCTGGGTCTTCAAAAATTAAGTCTAGCCTTTTCCCCTCCACTCATTGCAAGAAATTATCTGCCTACTATTTTTTGAATATTTTCTTAAAATGGAATTTTATATCTAAACATAATGAACAGAGTTTAATATACATTTCTATTGGCCATGATGCTCCTGTGCTCTTGCTTTCCAACATGGTTGAACAAACTTAACAATGCCCCTAGAAATGTATGTGTTAGGTTTTGCTACAGTTTCCCCAGCATTCAGGTTATTATGTTTTCATATTGCTAGCTTAGGTAAAAAGAAAAAATGTTTCCCCAATGTTGCTTTTATTTGCACTGTGATTCCAAAAAGTGCAAGTAATAACATTACATTATATTAATAATGGCCTGAAATTCTGGATTTTCACTAAATCATAATGATGCTTTCCTACATAGTCCTATTCTGTGAGAGGTGATATATCTTGTAAAAATACATGCAGGGTCATGAGCCCATGATATTTTTGTTATTTGATTATAAGTCTGTTTTCTAAATCCCAAAATAAATATGTTCTTTTTCTAGAATCAACCTCATTTTATTCTCTATGTGGCTTATATTTCTAACATAGCTGGGGTAATGATACTCTATTACTTTTAAGTCTAACATATGCATAGTAAAAATCATGCTGTCTAGCCTAAACTTCCCTAAAGCGAATTCAATGAAACTATACTTCTGGAAAATATGAAAATTTGTCATAAACTTTTTGGAAAGTGATGGGGTAAACAAAACAAAACAACTTTTTAAATGCATATATTATCACTTTATGTATCATGTATTTCCAAGAGAAGGATATCATTTGTGAAACTCTGAGACAGGAGCATAGAATGCTTTGAGCATTCATCCTCGAAGGCAGAGTCATAACTCATGGTCAGGGAATTCTGAATCTAAAGTAACTGATCAAAAAATAATAATAATAAAACAGGTTTTCTTTTTATTGGTTTACAATGTCTGCTAACAAATGGATTATTTTTCTAAACTCTTGTTTATTTTCCAACAAATCATATACACCTGATTATTAATTGTCGTGCCTTCAAAAATTTTGTGCTTCAGTGGACAACAGAAAGCTAAAATATACGTGTCATGATGATTCTCAATGTTCTTTGGAGATTTTGACTGGATCATATATAGATGAGATCAGAAAACCCCTCAATCCTAACCAAACCAGCTAATTAGTGGATATAGGGTTCATAAGCTTTATTATATGGAAGTTTAGAAGCAGTTTGTAGAAGAGTTGCAAATTAAGTACTTCAAAGAAATAAGCCAGCATGTGCCTTCAGGGTTCTCAATGTATTTCCAGTTCACTCTTTTTGAAAAATAAATATGGTTTGAAATCTCAGGCAGTAGGGGAAAGACTATAGCTAGGTTCTTTGACCTGGTTTCCAAGACAAAATTTTAACATAATGCCTCCTTTAGTAAAGAGATATATCTCCAAAAGGGGTCCTAAACATTTCTGTTCATGTCACATTTCAATGACTTCCATTTATTCAGTTTCTAATATTCAGCATCTTTAGATACAAAGTATACAATCCCCATGACAACTTTGCAAAATAAGTTTGATTAGTATTTCCCTAAATTTATGTGCAGGCTGCAGATTAGGGAATTTAAATAGCTTGCCCAGGACAGCAAAGCATATCTGTGACTCACTCAAGTCCTTCTTTCTTATCCTGATTTTCTCTTCCCTCAGTAAGAACATATAGGTGCCACTCTGTTCATGAAACTGATGCCATAGGCTTGTCACTGTGCATAAACTTTCCTGGTCTTTTATTTCGGAATCAAGTAAAAATTTGACATTCAAAAATTCAAAAACAAAATACGCTAGGAGGAAAACAGACTTTTGTAATTTTTTTCCTCCCAAAGGAAGCTCATTCATCATGAGAAAGTAAAATTAAAATATTTAAGGGGGCTAAATTCCCAGACAGATAAGGAGATAGAGGAGCACACAGTGACTTTTGGAGGACAGCAGGAATGACGCCTCTAATATCAGAGCAGAACATGTTCACATCCCTTTCCCTCTCCAACTGTAAGACTCAAGGGTTCAATCAAGTAGTCTGCATATTAGTCAGGATCCCCTTGTCTTCAAACAATACACCCCAAATAAAATTAATATAAATGATAGATGATTGACAGAGAGATAGATGATAGATAATACATAGATAAATAGATCCATTTAACCATACCATGGAAAGGCAGGGTTGAAGTTTGCTTCAAAAGATTCATAAGGAATCTTGTTAGTGTTCTAGCTTTCTCTTTCCTGTCTCCCTTCTCCCCTCTCCTCTCTCCTCTCTGTATCCCTCATCTTGGCTTCCACCTGTTCATTGGGTCATTCTATGGGAGTCCTCCATGAGAAAGAACACTGAGACATGCCAAGGACAGGACCACATACCAATAATGGCAGCCAAGGTTAAAGAGATAGCTGCCATTTGTCATCCAATTCTGAAAATTCCATGGAATAACCATGATTGATCCAAAATAATCCATCTTTCATTTAACTGGATGAATCATACTGGCTCAGGGAACATAGTACTAAGCTGCAAATGTGACTAGCCCGTCATGTTTTTATGTTTCACTCTTAGATTACAGGTTATTTTAATCTCTTTGTTTCTTATCCTCCTGGTTATGAATATGTAGAAGTTTCTATAAAACATGTACCCTTAAAATGTGGCTAATAAGGATATTGGTGAATCTTAGGTGAACAACTGGAAAAAAAGTTTAAAAATTGATTCAATTTCTTTTGATAAATTGATAGTATAATTGATGGTATGCTTTATAACATTTCTCCTCACTAGAATGTGCCACTATGGTAGGCAGAATAATGGCCCCCAATGATGCCCATGCACTAATCCCTGGATCCTTAGAGTACGTTACATTACATCACAAAAGGAGCTTTGCAAATTGAATTAAGGTTGCAGATCTTAAAATACGGAGATTATCCTGTATTACCTAGATGGGCCAATCTAGTCACATGGGCCCTTAGAGGCAGAAAAGAAAGGCAGAAGAGTCAGCCAGAGAGTGGCTGTGGCAGAAGAACAGACATGAGAGAAGTGAAGTATGAAAGAAATTCATCATGCCCTTGCTGGCTTTGAAGATGAAAGAAGGAGGCCACAAGCCAAGGCATATGGGAAGCCTCTAGAAGTTGGAAACAACTTTCAGCTGAGAGCCAGTAACCACAAGGAACCAAAACCTGCCAACAAGCTAAATGAACAGGAAAACAGATTCTTTTCTAGAAATTTCAGAAAGGAACAAACTATTGCTAATACCTTAATTTTATCACGTGAGACCTGTGTTGCTCTTCTGACCAACAACATAGTAAGATAATAAATTCGTGGGGTTTTGTGCCACTGAGTTTGTAGTAGTTTGTTATAGCTGCAATAGAAAATTAATACACCCAGGTAAAACTACTTTTATTATTAATTTTTTTTTTTTGAGACAGAATCTCTCTCTGTTGCCCAGGCTGGTGTGCAGTGGTGTGATCTCGGCTCACCACAAGCTCCGCCTCCTGGGTTCATGCCATTCTTCTGCCTCAGCCTCCCGAGTAGCTGAGACTACAGGTGCCCGCCACCACGCCTGGCTAATTTTTTTGTATTTTTAGTAGAGATGGGGTTTCATTGTGTTAGCCAGGATGGTCTCAATCTGACCTCATGATCTGCCCACCTCAGCCTCCTAAAGTGCTGGGATTACAGGAGTAAGCCACCGTGCCCGGCCATTATTAATTTTTTTAAGAAAGTGTTCAGGGCCGGGCGCAGTGGCGCACGCCTGTAATCCCAGCACTTTGGGAGGCCGAGGTGGGCGGATCACGAGGTCAGGAGATCGAGACCATCCTGGCTAACGCGGTGAAACTCCGTCTCTACTAAAAATACAAAAAAAATAGCCGGGCGTAGGGGCGGGCGCCTGTAGTCCCAGCTACTCGGGAGGCTAAGGCAGGAGAATGGCGTGAACCCGGGAGGTGGAGCTTGCAGTGAGCCGAGATCGCACCACTGCACTCCAGCCTGGGCGACAGAGCGAGACTCCGTCTCAAAAAAAAAAAAAAAGAAAGTGTTCAGTAAGTGGATTTTGTAAACTGATGTGTTCAGCCCTAAAAAGCAGAATACTGATGATCTTGATTATTCAGGGTCCCACTGGTCTAGATTTATATTTTTAAGAATAACTAGGCTGGGCACAGTGGCTCACACCTATAATCCCAGCACTTTGGGAGGTCGAGGAGAGTAGATCACCTGAGACCAGGAGTCCAAGACCACCCTGGCCAACATGGCGAAACCCCATCTCTACTAAAAATACAAAAAAAAAAAAAAGGAAGAAAGAAAAAAAAATTAGCCGGGCATAGTGGTGGGTGCCTGTAATCCCAGTTACTTGGGAGGCTGAGGCAGGAGAATCGATTGAACCCAGGAGGTGGAGGCTGCAGTGAGCTGAGATCACGCCATTGCACTCCAGGCTGGGCAACTCCGTCCCAAAAAAAAAAAAAAAAAAAAAAAAAGAATAACTAAACGGGCTTTTTCTTATTTGAAAGTTTATAAAATGGGCAAAGTCTTTGTTAATAACAGAGTCCATGCTCTGTAGAAAAATGGGGTGGGATGCAGATTACCTACTCACACAAAACCAACTCTGCAAAAACAATACTGGGTATTAGTGAGACTCATTAGCTAATGTGGCCGAGAGAAGCACCTTTTCTTGGCTTGACCTTGCTTCATGGCTTTTCTGCCTGGATGGCCCTTACCTAAGTTGCCCATGATATTAATATTTCTCTTATTTCTTTAACATTCTGCTTTGCATTTCACTGACTTTTTGCTCATCTCCAACACTCCTAGTATCTGTTTATAATTCTGCTCAAGATAAAAATTCTATCAAATATGTTATTTTTACAGAGACTTCTCTCACTCAAATTGATCCTACAAAATACTGGCTGCAAAAAAAAAAAAAAAATACTGGCTGCCTGCTTTACTTGTAAACCTGGAAGGTAGGAATGGGGTGTTGTAATTCTATTACTAGCCTGGGTGTCACCTATATAAATTATCTTTGATGTCTGCCTTTTTTTCTAACTGCATTTTCTCAGGATACTAAGGCAATACACAAAACATTTAAACTTGTTTTAAGAATTCCAATGTTGACAAGATGGCAGATTAAGGTAATTAAAAAATCATCTTTCCCACTAAAAGCTTAAAAAGATATGATAAAATATATCTTTGAATTAATAAATACTTGAAAATAACAGCTGGAAACATGTAAACAAATGTTGCAGCTGAGGTTGAGTGGGTTTACTACACCCAAAAACATAGGATCTTGAGTGTTAGAACCTATAGAAGCCTTAAAGATGAGACCTTGGACCAAATAAGCTAAGAGTTGCAAATGAGACCACTGCTAGTACCTCCAATATCACAGCCTCAGTGAAAGTGAACCACAAAATTAATCTCCCTTCTGTCTAAAAATTAGCAGGAAAGCTCCCAGCTACTCAAGAGGCTGAGGCAGGAGAATGGCGTGAACCCTGGAGGCAGAGCTTGCGGTGAGCCGAGATCGCACCACTGCACCCCAGCCTGGGCGACTAAGCAAGACTCCATCTCAAAAAAAAAGAAATTAGCAGGAAAGTTCATTGATCTCTACTGGCACCTCACAAGAGTTTAGATTCTAAATTTATACCACCTGATTCACCAGGCAGAAATAAATATAAAAGGCTTTAGAGGTACCTCAACAACACAGGCTATATAGGTTTTCCCACAGGGCTCAGAGGACTGGGAAGAGGGAGGCCTTCCTACTTTGAGCTTACAATTAAAAATTACAAAACGCATGAGGAAACAATGCATCCTGAGCACAATATAGTAGATACAAACACGAGCATCGTTAAAACCTAAGGACATTAGTCAGTACAACAAAAAACTTAATTACAAATGATTAAAGACAAAGTCAGGAAATTAACACAATAAAAGAAATAAGAGACACATGAAAACAGGCAGATTTGACAGAGAGAATGGGAATAAAAAAGATCATCCTTGAATTTAAAAACTTATCAGACAGATGAAACATAGATTAGACTTATCAGAATAAGGAACCGTGCAATAAAGCAAGGAATGATAAGAATAAGTTCATTACAAAGAGATCATTGAGGGAGGATGGAATGAGAAGGTCCAAAATGCATCGTCTACTAGGAGAATACAGTAGAAAGAATGGTGGGGGTTTGCACGGTGGCTCATGCCTGTAATTATAGCACTTTGGGAGGCTGAAGCAGGCAGCTCACCTGAGGTCAGGAGCTCGAGACCAGCCTGGCCAACATGGTGAAACCTTGTCTCTGACAAAAATATAAAAATTAGCCTGGTGTGGTGATGCGCGCTTGTAATTCCAGTTATTGGGGAAGCTGAGGCAGGAGAATCACTTGAACCTGAGAGGTGGAGGTTGCAGTGAGCCAAGATCGTGCCACTGCACTCCAGCCTGGGAGACAGAGTGATACTCCATCTCAAAAAGGAAAAAAAGAAAAAAGGAAAGAAAGAATGGTGGGGAAGCTAGGCGCAGTGTTTCATGCCTGTAATCCCAAAACTTTGGGAGGCTGAGGTGGGCGGATCATGAGGTCAGGAATTCAAGACCAGCCTGGCCAACATGGTGAAACCCTGTCTCTACTAAAATACAAAAATTAGCCAGGCGTGGTGGTGCGTGCCTGTAATCCCAGCTACTCAGGAGGCTGAGGCAAGAGAATCGCCTGAACCCGGGAGGCAGAGGTTGCAGTGAACCGAGATCACGCCACTGCACTCCAGCCTGGGCAATAGAGTGAGACTCTGTCTCAAAAAAAAAAAAAAAAAAAAGAATGGTGGGGAATGGGGAAGTGGTGGGGAAGCAATATTTAAAGAGATAATGGCTAAAGATCTTTTAGAAGTGATGAAATATCATGCATTCTCACATAAAAGTAGCACTCAGAGAGAAATAAGGCACATACATACACACATATACACACTTAGAATCTAACAGACAGATCAGTTAAAACATCCAAAGATGGGATTAGATGCAGTAATATGTACAAAGGGCTTAAAACTGCACCCAACATACAGTAAGAAACCTGTAAGAGTTAACTATTCCTATTATCCTTACTTTACTTTTCTATATACGAATGAAATTTCATAAGTAGAATAAATGAAAAAACAAGTTGTTTCATGATAAAAATCTACACTTTGAGATTATTTGTATATAATTTAAATACAGGGACCAGTAGTATTTATGGGAATGATACATAGCAAATATGAGGATGGGTTACCTGTGCAAAGGAAGAGGTTAGGAGTCAAGTGGTCAGGCTTAGGCCATAGTTCTTAGGTTTGGGCACTAAAATCAAACTCTGAAGCAAATGCAGCAGCATGTTCACCACCGTTTAACTCAGCGGTGGTTACCTCCACTTACGGCTGTCGAGGTTGAGCTCCCTCGTGGGGGCCCAGCTCAGTCAAGGATTGCCCAGCCATGTACCCTGCCGCGGTGTGAAAGACAGAAAGCCTTTCTCTACTTTGCACAAAGACATGAGCTTCTGGTGGCCCTGTGCGTAAGTGGGTGCCTGTTATATTATTTTATGTATTTTTCTATGTTTGAAATATTTCATCGTTTGAAAAAGGAACCATGACTTCCTATCTGTAGTTTAGTAAATGGGATCCCTGTTGTTCAAAATTTGTCACGATTCCTGTGGAACCCTATTACATCACCTGACCTCCCAGTTTTCTATTTTTCCATCATCAGCCAATCCTACACAGGCTACTGTGGGCCTCAACCTCCCCACCTGAGGAATGGGGTAAGGATTATAAGATGATTACTCCAGAAATTAATGTCAGAAAACACAGTTTTCAACTTTCCCCAAAATATATAGTTTCCAATTGTCTTAAGCAAGTATTGGAAGAGCTGATAACCACCATATATGTCCTACTGTTAATAGATTAAGAAGGCTGACATCACTACAGCTGGGCTTGGTTGTTAAGGGAGAATTTAGATTCAGATTAATAATATAGATAAAGATTAATGCAAAAGAATATCAAGGAGATCATTTGGGCAGTTGATGGAGGTGTAACTTTTATAGTTTTTTTTTTCTTTTAACTATGTTATTAAAACAGCTGAAATACCAAATGCTGATGAGAACGTGGCAGCGGGATGCATCTCTGGTGGGAGTATAAAATGGTACAGGAACTCCAGAAAATAGTTTGGCAGTTCCTTTAAAAAAACTAAATATAAGCTTGCCATATAACCCAGCAGTCACACTCCTGGGTACTTGTCCCAGAAAAGTGAAAAATCATGTCTACATAAAAACCTGTAGATAAGTAAAAATTATATAAAGCAACTTCTCTGATAATGATACAACAATACAGTAACAAACTTGGTGAAAAGGGAGGAAAGTCTTACCACCTAGGACTTGTAAAACTTTTCTCAAGCAATTCTTAAGTGAAAGAGGAAATTAAATCTGAAATTGTAAAGTATTTTGGAAATGGTAATAATAACAGTACTGGATATCAGACCTATATAGATTTAGCTAAACTATGACTCGAGGAAGATTCATCACCTTAAAAACATTTTAATTAATGAGAGTGGCTGAATATAAATATATTAAAAATATTCCACTCAAGATGTTAGAATAATGAACCTGAAGAAATCAATAGAAAAAAAATGAAAATAGAAATAGAAAATAAGAAAATAGAAAAATTGTAGAATATACAAATAAATTCATGATTTTTTAAAATTATAGTAAGATGTGAAAAGCCATTAGCTAACTGAATTAAGGAAAAAAATACAAGTACATAAAATGAGATTGCAGAATAAACGCAGAAATTTAGAAAAGTTATGAGACAAATCTATTTCAACCCTATGAAAATAAATTTGGAAAAATGAATACACAACAGATAATTTTCTATGAAAATATAAATCCCCAAAATTGACCTTCCAAAATACATAAGATATGAACAGACCAGTTAACATAGAAGAAATAAAATTGTTGAAAAAATACTACCCCCTAAGAGAAACAAAAAAACAAAAAATAACCTGTTCATAGATATCCATAGCAAATGTATTTGTAATAGGTAAAACCCAGAAACAACTCAAATGTTCTTCAGTGGGTAAATGGGTGAATGAGCTATGGTACATTCACACCATAGAACACTCGTCAGCATTAGAAAGGAATAAACTATTGACACATCCAACAACTTGCATGGCTCTCATTGTGTTATTGTGCCTAATGAAAACTATCCAATCTCAAAAGGTTGCTTATTTGGGGATTCCGTTTCCGTAAGACTCATAAATGATGAAATTATGGAAAGAGCAAACTGATGAGTGGTTGTCAGAGGTTGGGATCAGGAGGACGGAGTGTTGGGTGTGAATATAGAGATATCAGGAGATTTTTGTGGTATCTCTATTATAGGAATCTGCATGTGTGATAAAGTGCTTAGAATGAGACACACGTGCGCACATGGAGGACCGTTCTTATAAAACTGGTGAAACATGAAAAAGATTGATGGATTGTATAAATATCAATGTCAGTTTCCCAGCTTCCTGATTTTGGTGTGGTTCTATTGTTGTAAGTAAAAGTTATTGCCACTAGGAGAAACTGGGTGAAGGGTACACCCAGGACCACACTAATACCTTTGCAATTTCCTGTGACTCTATGATTACTTCAAAATAAATAGTTAAAGTAGAGGGAACAGCAAGAAGGAGGAGATGGAGAAGAAGAGGAGAAGGATGATGTCTGCTTTGTTTCATTCATTCCTGGCTTTGGAGTTAGGACTTTTGTTCTGGCTTGGTTGTTTTGCACATGGAGCATGGGAGAATCCAAGAAATCAAACAATGATATATGTTAAAATATACATGGTTACAGTGTTAGGCTTTTTGGTGAAGGGGACTGGGGGCTGGGGGCTGGTGATGGGGGTTATGGTATCATGTGTTGTTTAAAAATTCACCTCAGATCACTCTGTAATAATTCTTTCCAGCCCATTACCTCCCCAAGTTGAGGACCATGGTATACACTTGGTGGGTATATGGAGGGTGTTGATTTCAACCTTACATTGGTTTTCAGTTGGAGAAAGAATTGGTTGTTTTCTTCACAGCCAGAGACTCAGAGACATTTGATCCACTTTCAGGTTCACTCTCAGGTTCACCCCCAAAATGACTCCGTGGCCCACACAACCTTTGTTAGGCAAAGGGCTTCAAGTTTCAAGTTAATTTCTTGTCATGACCAACATTTCAGCAGAGGAATAGAGACTGCTGTGTGGGTCTTAGGAATGCTAGCAGGATAACACTTAGTAATGTTGAGGCTGATGATGCCACCAACTACTGCTCAGCAAAAAATGCCTCACAGTCTGCAAGTCTTTTAAGATAACAGGATCAGGTAATTATTTCAAAAGAAATTTCTTGCTCTCTAATCTTCAATGTCTGCTGATAAGAGGTGAGATAAATAGCAACAAGTATAAGAGGCAAGCCCCAGATAAAAGGTCTGTGTTGAATTCCATGGCATTCTTTTTCACTTCCGAATTTCAGGCCCAAACTGCGTAAAATAAATTCTCCATGGAATTCAGTGGCTTTCTGGGAAATGTTTCCACTTTTAAACCCAAAGTATGGAGCTATTTGACTTCTGAAAAATCTGGTCTGCTCATGGATTCTTAATCTGGCTAACAATTACAATTAGGAATTCACTGTCCAGGTTAGAGAGGCATCTTATCCCCAGATAACCTGTGTCCTTATTCTACCTCTGCTGCTTGCTTGCTGTGTGACCTTGAATGAGATAATTTATCTTTTAGCATAAGTCCTTTCATTTGTAAAATAAAATTAAGAGTAGTACACACTGCATAAATGTTGGAAGTATTTGAATATGCTAATATATGCAAATTATTACATACAGTATTGAACTCATGGGAGAAACTCAAGCTCTGTCCTTTGGTTTGAAGGTGGCCTCCAAATTTCATGTGTTGGAAACTTAATATCCAATGTGGCAGTATTAAGAGGTGGGGACTTTAAGAGGTGACTAGATCAGGAAGGCTATGCTCTCATGAGGGGATTAATCCACTCACGGATTAAGGGATTAATGGGTTAGTGGATTAATGGATTATCATGAGACGAGAACTGGTGGCTTTATGAGAAAAGGAAGAGAGACCTGAGATAGCATACTCAGCCCCCTCCCACATGATACCCTGTGCTGCCTCGGGACTCTCTAGAGTCCCCGTCAGCAAGAAGGCCCTCAGCAGATGAGGCCCCTTGACCTTAGACTTTTCAGCCTCCAAAACTTTAAGAGTGAACTCTTTTTCTTTATATATTACCCAGTTTCAGTTATTCTGCTGTAAGCACCAGAGAATGAGCTTATACACAGTAAATGATAACTAGTATATCATTATTAGTCTTCCAGCCAAAAAAAGGAAAGGCACCAAACACGCATCTTGGATAAAATTCCAGCCTGACATTGTTAAAGTCTATAATATCAAAAATTATAGCTAACCATCAATGACCTAAGTATTTTGAATTAAAAAAGGAAGAAAGAGTCAGGCGCAGTGGCTTACGCCTGTAATCCCAGCACTTTGAGAGGCCAAGGCAGGAGGATGGCTTGAAGCCAGGAATTTAAGATGTGTCTGGGCAATGTCGTGAGACCACTTCTCTACAAAAAAAATTTAAAAATTAGCTGGGTGTCGTGGTGTGCATCTGTAGTCCTGAATATTTGGGAGTCTGAGGCGGGAGAGCCCAGGAGTTCAAGGCTGCAGTGAGCTATGACTGTGCCACTACACTCCAGCCCAGGTGACAGAGTGCAAACTTGTCTGTATTAAAAAGAAGAAGAAGAAGAAGAAGATAGATACATTTATGATTCAAGATATGAGCAGAACGGGAGAAAATATGTATTTGGAAATATTAAGGCTTTAAACAGTTATACGAATGTCTTACTGTTCTATAAAAATGGCTCTCTTTTGAAATAGGTGGAAATGCCACAGATCCAGTTTTGACTGTATCATCCCATGTAAATACAGGATAATGCCCTCACAATGTGGACCTTATGGAACTTGTCCCACACAACTGTAAGAAGCCCTTGGCCTTCCTCCCACCAGGCACTACCTAGCCAATCAACATAATATACAACTGAATCAATTTCATAAAGAATGATTCTGATCATGCCCTTCTTTGACAAAAATATCTAATAAATTTTCAGTCTTTTAGAAAAGAAAAAATACAAAATCTGTAAATATTTGCATACATTCAGTCTTCACCACAATATTTCCAAAATGTCTTTTCCACACTCATCTTCCACTCCCAGCCTTCATGAATTCTGTGCCTAGAGGTGGCTCATCACACTCCACAAGCCATGCATGTTCTGCTCAGCCTCTACATGCACTATTGGCTCCCCTTTGAATCCCTGCACCACCCTACAGCCAGATGCCATGTACAGCTCTCCCTAATCTACAAAGAAGGTTCAAGTGCTATCTGTTCTTCTTGTTCACCCCTCACCTTTCTGTGTTAGTCTTCTGTGGCAGCTGTATAATTATCAGAAACTTAAAAGTTGAGAAATGTGTTTTCTCCCACTTCTGAAGGCCAGAAGCCCAAAATCAAGGTGTTAGGAGGGTTGTGTTCCCTCTAAAGGCTCTAGGGAAGATTCCCTTTCTTGCCTCTTCTAGCTTTTTGTTGACTACATTCTTCTGGTTTGTGGCCTGTATTAGTCAGGCTTCTCCAGAGAAGTAGAACCAATAGAATGTGTGTATATACACCAGTGGCCCTTGAACAACACAAGGGTTAGAGGCTCTGACCCTTCTCACAGTTGAAAATCCTCAGATAACTTTTTGACTGCCCCAAAACATAACTAGTAATAGCCTATGTTGACTGGAAGCCTGACAACATAAATAGTGAATTAACAAATAAATAAACTAGTTATCTATATGTATTTTATGCAATCATGACATACCTAACTTTTGCTTAACTTTTTTGATACTTTTAGGCTATGCGATTTGTCTGTAAACTTTTTCACATTGTTACAAATCTCGAAAAATTGTTCTATTTATTGGAAAAAATCTGCATATAAGTAGACTCATGCATCTACGTAGTTCAAACCCAGGTTCTTCAACCTGTGTTGATAGACAGACAGACAGACAGACAGATAGATAGACAGATAGGTAAAAAGAGTGTGTTGAAGATGATATAGATAGAGATAGATAGATAGATAGATAGATGATAGGCAGAGAGACAGACACAGAAAAAAATGTAGAGATATTTATTTTAAGGAATTGGCTTCATGATTATAGATGTTGGTAAGTCCAAAATCTTCAGGATATGCCAGCAGGCTGGAGACCCAGCAAAGAATTACAATTCCAGTCTGAAAGCAACATACTGGCAAAGTTTCCTCTTGCTCAGGAGAGGTCAGTCTTTTGTTCTAGTAAGGACTGAGTTGATTAAATGAGGCTCACCCACAATTATGGAGGGAATCTGCTTTATTTGATATCCATTGATCTAAACTGATTCCACAATTATGGAGGGAATCTGCTTTATTTGATATCCACTGATCTAAATGTTAATCTCATCCAAAAAAGTCACCCACAAGGAAACATTCCAAAACTGTATGACCAAATATCTGGCCAGTATGGCCCAGCCAAGTTGACACATAAAGTTGACCATTGCCTGGCTCCATTTCTCCAGTCTCTGACTCCTTGGTCACATTGCATCCACCTCATCTGTATGCATGTCTTCTCCTCTATAGGACATTTACAAAATGCATCTGATTGCATTTACAGCCCACCTGGATAATCCAGGATAAGCTCCTCCTTGCAAGATCTCTAACTTAATTACATCTCCAAAGAGTCTCTTTCTAAATAAGGTAACATTATCTGTTTACCACATAAGGTAATGTTCACAGGTTCCAGGGATTAAGATGTAGATGTATCATTTTGGGGCCACCAATCAACCAGTTACATTCCCCCATACCAAAAGTAGCATCTTATTCTCTAAAGTTTCAAAAAACTTGTCTACATCTTTAGTACCCATATGTTAGGTTTTATTTATTATATCACTAACACAATCAACAAATAGATATCAATCACCCTATTCTGTGACATGCATTGTGCCAGTTGCTAGGGTCACAAAGAAGACTAGCAATGGTTCTGGCTTTCCATAGCTCAATGTCTAAGGAAAGCATATATATAAAGAAGTAATCTCAAATTCAATATAATATGTGCAACATGCAAAATATTCCAGACACCCCACTGTGCTCATGGAGTACCTTGCATTTATCCCTATGATAACAGCAGCTGTTAACATGTCCATATCCCTATCTGAAGCAGGAGGATGGGTCTTAGGATTTGCTAGCAGGATAACACTTAGTAACACTTGATTTCTTGGATTTTCCCATGCTCCATGTGGAAGCTCCATGTATGTCTTTCTTAACTTCTGTGTCCCTACTGCCTGTACAATGCCTAGCCTACAGTAAATTTTCGGTGCAATGTATTGAATTAATTTGTTAATCTAACAAAATAATAAGCTCCTACTAAATGCCAGTGCTTTTCTAGATGCTACAACTATAGCAGTATAGAAATCATTCAAAAATCCCCACCTTAATGAGACCTGCTAGATTAGTGGAAAAAATGAGTGCATGTACAAATTAATTAATGGCTAAACAATGTGCTTTGGAATGACAGAAAGGAAGCAACTCTCCTGATGAAAAAGGTAAAATAAATCTTGTATTCTGGAGAGGAGTTTTAGAGGTGAAGTGAGAGCAGAAAGAGCGCTCAGATGAATACACACTTCCATGATTCTGCATTTAACTTCTCTGTCATAGACTTCATCATCCTTGAGGAGAGAGTTCTTTATTTTTTTAATATTCCTATGACTCATGCTTAAATCAATGTCTTGAATAGAGAATACTCTTCAATTTCAACAAATGTCTAGACTACTGTGCTATTCCTTATGGTAGAACTAACTCCATGTGGCTATTTAAATTTTAGCTAATTAAAATTCAATAAAATTAAAACTTCAGTTCCTTAGTTGTGCTAACCACACTTCAGTTTCTCAAGAGCTCCACGAGGCTATTGGGTACTGTATTGGACAGTGAACATAGCCATCCTTATAGAAAATTCTACTGGACAGTACCATTCTAAAATAAAAGGATGAAGTGACAACAATGTCTTAAATGTTACAGCTGCAAGTACTTGCATCTCATAAATCCAATTTCCTCATTTTACATATGGAGACACCAAGACCCAAGAAGGAAAAGCAACTATCAACTGTTTATGCCAAGTTGGTCGATATCATGGCTAAACTGGAGCCCAGGTGTGTTGACACTTCATGATGCACTGCAGTCTGCCCTCTGTAGCTCATTTATACTATATCATACTACCCCAACTTTTGCTCTAATGTTTTTCAAGAGCACACGTTTTGTTGTAACATACTCTCTTGTAGAAAAATTTACCCAGGCCTTTCTCTTATGACTCTGGGCAGGGCCAGCGAGGAATTTACAAGAAGGGCCTAGGTAGCTCTGTCAGAGCCTTGGAGCAGTTGATAGGTCAAGGAATGGGTTTAGGCCTATCATCAGCTAAAAATTAACACTGATGAGTGCAGTGACAAATCACTAGAGATGTGGAAGAAAATATGAGAAAGTAGAGAAACGGTGGATTATGGCAAAAAGACTTGAATTAGAAAGGCTTGAGCTCACAGTCCATTTCTCCTCTTACTGTGGCCTTAGGTAACTTACCTTTTTATACTGAGATTTTTCCTTACCTGCAAAATAGAAATAATGACACCAGCATCATTAATCAATATATAGCATATTGATTACATAGCAACTGACCAAAGGAGATTCTAAAAAGTATGGTAGCTTTACGATGATTATAGTATTATTGCTATATTATCATAATGAGAAGAAAACTATTAGAAAATAGGTTCAGACATAATAATAGAAGCAAATATTTATAAAGCACTTATGAACTAGGCAATGATCTGAGTGCTTTGCACATATTAATTTATTTAATGTCTATAACAAGACTGTGAGGGATAATAAAATTACTCCTGTTTTATATATGCAGAAACTGAGGCACAGAGTGACTTACCCAAGATCATCAGCTAGGAAATCTAAAGCTGAAACTCAGGCAGTGGGTTGCAAAATGTATGCTGTTAACCACTCTGATTTTGAAGGGAAGGGGCCCTGCTTCCCTCCAGAGAGGGACACTTTTACACTTTTACAGTCTCTCCACCCTGCAAGAACCCATGAATGACCCTTTGTTGAATGAGTATCCTGGAACTTACAGATTAATCAGTGGAAGGTGGGAAAGCTGAAACCCAGGGTACCATAGGACTTGGGTCCCAGAATAATGTGATGATTCAGGGCACCTGGTTTCTTATGGGCTGCTTCTGGATCATTCTCAGGTGCAGCTCTGCACTTTTTCTTTCAACTCTTGCAGATGGAGCACTGACACTTGGTTGAGCTAAAATGCAAACAACCACAGTTTGGCCTCAGCCCTCCTGAGCTAGTTCCTGTTTTCAAAGCTTCACAGGCTGTTGAAACACAGACATCCTACCTAATAATTTTAACTCTGCAAAAAGTGTCTCCAGTGGAAAAGTGTCCATATCCAGTATTCATTGGTTCATTTGTGTAATAAATATTTATGGAGGACGACAAGTGCCAAGAACTGTGCATAGAGAAACAATACAGGCAAGACTCTTCTGTAAGAAGCTCAGAGCTCGTGAAGGACAGAGATATGTAAACAGAAAATCAAATCAAGTCTTTTAAATTTTGTGAGAAAGTCTACGTAGGGAACAGAAGGTGCATAGAAGAGAGTGGTCTGAACTATCTGAGATGCCAAGGAAGATTCCACAGGCTTCTCAACTCAGTTACTTTTCAGACGACACTGAAACTGGGACACTAACTTTTCTGGAATAGCTGAGGAAAGTTTGCTCTGGATTTCTGGGTGTGTGAATCTTCTTTCTTGTCTCTGTTCTGAGAAACATTAATGAACATTTGCATTGAGTAAGATCTGGCTGTCTGCCCTATTTGGCTTAACTGGAATTTTGAAGCAAATTCTGAGGGGTGGGTGAGTTTTTCCAATTCCTTAATTAAACAACTGGAAGACTTCATGAGAGTCATTCATCTTTGTATCTTTTCAAATGACTTTCACTGAAAGGGCCACTATGTTGCAGTCACCACTTTCCTTTAAATAATATTTCTACTGTGTTCTTGAGCTGTTTATTTTTATAGTTCTGTGTATTTGACCTAAAGCTTTTAACCTTGTGTGTGTGCCCTGAAGTGACTTTATTGCAAAAGGGTTTGGCTTATAAATCTCAATAATAAATAATATTCAGTCGTAACACAAGGGGAAGAAATATCAGAACTGCCTGTTCCCTTGAGAAACGTAACAGCAGAAAGGAAAAAGTATGAGGAAGCTCAGGTCAATGAGTGGCCACAGAGGGCTCTGAAACCCTTGAGCAGAATTGAGAAAAATTGTGTGTATCAACTACGCAACATACACCAGGAGCTATGGATCCTGCTTTGGGACATAAATCTTAATAGAGCAAGCACTATAAAAGAGGGAAAACCTGTGGCTCAGCAATGTCAAGAGAAGTCCCTAATGTTACCTAGCTGGTTGGTACAGGGATGAGAACTTAGACTACCTTTGTGCAAAAGCTTTTGCTGGTTCCATTATACCACACACCCTCATTATTAAAATCTATCTATTTCATGAAACTGGTCAAAAGATATGGCTTTCAGGAATTTGGATTAAGGTGTACAAAGAACTATGCACTATCATGCAGAAAGGCCATTCGAGTTCCTATAGTTTAATACCCAACCTGTTAATTCCTAGGTTCCCCTATTATTTTTTTTTCCTTTTTGATTCAGATATTTAGAAACATTTGTCTCCTGACTTCCACTTCTAGCAATACTACAAGTGACAGACCAACATTCCTACTGTGCAAAACAAAAATGCCAGATCAAAAAAGCATCCAAGAACCACTAGGGCAACCAGGTTCTGGAGAGTTGATAGAGTAAAGGGAATCTTCTGGAATAACACAGTTGATGTCCCATCCCCAGAGTCTTGCCTTCCACCATGATCCTGTGGCCTCCCCAGCTTTGCTGCCCATTGTGAGAGTTTTAATCCCCCAAGTTCCTGTGGTCTTCTGCCATCCTCCAGGCTGCTCTGCTGTTCCTGCATCATCAACATCACACCAAAGAGCCCAGAACCATCTCTGCATCTCCTGCTATGAACCTTCCTCTGGACAGGATGCCCCACCAAGCTTCTCATGGGTGCTGGTGCTCCCTCCCTCATTCCTACATTCTGTACTGCCATGGTGCAGGGGCATAGTCAGGTGCTGGAGTCTCTGGTCCTGTATTTGCCAGCCTGAGCTGTCATCACCAAATGCCACAGACTAGATGGCTTAAAAAACTGACATTTACTTCTCATGGTTCTGGAGGCTGGAAGTCCAAGATCAAGGTGCCAGCAGGGTTGGTTTCTTCTGAGGTCTCTCTTCCAGGCTTTCAGATAGCTATCTTCTCACTGTGTACTCATGTGGCCTTTTCTCTGTGCTCCCATACCCTTGGTGTCTCTTCCTCTTCTTACGAGACCATCAATTCTATCAGATTAGAGCCCAGTCCCTATGATGTCATTCAACTTTCACTACCTCGTTCTAGGCTCTATCTCCACATGTAGTCACATTGAGCATTAGGGCTTCAACATCTGAATTTTAGGGGAGGAACACAATTCAGTCCATAACAGATCTGATGTCACAATCCATTCCCTTAGCTTTCTTACCTCTTCCTTAATCATACTTTTCTAAACCAGTCCCAGCATTTCTACTTTATTTGATCTAGTGACCAAATCGATGAATGCATAACTTTAGTCACCAAACTACCCCACTTAAGACAATGAAGAGGAATGCTTATAGGAACATTTTTAAAAGTTGCCTCTCAAATTATTAACTATTTTCATCCCTTTCCTCAACCTTTATTATTCAGTAATTTGCTAAATTGGATGTTCACTATAAGGTAGCTTTTTCAGCTGATAAATGTCAAACTACAGCAATAAAAATTGATTATAGCAGTATTATTTATTGAACTTCTACAAAGTGTTAAGGTACCTGTGCTATGTACTCTGCTTCTGTTACTTTTAATCATCAAAAAAAACCCCAAAAATACTTGTTTTCACATTTTACATATTATAGGTAAAGAACCTAAGTCTCAGTACTGAGGGTGTGTCGAAATTCACACAGCAAATGAACAACCGACCCCCATGATTTGAACCAGGTCTGTTATTTCAAAATTAATGTGCTTTCAACATAAGGAGTCCATTCAACAGATACGTTTACCCTAAGTGTTGGGACTTATAGAATATCAAAAAGAATTTGCAGACTCTATCAATATCTTACAAATGCCTATGAGTCCTAGAATTCTGTCATAAGATCCGCTATTCATATTCAGCCCCTATTTACAGATAAGAAGACTGAGGGCCAAAGATCAGAGCTGCATTACAACTTTCTTGGACACTAGGGTACATTTGCCTGTGTGGTCCTTTTTCTTCATGAAATTTGATTTTACACTGTGTAGACATAAAGACAAAAATGTTAATATTATAAGATCTATATCTTTTTTCTGTGCTTCCACACCCTTGGTGACCCTTACTCTTCTTAAAAGGGCACCAATTCTATTAGATTAGGGCCACATACCTATGGTGTCATTTAATCCTGTGATATAATATTAATCAACATTACCAATCTTATATTATCAAGATAATATAAAATAATAGATAATATAAAATTGATAATATTATAGACTATTATAATCTATATCAATCTTATAATCTATAAATTATTATAAGTTTGTAATCTATAATTATTTTTATAACTCATTATACAAATTATTACAAGTTCATTTTTTTCTTCTTCTTCCTTAAAATAAATTAAAACATTCTTCTGGACCCTTGAAAGCTGGCACTGTGCTTGCTGTGCCTAATGGGTAAGTTGGTCATGCTAGAAAGGTTAAGCAACATCCCCATCCATGTATAGCTCTAAATGGACATGCCAGGGTTAAGGGCCAAGTCTTCTGCCTCCAAGTCTGTATCTCCCTGCACTGTATTATGTTTTCTTCAATTGGAGATTTGAAATATATAAAATATTGGTTTGAAATGCATCAAAAAGCAACCACTTGGTTATAGTTTTGAACCTGTATTGAGTTAAGGGTACAAATTTCATTGGAAAAATGAAATAATCCTTAATCAAGTAAGGGAAGGCCAACACCGTCATACTGACATGCAAAATCCTGAATCTTATACAGAATCCATGAAGTATAAACTGCACAAGCTGTGGATATTCACACACAGAAGCCCCGCGAAATGGGAAGTGAATAATTGCTTCTATGACTTGGTTTATTCTACCATAAATAGGACTTTCCTAAAACATAAGACACTCATTATTCCTGAGGTAGTTGCTGGATTCAGATGGATTCTTTACAAATGAAGGCTCGGGGACATTCATCGAAGCCTCATCTTCCATGCTCAGCATAGAGATGGGTGAACAGTATTCTTAGAACACAATTGTGCCTAACCGTTTCTGCAGGTGACTTGATGACCAGGAAATGCTGTTGAACTTGCTCTTTATTCATTAAGACCTGTGAGTCTTCTCCATATCCTTGGGCCTAGGGCTTGCCATCAGTGTTGCAAAAAATTATCCTAAAGCTAGACCATTGAGCAGGCGAGTCATTGGCTTGACGAGGGGATCTTATCCAGGGAAACCAGGAGAAGAGATTTCAATGGGTAAGGTTAGCCAGAGTCCTTAGGTGGTACTGAGGGTTGAGAGCTGAGTTGAAGAAATGAAGTTAAACCCTCAAGTCCAATGAGAAAAGGTAAGAAATTATGAGGGTTTATCTCATGCATCAACTTAGCTGGGCCACAGTACCTAGATATTCAGTTAAATATTATTCTGGATGTTTTTATGAGAGTGATTTGGGAGGAGGCTAACATTTAAATGGGTGGACTTTGAGTAAAGCAGATTGCTCTCCATAATATGGGAGAGGGGTCCATCCAATCAATTGAAGGTCTTAATAGATGAAGACGGATCTCCTGTGAACAAGAAGAAATTCTGCCAGCAGATGGTCTTCAGACTTGAACTGCAACATCAGCTCTTCCCTAGGTCTCTGAACTGCCAGCTCACCCTGCAGATTTTGGACTTGCCAGCCTCCATAATCTTATGAGCTAATTCCTTAAAATACATCCTCCCAGTATTTATGTGTGCTATTGGTTCACTGAAGAACACTGAATTGATTAATTAACATTGATTTATACAGAAGGAGAAACAAAGTCAAGATTCAAAGGCTGCAGATTTTGAATGGGATGCTGATGCATCTGAGGTAGGTCAAGGCAACAGAGTGATGGCTGGCATGGGCCTGGAAGTCTGTAGATGTGTCACTGTGGCAGCTGGTGTGTGAGCTGATAGAGTAAGGAGGGATAAGGCTTATCCACAGGAGAGCAGTTTCCTATAGCTTCAACATTACCGCTCTATGACCACAAGCTAAGAGCCTGTATTCATTTTCTGTGGCTGCTGTATTAAGTCATCACATAGTGGTTTACATTAACAAAAGTTTATTCTCTCACTGTTAGTTCTTAAGGCCAAAAGATCAAAATTAGTAATAATGGGCTGAAATCAAGATATCAGCAAGTCCAAGCTCCCTCCAACGCTCTGGAAAGCACCTATCTGTTCCTCACCTCTTCCATTTTCTGGTGGCTGCCAGCATTCCTTGGCTTGCAGCTGCATCACTCCAATTTTTACCTCCATCTTCATGTAGTCTTCCCCTCTGTGTGTCTATTTTCCCTCTACCTCTCTCTGTATAAGGTGACTTGTGATGGTATTTAAGACCCACTTGACAATCTATGATAATCTCTTTATTGTAAAGTCTTTCATTGAATCACATCTGGAGAACTGTAACATATAAGGTAACATTGAGAGGTTCCAAGGTTTAAGGCCTGATATCTTTGGGGCCACCATTCAGTCCACTGTGGATTCCATTCTCTTTTTGGTACAGCCATCCTCCTCCTCTGTTGGTATACATCAGAATCATGACCACTAGAACTTGAACTCCTTATTCTATTCTGTGCTTTTGGAATCTGTACAGTGGTTCTGAATGAATTCTTCTGTTTCATGCAAAAAACTCCTATGCACTCTTGAAAACATGCTTTGTTGCACATAAGTTACATGTAAATCATTCGCACAGCCCTCAGCGAGTTCTCAAGACAGAAACTCCATGCCCTGAGGTCAACACTCTCCTTCCTCTCTCTGTATACAGCATAATAGTTACAAACATGGTCTCTGGTCCAGAATCCTAGATTTAGATATGGAATCAGTCATTTACTAGCATCATGACCTTGAGCAATGTTTAACTTCTCCAGGTTTCAAGTTCACCATAAAATCAGGGTGATGATAGGATCTACTCTGTAAGATTGTTGTCAAAGATTGAATTTGTACATACAAAGCATGTAATTCAGTACTTGTTCTATGAGTGTCAGCTCAGATAATGATGATAATGCCTGGTCTCTGTCCATCCCTTCCCTGGGCCCTATTAAGTGGATTATCAGTTGTCCAATTACCACAGAGCCTTTGGGTCCTCTTAAAATTATCAAACTTCTTTATATAATTTCTGAGTGTTGCTTTCTGAATCTTTTACCATGATTTTTATTCCATAATTTTTGGCAAATGGTATAGAATAGTGGTTAGGAGCACAATCATTGGTATCAGTGAATGACTCTCAGCCTGGTTTCTTCCTCTGTGAAGTAGACATAACCATACCTATCACATGGATTCCTGCAGATGGCGGATAAGGAAACCATGTAGGTATGTGGAAGATAGTAAGTGATCAATAAATGGAAGCTATAGTTATTTCCATTTTTTTTTTTTGCAGAAGCCATGAAGCAGGGAGTGGTAGAGGCAGTAGCATCAGGTCTGAGGCTGGGCCATGTGCAGTCCACTCCACTCCATGTAAATAGCCTTCATGTCAGTCTTAAATCTTTTCTCTTTAAGACACAGCTCATTAAAACCATCTGCTAGCCACCCTTGGTTAGCTGAGGCTAATCCCTGTTTACTGTAAATGTCAAAATGTGTAAGGAGACCTGAGGGTGGGGAGTGGCTGGAGAAAAACACAAAAATCCTTTGAAAAAAACAAGGAACCTCTAGAATGACGAGCGTCCTCCTGCAAGTGAAAAGTCTTCGTACTTAATCCTCCTAATGTCAGCGGTGTCGATTCATACAAAAGGTTGCCACATGTTCTACAAGACTGAACTTGCATTTCCGCTATAAATGTGTTACCAATGAGTCCAGACTTGCAGCTCCACCAACTGAGGTAGGTATATGGAGCCTGAAGGTCCTGAGGGTCAGGCTCCCCAACCTCCATGGACCTGCAGAAGGAAGGGACTCTTGGCCTTGGCAGAAAAGGCACATCTAACCGGAGGTGCCTGATGGCATTGGCAGCAAGGACCCGAAACCCCTCCTTGACCCCCTTTAAATGCCAGGCACAGATGTCACCTCGCTGGCTGTGGTATTTTGTGCTCTCATTCTTTGCTGCACATGTGTGGGGTCCTTTTTCACCAGGGATGACCTAAAACAAATGTCGAGGCAAAATCTAACATTAGACAAAGAGATTCCAAATCTCAAATGACTTCAACTGCTTTTGCAGCTGTCTCAGAAAAATTCTTCCCCACTAACACCAATAGCTTTCTTTGGTCCCCAAACTTGTAAATATTAAATTCTCCATTCAAGCTCAAATAACCCTGCAGCTCCTTTCCACCCCACACAACCCTTCCCTCACTTTCACCTTCTCATTAACTCTCCTTTGTTCTATCAAAAAGCTCAGGAAGAGTTCAGTTTTTTGAAAGTCCTGTTGTTTCTCTTTGAATCCTATCTCACCTCCTTTTTTATTAAAATCCGCATCATGGGGCTGAGCATGGTGGTTCATACCTATAATCCCGGCACTTTGGGCAGTAGAAATGGAAGGATCATTTAAGGAGTTTGAGACCAGCCTGGGCAACAAGGCAAGAACCAGTATCTACAAAAATTTTTTAAAAATTAGCCTAGCCCATTAATGTGGTGTGTGCCTATAGCCCCAGTTACTCAGGAGGCTGAGGCAGGAGGACCACTTGAGCCCTAGAGTTCATGGCTGCTGTGAGCTATGGTCATGCCACTGCCCTCCAGCCTGGACAACAGAATGAGACCCTGTCTCAAAGAAAAAAGTCTACATTGTGAAATAAACAAAAACAGCGGAAGAATATCTGCCTCAGGGAAAAAAAGAAAGGCTTTGATTAGAGATTAAGATGGGTTCAAATGTTGTTCTTGCCACTAGTTATCTGGGTAACTTTGGGCACATGAATCATTCGCATGTGACGGTCATTACCTGGAATTATGCAGTGGACAGACAACCTGTGCTACCATGGACCCTGCCTCTGAGCCATGGTTCCATATTCATAAAATGGGGGATGCTTTCTGACTCATGAAATTATGAGAGAAATATGTCTAGTGTGAAAATTTTCTGATAATGGTAAAGCAAATTTAATTAGAAATGTTAATAAAAATTGCAATAAAATCAGTAACTTTACCTTTGATAGCTTGTTTTGTGTTCTACAAAGATATGAACACATCATATGGCACAAAAATGCAAAGACATCATCCAGTCCAATACCCTCTTTGATTCTTTGTCCTGAACTAGGTTGTTCAATAAAGGAACTTAAAAGCATTCTTTTTTTTTTTTTTTTTTTCCGACAGAGTCTCACTCTGTTGCCCAGACTGGAGTGCAATGATGCAATCTCGGCTTGCTGCTATCTCCGCCTCCCAGGTTCAAGCAATTCTCCTGCTTCAGCCTCGCGAGTAGCTGGGACTACAGGCATGCACTGCCACACCGGGCTAATTTTTTGTATTTTTAGTAGAGACGGGGTTTCACCATGTTGGCCAGGCTGGTCTCAAACTCCTGACCTCAGGCGATGGACCTGCCTCGGCCTCCCAAAGTGCTGAGATTACAGGGATGAGCCACCATGCTCGACCAAAAGCTTTCTGAGTAACTTGTGTCAATGTTTCTTTTGTTAACAATTAATTGATTCTCTAGGGTGAATCTTAGTATCCCATTCTACTACCTAAAATTTGGTTCAGACTTTATTTGAATGCAGGGCCCACATCGTAGCCTAACATTGAGTTGAAGAGAGTGAGGGGCCTGGGGCTTTACAGAAAGAGTAGTGGTTCCCTCTGCACATACTCTGTCAAACTGGATTCTTTTCAACAAATTTTTACAATTGCAATTGACATAAAGAAATCCAAGCCTATGATGACAAGATGTTAGAAAATGCAGTGTGTAATTTGTAACTGAGACACTGACAGTTAGCTCCCAAAATACAGAGAGAGGGTCATCAAGATGTGGCACATTTTGGGGTCTTCTCTCTCACCAATCACAGATTCAGGGCCCCTGATACAATGGACTAGTCCTCTGTCGCCAGGCTTTCCTCACTTTCATGTTGGTTGTTATTGGAACAAATTAGTCTTCTCCCTTCTTCCCTTTCAAGGAGGCTTCTCAATCTGCTTTGCAGACACAGAGTTTGCTTTTTCCTGTGGTGCTCACCCTTTAATTTGTCCTGATGTGTCTCTTCCTACCTTAAATGCAGTACGGGTATAATTTGGATCTATGCTCTTGTACCTTCCAAAACTCCCCTGGGAGCAACTTAGCACATTTCCTGCATGGTGTAAGAGCTCTGAAAATGCTAGATGCTAGTATTAATATTATCAAATGGCTCAAGAGAGCAAAGAGGAGGCCACAAAGTCTCTAATGAGCTGGCCTCAAAAGTCACACACTGTCATCTCTATCACACACTCTTGGTCACACAACCAGCTCTGATTCATTGTGTAAGGAAATTATCTAAACGTGTAAATACCAGGAGGCAAACATCATTTGGGAGTACATGGAGGCTGCCGACTACATATATTTTCATGCTTTTTAAATTGGCATCTAAAATATTCTTCACAAATACAAATAGTTGTAAATGGTATACTTCTGTGTGTATATTATTTAAGTACATAGTTATGTTAATATAGATTATGTACATATAAACCTATTTTAATGAAACTCTTATATCTGTAATTTAATTTTAGTATATGGAAGATGCCCACCATAAAGCCAATTGAAAATGAAATTTGACCCCATTTAAAAAATTAAAATAAATATATTGATATCCATTGTTATCATAATACACTTCTGAATTCTTATTCTAACAAAAAGAAAGAGAAAGAAAGAGACACAGAGAGACAGTGATGAGAAAGAGAGAGGAAGCTGTCGGGCCTTGCTGGGAGTCTGTTACCTGGATTCAATAAGCCTAGTATTTTTTATGGATGCCATCTTTACTTTGTCCTAGAAGGATGCTTCCTTCAGAGAGATGCGTGTTCCACTTATGTTATAATATTCTTTTGTTGGAATATTTTTACACTTTGGACCAATGCACCATGCAAAGATTCAGAATGGGCATATTTTGATTGCAGTCGAAGGACAATTATCAAAGGCGTGTGGGATAAGAGAACAGGTAGACCCCAGGTATCCTCCTAGGCAGGTCAGTTTTAGGAAAGAGCACCTATGGGTGTCATGGGTCTAAACATTGATAAGCTGAAATCTATCCTTGCCCTCACGTCCTCAGAAGGTGTTTGAGTACCTACCCTCAGTGGTACACATTTCCTCAGTTAGGATACCTCAGCTTAAATGACTTAATACAAGTTTAACATGAAGATTGTATGGCATGTATTCATTAAGTATCTATCAGAGAATTCTAATTCCTGAGAGCAAAGTTCTTATACAACTGCCTGTTCTAGTGCAAATAAGGGCTTCTTTAACATGGGCTTCTATATCCTTGATGATGAGAACCATGTACTCCATGCCTATATTGCCCCAGGGCTTAATTCAGTGCTATCAGAAATAGGACACTGATGGACATTGAGTAGCATAATGCTACCATTCCTTCTCCATACCCTCATACATCCAGGGCCAACATCACTGATGTGGCCTCAGAATTCTTCACAACACAAAGTCCCAGGTGACCCTCCTAATCTACTAACTTAACACATCAATTAGGCCCTATTTCCCATCTTAGTGGCCAATCCATTGCTGTAATGTTAATAAATGCTGTAACAGCTTGCATGACAATCTCTAACTTCGCATGCCTAAAAGTCTCATAAAGATCACAGTATCACATTGCTGCATTCTATTGTCTGGAGAAAGTCATAAGAGCAGACCAACCCCAAGGGATAGAAAATTGTGTCACTGCTTTAAGGGCGCTGCTGCAAACTCACCTTGCAAAGGACATGGATACAAAGAGGAGGAAATTTTTGGCCAACCTTTGCAACCTACCATACATATTTTTGGCACAGGTAGCATTCTACTGTTTGGTTCCTCACCCCCAACCAGGCTGGACTTCTCAGTTAGTATTGTTTGAGAGAGCTATATGTCAGGCCACAGCATAAATGGTTGAGATTTGAAGATGAATGATATAAACCTCCAAATATCTTCAAGGGGTTCACAATATAAGTAAATAATGAGCCAGTTCAGTTCAAATGCATTGAGCAATAGCTCTGTAACATCTGCTCTACCTGGCAATAGAGGGACAGAGAGGAGTGAGACCCCACCTCTCATCTGGAGAAACTCAGAGAAGAAAGGAAAGAAATAAAGAAGGATTTTGCTCTTCTGTAACAAAGCATGTCACAGAAGCCGTTGGCATTTTTGAAGGCTGAGATTTCCTTATTCACACATTGCCTTCTTTAAGAAAAGACACACAGTATATATAGGGTTTGTAGGGAAGAGAGGAAAGCGAGAACATGAGTGTATACTGGAGGACTCCTCTCACTTACCCGCTGATGAAATGGGCTTTCTGTACTGAGCCTCTCCATCTCTGTGCACATGAGAATGTATGGACAGGACATTGGAAGAAGAAATAGTCTGTATCCTGAGATGCTGGGGGCCACTAGGAAATTCAGCAGAACTATCCCGCCCCGCCCCCAGCCTTGATTGTTAGGCCCTTCTGAGGGTCTATAAATAGCACTGTTTATAACAGATATCTATAAATATACCTGTTATAAAATTGCAAACATCAACTTTTGTCTGCCATATATGCTCACATTCATTGATGGTCTGCAGCAGATAATTATTGTAAATTAGGCATTATTGAATTTGAGAACTGCAAAGGAAACACTATTTCTTGAGTTGAACTATGCAAACAATACATCCTTACATCAGGGCACAGAGGCACTGTGGACTGATCATCAGCTCACCCTTCAAGGACACAAAAAGGAACAATCCCTGAGCTTCAATTTCCTCAACTGTAAAGCAAGAGGTGTGAGAGTCAGATTGGAGTCTCTGGGACCTCTCGTCCTTCCCTCAGCTTCTACTTCCCTTTTATTCTACATCATTAGTGAAAATTCCAAATGTCACCTATCAGTGGGACTGTTCCCATCTTTTTAAAAGCCTTTGAAGTCAGGTGTTATGTCAGTATTGCTCATAGTTTGTTAGGAGCATTCATCTAGCATAGTGTTTCGTAGATAGAGAGGGTGAAATAAATCATTAAAGAAGGAATGCATAAATGACTGGAGGTGACAAGCAACACTAGGATGGGAGATGGTGATTTGGCAGGATTCAGACCTTCAGCTGACAGTGTGAATCATGCAAGTCCTGCTTCTTGCCAGCAATGTCCCAATGTCAGCAGAAGACAAACCCGAGCAGTGACATGACTCCCATGACCCATTCCTTCTTGAAATATCAGCCAGGCCACTTCCTCCAATCACATGGGATAGGCGCTGGGGTTGGGCTCCTCTCACATTCTTAGGAATGCAAGCTCTTGTCTTCCCAGGGACCCTCAAATATATGCCACATTGCTAATGTCCTCCAGGGAACGGCTATGGGAACAACCTCGGGCCTTGCAGGAAGGAAGAAGGTTCAGGGAAGGCCGTGACTCACAGTTATTTTAAGCTCAAGTTCTCTCAGTTCAAGCAGAGGTCACACTTCTTTCTTGGAGGCAGAGGAGCCCCAAACCTGGTGTGGGCTTTAATAGAAAGAACCGCCATCTTGGGCTTTTAAGAAGGTGGCCTCTGCCCCTGTTTCCCAGCCCTGACTCCAGTGATGTCCTTGAGCTAGTGTCTTCTCTTCAGTGAATTTTGGTATTTCAATCTTTAAAATTCATCTACTTAAAAATATTAATTAAGAACCTACTACATGCCTGGAATAGTACTGGGTGTTAAAGATAAGGCTGTTAAAAGGAAAAAAAAAATCTGCTCCTAGGAAAAGTTTATTTTAGTGGGAGGAGACAAATAATAAGCAAATAAAAATATAGTATGGCAGGTGATGGTATATGCAGAAACAATAAAGCAGAGTTTGAAAAAGAATGCTGTATGGTGGCTCGTGCCTATAATCCCAGCACTTTGGGAGGCCAAGGCAGGAGGGTCACTTGAGGCCAGGAGTTCCAGACCAACCTTGACAACATAGTAAGACCCTTTCTTTATAAAAATAAAAAATAAAATAGGTGGCGTTAGGGGTAAGGGAAAGACATGCAAGGACTTTGGTGTTTTATATAGTCAGGTCAGGAAACGTTATTGGCATAGTGATGTGAAGGCTGTGAGGGAGTAAGCTAGGGAGATATGCAGAGGGAGGGAGCTAGAATGAGAGGCAGGGGAAGTGCATTCCAGGAAGTACACAGACTCCCAAGGCAGGAGCATGGTGGGGTGTTCAAGGAACAGAAAGCAAGTCAGCAGGCTGGAGAGGGACAAACCAGGAGAGGAGCCCCTGTGAGTCACAGTCAAGATGTGGCATTTTCTTCTGAGTGAGATGGCATGAAAGCCATGGGGGATTTTGGACAGCAGAATATAATAGACTACTGGGTCAAAGCAGAGAGATCAATTAAGAGAAGTAGGCAGATTCAGGTATTTGACAGGATGTGCTCATCAATTTAACATGGAGTTGAGAGAAAGAACAAAATTAAGTTTAACTTCAAGGTTTGGGGCCTGAGCAAATGAACAAAATATATATGAGATGTACTGGAACATTTGCACATATTGTTTTTGAGAAGTCTTTTATAAACTCAAATAGCCATGCTGGAGAGATAGTTGGATATCTAAATCCGGAGAACAGAAGGAAGTCCTTGTCTAGTCATGAAACCTTTCAGAATCAGGATATCTTGCCTGAACCACAACACACAGAAAATGACTTGCGTGACTATTTTCCCAGTTCTCCCAAGTATTATACATAAATTTAGTACCAAATGCATAGAAGTTAATTCTTCCCATGCAATGTGTGCCTTACAGTGATGGTTCTCGAGGTATAGCCCAGTACCCAGCAGCATGACATCACCTGGAACTTAATGAAAATGCAGATGCTTAGGTTCCACCACAAACTTCCTGAATCAGAAACGGGGGGGCAAGAAGTATGTAACCAAGCCCTCCAATTGATTTAGACCCCTGAATTAATGCCTAGGACACTGGTGCTTAATTTCTTTTGGAACCTGAATGAGGAAACCGAGAAACTATAAAATGATGTGATTTGGTTTAGTGATACTCTGTAAAAGTCATTTCATCTACTGTACCTTCTTACAGGGCAAGAGACTTAAATATGTCATGGGCTTTCATGTACGGTACATCTCTAATCAGCTTTGTGCTTCCAAATGTGCACTTTAATGTTGGCTTGTCCAGCCACATTGTCAATGGCAAAGACATAAATTACAACTGAGGTTAGCACTGGAGAAGGTGACTTGAAATATAGTCATAAGTATAATAGTAAAAAGAACTCATAATCTAAATTTTTTTTTAGAACTAATATACTCTATCATGAATTTGTCCATTGGTGAGTACATCCTTGGAGAAGCATGAAACACAGCTTTAAGCCACGAGTCTTGAATATTTTACACTAGTCTACAAATCATTTCCATTCTTAAGGGAATGATTTTAACCGAATCGGAGTATAAAATTCATTCATTCAGTTGGTATACATATGCTATATGCTAAATGCAAGGAAGGAAGGGAGGGAGGGAGGAAGGAAGGAAGGAAGGAAGGAAGGAAAGAAAAAAAAGGGAAGGGAAGGGAAGGAAGGGGAAGGGAGGAGAGGGGAGGGGAGAGGAGGGGAGGGAAGGGAAGAGAAGGGAAGGGGGAGGGAATTATCTAAGTCCCGAATTGCCTTAGTGTGATTAGGTTTAGCAACTAGGCGTTATCAAAGCTCACTGCTGTGTGTTTCAACTCCAGCTTCCACAGATTCTAGCTGTTTTAACCTCCTGCAAAGTGTTTGGCTTCAATAGGTTTTGGTTTGCTTCATCTGACTAATGAGAATAATGATAATATCTACTAACAATGAAGCTAAAACTTTCAGAGGGAACACAGTGAGCCATCATTAAAATGTTACATCTTTATAGGGCCATTTGTCTTGACATTGGTCATATTTGTAATTGCATATACATATTGTACTTTTACAAATGTATCATTCACAGTGGATAGGAACAACTCTAGAGTTTACAATCTTTTTATCAGGCATATCTGGAACAATATCTAGAACTTACTATGCATTCAATAAATAGGTTTCAGATAATGAATACAAGAGTAAACAGGAACCCTGACTTACAGCATAGGACTACAGGACTGGGGAGAGAATCATGCTACAACTGCAGTCGAGGTATGTGCGAAGCGCCATCTGGCTTTGAACTTACTAAAGTGTTTGGATTTTTGAACTGCACCTCTTCAAGAATCTGTTTCCTCTTAATTGGGAGTACCTAAGCCTAAGCCGTATTAGCCAATAGTTCGTAGTTATGCTTTTCACAACTTTCCAAGCGTGTTCATTGAAAATCAGGATGTAACTGAAGAGCACACGAACAGCAACAATTAAGACTTTATGAGTAACAGAAAAGCCAACTAAGAGCGACTCTGACCTAAGGGCCTTTCTTTTTACGTAAAAATACCTCTTCACTTACCCAGAAATCCAAAAGTAGCAGTCTAAGGATTGTTCCAGCATCTTGATGGTATTATAGAAGAACACATGACTTATCCCTCCACTCTGCCATCCACAGGTTCTTGACGTCAGCTTTCAGGTCATTTGCTTCCTCCTGGATACAAAATAACCATTTCAGCTCTCTGCATTAGGTGTTCCTTCAGCCTGATTTTTAATTGTATTATTTTAAACGTAATTTATACAGAAAAAGCACATAAAGACTAAATAAAGAACATAACAAAGACAATGTAACCACCACCCAAGCCAAGAAATAAACATTGCCAAAACACTTTACGCTATGGGTCTCTTCCGGTCCTCCTTCAGGACATAATCATGGTCCTAGTTTATGGAAACCCTTTGCTTGTGTCTCTTTAGAGATTTACCACTTATGTGGACATGGCTAAATGGTATGGCTTTGTAGTTTCCTCCGGTTTTATACCTCATTTAAATGGAATTATATTATATGTATGCTTTTGTAAACTGCTTGGTTTATTCAGCATTTATTTGGTAATTTTCACACATTTCATTTTGTAGAGTTGTAAGATAATCATTTTCATTACTGTATAGAATTTTATTTTAAGCATATACCACAGTCTGACTGGACTGTGTCTTGTTTGGGGCTGTTATAAAAAACAAAAAACCAACAACAAAAACAAATCGCCACTATGAGCATTCTTGTAACTTGCAGGTGATATTCTTCATCATGCTAAGGAACTTCTCTTCTGCACCTAATTTGTTAGAAGATTTATTTATTTATTTACTTAGAGAGGGAGTCTCTCTCTGTCGCCCAGGCTGGAGTGCAGTGGCGCCATCTCGGCTCACTGCAAGCTCCGCCTCCTGGGTTCACTCCATTCTCCTGCCTCCGCCTCCCGAGCAGCTGGGACTACAGGCACCCACCACCGCGCCTGGCTAATCTTTTGTATATTTAGTAGAGACGGTGTTTCATCGTGTTAGCCAGGATGGTCTTGATCTCCTGACCTCGTGATCCACCCGCCTCAGCCTCCCAAAGTGCTGGGATTACAGGAGTGAGCCACCGTGCCCAGCGAGAAGATTTTTTTTTATAAATCTTGAATAAATATTAAATTTTATCTAATACATTTTACTGCCTCAAGATGATTATATAGTTCTTCATTATTTATTAATATAGTAAATTAGATTACTGACTTGCTACCTTTCAAAACACTTTGCATTCCTGTGTTAAACCCAATGTGATCATAATTCGCATCTTTTTAAATTTATTTGACGTCAAATTCAGCTTGCTGATTTGTTAACAATTTTTCATCTCATGAGTGAGGTTTGCAGTAAATTTACTTTCTTCTAATGTTCTCATTAGGTTGTGTATTATGGTTATGCTTTCCTGATAAAATTAACTAAGGAGTGATTCTTCTTTTTCTGTTCCCTAGAAGTTTACATTTGATTTCCATGTTACTTGAATGTAAAGCCAACTGAGGTTCGACTTTTCTTTTGGGGGTTTTTAACCATTAATTTAATTTGTTTAATGATATAAACCTATTTAGGTTTTTCTATTTTTCGTGCACACTTTTGGCAAGTCCCTCACCCCACATACACTTCAATATTAAAAAGAAATATTTAAATGCATTGGCATAAAGTTGTTTGGAGTACCATCTTATTAACTTTTCAGTGTCTACAGGCTCTGTAGTAACGTTCTTTGTTTATTTACAACTTTGGTAATTTGTACTTCCTTTTTTCTAAATCAGCCTCTGAGAATATTTTAAACTTTAATATTTTTGTTTAGTTTTGTTTTCGAATAACAAAGGTTATCGGCACAACCTTTCTCAATTTGAAATCCATGAGAGAATTAACTCCTACAGAGCATGATGTGAGTGGCCCTTTTCTCAGTTCTCCCAAGGATGGTACAGAGCTTTTAGCACTCCAGACGTACAGGGAAAAAAAGTTAACTCATCACATACAGCAGATGCCTTAGGACAGAGGTCAGCACACAAAGGCCCCTGGCTTGGACATCTGGCTCATCATCTGTTTTGTAAATAAAGATTTATTGGAAACATAAGATTCCACACTCAAATGCAAGGTTCCCTAATATAAAATCCAGCAAAAGTCAGAGGTTGCAAACAGGGGCCTGGGTTGTATTTTGTTTGGCTAACACATGGTTTCAAATACAGCAGCTTAAAAATTAGGGAAAAAATAAAGGTTTATTGAAACACAGCCATGATCATTTATTTACACACTGCCTGTATGGTTTCCACAGCATTTTCACACTGCAAGAGCAGAGTTGCATGGTTGTAACAGAGACCAAAGGCCTTATGGCCTGAAAGCCTAAAATACTTACTGTCTGGCCCTTTACAATAAAAGTTTGGTAGGTTTTCGCCTAGAAGAAAACCTAGGCAATACCATTCAGGACATAGGCTTGGGCAAAGACTTCATGACTAAAACACCAAAAGCAATGGCAACAAAAGCCAAAATTGACAAATGGGATCTAATTAAACTAAAGAGCTTCTGCACAGCAAAAGAAACTATCATCAGAGTGAACAGGCAACCTACAGAATGGGAGAAAAATTTTGCAATGTATCCATCTGACAAAGGGCTAATATTCAGAATCTACAAGGAACTTAAACACATTTACAAGAAAAAAAAACAACCTCATCAAAAAGTGGGCGAAGGATATGAATAGACATTTCTCAAAAGAAGACATTTATGTGGCCAACAAACATATGAAAAAAAGCTCATCATCACTGGTCATTAGAGAAATGCAAATCAAAACCCCAATGAAATACCATCTCATGCCAGTTAGAATGGCGATGATTAAAAAGTCAGGAAACAACAGATGCTGGAGAGGATGTAGAGAAATAGGAACACTTTTGCACTGTTGGTGGGAGTGTAAATTAGTTCAACCATTGTGGAAAACAGTGTGGCGATTCCTCAAGGATCTAGAACCAGAAATACTATTTGACTCAGCAATCCCATTACTGGGTATATACCCAAAGGATTATAAATCATTCTACTATAAAGATACATGCACACGTATGTTTATTGCCGCACTGTTCACAATAGCAAAGACTTGGAAACAACCCAAATGCTCATCAGTGATAGACTGGATAAAGAAAATGTGACACATATATACCATGGAATACTACTCAGCTGTAAAAAAGGATGAGTTCACGTCCTTTGCATGGACATGGATGAAGCTGGAAACCATCATTCTCAGCAAACTAACACGGGAACAGAAAACCATACACCGCATGTTCTCACTCCTAAGTGGGAGTTGAACAATGAGAACACATGGACCCAGGGGAGGGATAGCATTAGGAGAAATACCTAATGTAGATGACGGGTTGATGGGTGCAGCAAACCACCATGGCATGTGTATACCTATGTAACAAACCTGCACGTTCTGCCCATATATCCCAGAACTTAAAGTATATATATATACACATATATATATATATATATACACACATATATATATATATATACACATATATATATACACACACACACACACACATATATATGTGTGATCATATAACATATCATATATATGTTGTGATCAAACTTTTATATATATGTATAAAAGTTTGCTGACCTTTGCCATAGGACATTCAGGCTTCATTGCCTTGTGGAGCTCAGGTTAAGAAGGATTGCTAGGGTATGCTTGCTTTCCATTGCCTTAATTTCTGCACGTTTATTTATTATTCCTCCCTTCTACTATCTTTAGATTTATTTTGTGGTTCTTTAAATTATTTCTTTTAACAGCTTTTTTGAGATAAAATTTATACATCATATAATTTATCCATTTGAAATGTTCAATGCAGTGGCTGGTAGTATATTCACAGAGTTGTGCATCTATCGGCACAGTAATTTTAGAACATTTTAATTACTTTCAGAGAAATGCTGCACCATATGCTGTCACCTCCCATTCCCCCTCCCCACACCCCTAGGCAACTACTAATCTGCTTTCTGTCTTTGTAGATTTACCTAATCTGTATGTTTCACATAAATGGAATCATACAATATGTGGTCTTTTGTGACTGGCTTCTTTCCCTTAACAAAATGTTTTCAAGGTTTATTCATGCTGTAGCACGTGTCACTAATTTATTTCTTTTCATTTCTAAATACAATTCCATTGTATCAATATCCACATTGTATTTATCCATTCACCCATTAATGGGCATTTGTATTGTTTCCAGTTTTTTGCTAGTACAAATAAAGTTGCTATGAATGCTCACGTGTAAGTCTTGCTATGGGCATATGTTTTTATTTTTCTTGAGAAAATACCTAGCAGTGGAATTGCTAGATCACATAATAACTCCATGTTTAACCATTTAAGGAACCGTAAAACTGTTTTCCAAAGTGACTATACCATTTTACATTCATACCAGTGGCATATAAAGATTCCAGTTTCTCCACAGCCTCACCAACATTTATTATTTTCTAAATTCTTGGTATTTATGTTTAACTCACTAAGTTTTAGCACTTCTTCTTTTCCAATATACATATTTAAGGAGATAAATTTCCCTCTAAGTACAGATTTAGCTACATTCTCACATTTTCTTATTTTTATGTTGTGTACTATTTTTGCTTAATTAAAAATATTCTTGAACATGTCTTATAATCTTCCTTTGACTCAGTGTTATCTAAATCTCAATTTCCAAATTTGTTATGAAAAGAGAAGATACTTTGCATGATTTAATACCAAAATTTGCTGAGGCTTATTTTATTGCCTAGTATATGTGTGATTTAAAAGAACACTTAATAATTATTAAATATGGTGTTTGGCATTTGTGCATTAAGAAATCATGACAATAACTCTTTCCTTCATATTAATCAAATATTATATAAATATGTTATATCATTACTGATTTTACCCCGCTTTTTCTATCAGTTACCAAAAAGGAAGTGTTAAAATTTCTAATCATATGCTTATTGATTATCTATTGACATTGATTTATCTATTTTACATGAAGTTATGTGTATATTGTTTTATATATTTTGAAGTGACAATTTAGTAATATTTAGTAATATGAATTAAACATAGGTTTCTAACTTTTAATATTTTGTCATTATTATTATTATTTTTGAGAAGAAGTCTGGCTGTGTCGCCCAGGCTGGAGTGCCATGGTGCGATTTTGGCTCACTGCAATCTCCACATCCCAGGTTCAAGCGATTCTCCTGCCTTGCCCTCCCAAGTACCTGGGACTACAGGCGCTTGCCACCATGCCCGGCTAATTTTTGTATTTTTAGCAGAGATGTGGTTTCACCATATTGGCCAGGCTGGTCTCAAACTCCTGACCTCGGGCGATAGGCCCGCCTCAGCCTCCCAAAGTGCTGGGATTACAGTCATGAGCCACTGCGCTCAGCCTATTTTGTCATTAAGTAACCTTTATTACAATTAGTAAGGCTTCTTACTGCCTTAAAATCTTTTGATCTGGCCGGGCGCAGTGGCTCACGCCTGTAATCCCAGCACTTTGGGAGGCCGAGGCGGGCGGATCACGAGGTCAGGAGATCAAGACCATCCCGGCTAAAACGGTGAAACCCCGTCTCTACTAAAAATACAAAACATTAGCCGGGCGTAGTGGCGGGCGCCTGTAGTCCCAGCTACTTGGGAGGCTGAGGCAGGAGAATGGCGTGAACCCGGGAGGCGGAGCTTGCAGTGAGCCGAGATCCCGCCACTGCACTCCAGCCTGGGCGACAGAGGGAGACTCCGTCTCAAAAAAAAAAAAAAAAAAAAAAATCTTTTGATCTGTCTATAGATCAAAAGATTCTATATCTGTAATATAGATACACTAGCTTCCTCTTCATCACTGAATAGGACGTGTCATATTTTCCTGTTCTTTCACATGCAACTTTTCTCTATACCTTTTGTACGTGTCTATGAAACATTTTAAAGCAAATTTATTGTGATAATCTTTCTCTTTTAACTAGAGTGTTCATTTATATGGATTCAAATTTATTATATTGTAATTTTAAAATTTTTCTTAACCTTCAAAATTTAAAAATTTCTCTTTATTCAAACTTGGCCTATGTTTTTCTTTTCTTTTGCTTCTTGCCTATTTTTGGATCTTTCTTGTTAACGTATTTTTCCTCTACTATAAAGTTTGTATTTCTGAACAATTAACAGTTGACGTAACTCAAAATGGCTTAATGTGATGTGACTTCAATCGAGGGGCTATTTAAAAAGCAGTGGACAGAATTAAGGGAAACCAAAAAACTGGGAAGAGGGGGGCCCAGTTTCAACCCCCCAGCCTGAAGGGATGAGAGAAAAGAACAATTACTAGAATTGCAGACAGAGAAGGCTGAGTAGAGAGGGCTGCCTGGCAGGAGCTGAAACCTTCACTCAGAGAAGCAGCCCGTCCATTCCAACCACACAGGGAGGCAGCCTCTCATGTCCAGCCTCCACCTCCTCATTCTCCTCCCTCCCTCTACTCTCCTGCTGGCGCTCCCCTTTGGCTGAATCCAGTCAGAGGCCAGAGGGCAAGGGTGCCCCTTGATGCAGTCCACAAAGATCACTCTCTCGAGGCACCAAGCCGGGTGCAGATGAGGGAAGAGTGGACCTGGAAAAGTTGGTGGCAAAAGGAAGCTCTCTAAGACACAGTTTTACACTGTTTCCATTCTTAGTGGAATTTCCTTTGAACTTACAGCAGGCATATCAACTCCACTTAGCTTCATCTAGAAATAATTAATACCTAGATAATGCAAGTTCCTTAAAACTGTGTAACTACATTTATTTCCCTGAAAACTTATAAATGATTATACACTTTGTATTTTAATGCTACTTTAAAAAAATAATAACTAATTACACATACTATTGTTATAATAGGTAGTCAGGTAGATATGAACAGGGCAGGAGAGAGACCCACCCCCTGCAAACCAGGGATGTCAGGCGGCCATCAGACGATGGTCAGGCAGTTGTTAAACTGCTGCTCTAAAATAATAATTGGTAGCAGCCAGCACCAGGGAAAAACCGTCTCCCAGTAAATAGAAAGCACCTGAAACTGGTGATCAGCAGCTTCCCAATAAAATCTGAGGAGCTGAGCCAGTGGGCTCAAGCATGCGCACTAAGAGGCAAAATGGCAGAGTTTAACTGGTATATAAACATGACTAGTAAGGGGAAAAAACCACCAACCAGAAGTGAGCATGTGCACAGCTTCATTCAACACTGTGTGCATGCAGCCCTACCCAAGTGTTGGCAGGCCACTGGGCATGCAGACAGCCCACCTCAAGGGGAGAATTGGGGACAAGAGATGCAAAGCCCCAGAAACGTGCTAACCTATAAAACCCCAAGTCAAAGGTCAAAACCCATACTTGAATCTCTCAAGTTGCCCACTTGGCCCCTCTTCCAACTGTACTTTACTGCCTTTACTTCCTGCTGTAAAGCTTTTTTTTTTTTTTTTTGAGACGGAGTCTCGCTCTGTCGCCCAGGCTGGAGTGCAGTGGTGCGATCTCAGCTCACTGCAAGCTCCACCTCCCGGGTTCATGCCATTCTCCTGCCTCAGCCTCCCAACTAGCTGGGACTACAGGCGCCTGCTACCACGCCCGGCTAATTTTTTGTATTTTTAGTAGAGTCTGGGTTTCACTGTGTTAGCCAGGATGGTCTCGATCTCCTGACCTCGTGATCCACCCGCCTCGGCCTCCCAAAGTGCTGGGATTACAGGTGTGAGCCACCACGCCCAGCCTCTAAAGCTTTTTAATAAACTTTCACTCCTGCTCTAAAACTTGCCTCCCTTTCTCCCTCTGCCTTATGCCCCTCAGTCAAATACTTTCTTCTGAGAAAGCAAGAATTAAGGCTGCTGCAGATCCATACATATGCCCTGTCACTAAGATACTTGGGTGCTACATATCCAAGTGACTCAGATATGTTCCCTCGTGTTACACTACTAGTGTTCTATGCATCCGTCTTCCCTTACTTTTACCCAGTCATTCACGACTCTCTTTGATCTTTCTTCCTTCCTTCCTGCATCTCGAATCTTTCATTTAGTAACAAGTTGTTTAAAATAAATCCTTGGGGCCAGGTGAGGTAGCTCACACGTGTAATCCCAGCACTTTGGGAGGCTGAGGTGAGTGAGGTTCCAAGTTCGAGAACAGCCTGGCCAACATGGGGAAACCCTGTCTCTACTAAAAATACTAAAATTAGCTGGACCTGGTGGTGGGCACCTGTAATGCCAGCTTCTCGGGAGGCTGAGGCAAGAGAATCACTTGAACCTGGGAGGCGGAGGTTGCAGTGAGCAGATCATGCCACTGCACTCCAGCCTGGGTGACAGAGTGAGTCTCCATCTCAAAAAAATTAAGAGATAAATAAATAAATAAATAAAATCCTTGGGAATTTTTATTATTGAAAACCTGGTTGTAAACTTTTTCAATATTTGTTTTTCTAAAAATGTATATTTTCTCATTTTTATTCTTAAAATATATTTTCACAAGGTATTGTCCTCTCTAATGACATAATTTTTTTTCTCTTATGCTTTCAGGACAACCTGTCTTTTATCTCACTGATTCAGTATATTTTTCTGGCTTTATGTTTGCTGTTTCACTACATTGCATCTTTTTATTTGTTTAACTGTGTAAAATATTCCTGGCTTCTGAAATCTGCAGGTCGTGTTTCCTCTTGCTTTGGGAAAATGCTCAATTTTTCTTCAAATAGTGTCTCTTCCTTCTATTCTCTTTTTCTCGAATTCTGAACAAACCTTAAACCATCTCTATATTTCTTTTCTCTCCTCCATATTTTGCATTTTTTATCTTTATATGCTTCATTCTGGAAAACTTCTGATCTATCTTTAAATTCACTTCTCACTATTTCAAATCTGTGTTCGATTTTAAAATTATCCTTCTTATAGTTTTCGTTTCAAGGTATGCTAATTGGTTCTTTTACAAAGCCACAATGCAACATTTTGTAGTTTCCTTTTCCCTGCAGCTATTTCAAAGCTTTTCTGATACTTTTTCAAAGATTAATCATAGTTGCTACTGTTTCCTACATCTTGTAAATCCACCATTTGATTTTTTTGCAGCTATTTTTCTATTACATACAAGATAAAACACACCCATGCAACGTTGCCTTCCAAGAAAGCATCCCTAATAGATCCCTAATTATAAGCAACAGGTAGAAAAAGGTTGGCATCAGCCAAATCTTCTGCATACCTCTCATTCAAGGATGTATCCAGCAAAGTAACTCCTTTGAAATTAACCAATAATTATACAGGCTGAAAGTCAAGAAAAATAAGGATTGAGTTGAATAAACGTACATACTTAAGAATGGGAGAGACAAAAAGCCATTTTCAAGTAAACAAACCCAAACCCGAGTGATAATCCTAAACTGAAAACTCTTTTAGTAGGAAGGAGGAATGCTTTTAACAGTTAGTATTCATTAATCATCCACTATGGGTTAGACACTTTAATGCAAAATTAAATCATTAATCTATACTAAAGTACGGAATTTCTCCAGTTTATGAATAACAAAACCAAGGTTCAAATAATGTAGGTGATCTTCCCAGGGTTACACAGGAAGTGACAGATCTGAGTTTGGAAGCAAGATCTAAAAGCAAAGTTTGCCATTTACTATTCCAAAGTTGAAGCTATCCGCCCGAAAGGAGAGGAAAGATAAGGTAAAACTAAAATTATGAATTGCCTAAACCAGAATGGAGAGATTGGAAGATTAGAAGACAAAGGCAGAAAAGTATGCTGCCTGCTCCACCCGCCCCCAACGCTGTGCGGCTAATGCAGCAGCCTCAAACTCCTATGGCCTCTCACTCCCTCCTCCTGTTGGGCCTGGAAGACAGCTTCAAGAGGTCAGAAGCCTTTAGAATGAGAAAACATTAAGCATTTTGACACATTGCTCATTTTCTCCCTCCTAAGGATTCATATTTCAAAATGAACCATATTACTTGCTGACCCTTAGAGCCACTTCATACTAAATTTTATAAATGTGCAATCTCAGAATTATAAATTACTGAGGATGATGATTCCCATTTTGTTGAATAAGTAGCAGACCCAGGGAGGTTTGATCACTTGCCTAAGGTCACACTGATGCATAGGAGTGTATTGGGACTCTCCCTTGCTTATTTGTCTGTCTAAACTTGTGGGTTTATTTGTTTTTCTAGAAAATCATGCATATTCAATTTAAAAGCGAAGTATTCCCAGCCTGTATATTTCTGAATATTTCAAAAGGTATACCCATCTTCAATACAGTCTCCAGATGAAGGAAATTTTCCTTCTAGGGCCAGGTGATTTTTATTGTCTGTTTACTCCCCTCAGGACTTAGAAGTAAAAAGCTAAATATGTTGTTCTCAAGCTTCATTTCTTCCACTAAATTGCTTTGAAAACTCAGCTTCTGGTTCCTGGTTTATAATATAGATATTGCATAAACCATTTGGTTTCCAAGGTCCTTCCTCTGTGATTACATGAGTTTAAATGCATCTCAGATAATATATATATAATTTCATACCAGGCATTGTGATAAGCAACTAGATTACAGAAATTACATTCATTTTTTTGCTCTTGAGAAACTTGAATTCAGAAGAGGAAGGTAGATCTGAAAACATAATTTTCATAAAGTAAATTCAATGTTCTTAGGTAAAAAAAAAAAAAAGGTATCATTTGTCTGTATTTGCCCCATTGAGTATTTTTATCTGTGATTAAAACTTCAGAGTAAGCCCCTAGAATGCTCACTGGAGGCTACTGTATCCTGTTTCAACATATGCCAGTCATAAAATCCAAAATCTGTCTTTAAATTCACTTCTTTCAATGGGCTAAGGCTGGCCAGTTGGGTGTAGGGCGTGAATTTCGGACTGTAACAGGATGTTGCAAGTATTTTGTACACAATGACTTTAATATTTTAGTGGAGTGATGATCCCCATTGGGAAACTTCAGTCAACCTTTCAGCTGCTCAATGGCCAATCCCTCTATCAGCACCTCACAGTCAATGCAGACTACATGCTTACAGAAACTGCTTGTCTGGAAGTGGTGAGCTCATGTCGAAGTCACTGAAATGACTTCCAGGCAGTTTCCAGACTCCACAAACAAGAGTGCTGTTTTGGAGAAGGTTGTGCAATATCCATCATCACACCTTGGCTGGATCCAGGAGGAGGACCCACATGAGTCTTGCATGCTGGTACATTATAGAAAGATGTGCACACAAAACATCCCATAGCTAAAGTAAATCTAAATCATTTCACCCATCCTCTTTCATTTGCAATGGGGAAACTGAGGCCCTGGGAATGGTTGTGACTTCTAAAGTCACATGGTAAGGCATGAGAGGGCCAAAACTATGAACCGTTATCTCATTCAAATTTGAGTGCTCTTTCCGAAATTCCACACGGTCACAGCTTCAAGAATGACTTCTCCATCTGTGTATTTCCCCAGAATTAATAATTTAAAGAAGAAAGCTTTCAGCCAGAACTTAACTCTTCCTTTTTCTGCATCTCAACTTTTGCCTCAAACTCAAACATAGCTTTGCCCAGCACTGTTATTGATCCCACCTTCTATTCATTATGGATATTTGCACTGATTTTGATTTTTTAAATTTTGCATTCAAATCTTACTTATGTTGATTATTGAGTTTTTGGTGCCTCCCATGTTGTGTCTGAGACAAGAGCATCACCTCCCTTATCCTAATCCCAGCCCTGTGTCTAAGTTCCGTGGCATCTTCATGTAGAGTAGCAGGGAAGCAGCTGACAATTGACTCCCCTGGGGCACAAGGACTGAGGATGGAAAACTCATGGGACAAGCTGATAGAAAAGCTTCTGAGGAAGAGGCAGAAGATACCCCTGAGGTGGTCTCCTCTAGGACCACAAATACAGGTGCACACGAGGAGCGCTTCTGGTCACAGGGCCGCCTGGTGTGGTATCTCCAACAGCCACTTTCAAAACAAGCTTCTGCAAGAACTCCACAGATGGGAGGCGGCTCCAGGAAGTTGCCTCCAAATTCAGAAGGAGGGAGCTCCCATCTGTAAGAAAGTGGGGTGGCCTTCCCCAGATGTTTCTTTCATACATTGTCCCTGACGCACAAAAGGTAGTTCTAGAAGTCATTGGCCTTGATAATGGAGCCAAACCTAGTGTCTAGAGGAAGGTGCGCTGGGAAAAAGCAGGACAGAGGAAGGTATAGGTGCACAGGCAGGTAGACAGGCTGCCCCAGTGGCCACTGGGTCGACCTTGATTTGCCTGAGCTGGGAATGTGGCCACACAAACTCCTTTCTGCCTCTACCTCTTCACAGCCTGGGTGGAATCTTTTAAAGGTTCTGATTTCTTGTCTTTTCCTGCTAATGGATATGAGCTTCTTGAGGACAGCATCCGTGTCTTACTCAACTCACTATTACCAGCTTAGAACTAAATAAATGATCAATATGTGGGCTGAAGGGAGAAAAGAAATTAGTTTGTCCAAATTTTGTCTATGAAGGCCCAGAAAGTAAAAAATATTTTCAGCTTTGAAGGACATAGAGTATCTCTCACAACTGCTAACTTTGCCATGTGGCCTGAAGGCAGCCATAGACAAGGGCAAATGAAAGTGTGTGGGTGTGTTACAACAGACCTTCATTTATTGGCACCGAAATTCAAATTTCATATAATATTCAAGCATCACAAAATGTTATTATTCCTTAGATTTTTTTCAACTATTTAAAAATATGTAAAAACACTTTTAGCACATGGATTATTTTGTCAATCCCTGAGTTAAACCAACAAACTTTGTCCTCTCCATTACCATCAAAAGCTATTCTTATATTTCAGTCCGAATGTAGGCCAAAGGCCATCTTTTTCAGAGAATATGGAAGTTTAATAAAGTAAGAATCCCTAGGAAAGGTAAATAATTAGAAAGTAAAGAGTAAAATGTGCTCATCTGTGAAAGGAATTATAAACATAAGGATAGAAAGACCAGGAAAAGAGACATTCCTTCATGCAGTTTTGTTGGGTGATTAGATTATTTTTGTGGCATTTTCTATTTTTTTGGAGTATACTGATTTTTTTGTTTTCTGGTTTTTATTGTTTCTATTTTTTTGTTTCTTTTGGTTTATTTGTTTGTTTGCAAGGAAAACTTGTCAGAACAAAGGAATTTCATTAATTCAATGTCTTTCTCAAGCAAATAACATAATAATTCACTACACAGAGCTTTAAAGTTTATAAAGTAAATTATTTTCTCATAACCCTTCCAACAGCTCTATGAATTAGACAGAGCCAATATTGTTAGTAGTATTTATAAGTTATGGATAAAGATTGGAGAGTCTTAAGTAACAGATAAAACTGATCCAGGTAGCAAATAGTTGGGTTGGTATCTAGTCCTCAGAACTGCAGTTGAGTTTGGTACCAGGAGAGAGGCACCAACAATTACAGAGTATTGTTAAAGGTACAATAGCCAGCAGTGCTGCCAACAATGGCATATGTAAGAGTGCCGGTCTCAGTGATATATGATGGGAACTAACTCCATTGAAAGGGGAGCTGCTGGTCCCTAGCCTACAGATGTTTGTGGTACTGAGGTAGCAAGTACCACAATTTGGAAAATAATAGACACAAATTGCACAGATGGATAGAGTTTCTAAAGTTTTCAAGTCCCTCCATATTCCAACAAATTGAATAGGCCAAGAAATAAATAGCTAATGCATATCTACAGTGAGCAATACCTCATAGAGCACTGACATAGCCAAGGGGAAACATTTTCCAAAAGCAGCCAGATATGGGACAGCCTGTCCTTTAGGGGTGTGTGTGTGTGTGTATGTGTGTATTTGTGTGTGTGTGTATGTGTGTGTGTGTGTAGCATAGCTTGAGAACGCTCAGTGTAGAGCTGCAAAGATAATAGCTGTAAATGTTTACTTTAAATGTTCTTTCCCCAAGGTTTCTAAACCCTATGAAATAAGGATGCTAAAGGCATAACTATTTTAACTCACATTGGTCTAGAGGAGAGCTAGTCACTCACTCCTTGCTATCTGACCCTGCAACTCCTAATTGGTATAAACTAACATCATGTCACATTAAATATTTATTGTGCCAGCTCATCTGTGTCTCCAAAAAGTAAGCAAGGAAGCCCTAAGTTAGAATTCTTTTCATGCCATCCTGGAGGCTATCCTGTTTCTCTGGCTTTAAATTTCTTTTCTCTCAGCACAGGGATCTGAATTTAATTGTGAGAAATAAATCTTTAATTGGAAGTTGTGTTGACTGAAGGATTCACGGAAGTAAGCAAGGACTTCAGCTTACTGATCAGTCTGAACTTGGTTAGGAATTCCACCGCGCAAACTGAATACCACACCGTAATCAAATAGTCATCCTAACTTTGACCAATAAAATATGTATTCATAACAATAAGAGTTACAAGTTTTGTGGCTCCACTATGTGTCAGGCACAATGTTTGGTGCTTTATAGAATGAGCTTTAACCCTGACAATGAGTCTATAACATAGCCAACATCATGAAGAGTTTAAGTGCAGGGATGCTGAAACCAGGCTGCCTGGTTGGAATCCTGGCTCTATGATCTTGGAAAAGAAGGGCTAATAACACTAGTAGTTTACTCACTGTGGCAGGTTGAATGGTGCCTCCACGAACCCCCAAAAATATATGTCCATATCAAATTCCTGGAACCTATGAATGTTACATTATTTGGAAAAAGGGTCTTTGCTAATGTAATTAAGAATCTTGAGATAAAATCCTGGTTTACCCAGATGCTGAAGTGTCCTTATAAGAGAATTGCTGAGAGAGATTTGAGACAGACAAGAAGAGAGGAGGAGGCATTGCGATCACAGAGGCAGAGATTAGAGTGAGGTGGTCATAGGGTCATGTGTCAAAGAATGCTGACAGCTAGCAAAAGTTAGAAGAGGCAAGGGATGAGCTCTCCCCGAGTGCATCCTGAGGGAGCGTGCCCCTGTCGACACCTTGATTTTGGTCTTCTGTCCTCCAGAATGAAGAGAGAATAAACTCCTGTTTATAAGCCACCCAGTTTGTGCTAATTTTACAGTAGCCCCCAGAAACTAACACACTCTTAAAATCACTGTAAATATTGAATGAGTAAATATATGTAAAGCACTTAGAACAGAAACTGACACATTGTAAATGCTAAAAAAAAAAATTCAGCTATTGTTGGTATCATTCCCATTTTAATGATTAGAAAGTAGATGTTTATACTAACAGTTTTCACAAATGGGATACAGTAAAAACATTTAAAACTGGTTTACATGATTATAAACCCAGGTTAGAAGGATTCTCAAATGTATGTTTCCAGCTCAACTTCTTGATGAAAACAACAAACCCAGTGAAAATATCTAAAAGACTGGAATTCAGATAGCCAGAGTGGAGCAACCATTTCAACACCCAAGATATTTGCTAAAGACTACAAAAGGTTTGTCATTTATTACTTGGCTAAACTTGCCCCATAGTAAAGAGTCTCTCGACCTGCCTGATGAAAAAATAGTCTAACCAAGTTTCAACAGAATCCATTTGATCTACATGTCACTAAATGATCTTACCAGATAAACTTTAACACTCTTGAAAGGAAGACAAAAAATACGGCAATTTTTTAATATTTAGCAATAAAGTTATTAGATGCAAAACAAAGCATAAAAATATGACCAAATATGTGAAAATGGAAGAGAAGATGGCATTAGCAGACAAAGGTTTTAAAGCAGCTCTTATAAATATGCTCATGGATAAAAATTAAGCATAATCCTAGTGAGGCTTCAGACAGAACCAAATGGAAGTCCTCGAGATGAAACAAAATTATCTGAACTTTTGAAAAAAAAAATTCTCTGGAATTAATAGAATATCAGTCAATGTAGATGAAAGTGACTGAACTAAATACAGAAAATTGAAAGTATTCTTCGACTTGAATCACAGAAAGAAAAAACACTTAAATAAAGTAATTTTGCCATTATAATCTGTATGAGAGTAAAAATCAGTCTAATGTGTTAACTGTCATCCCAGCTAAGGAAGGGGGATTAGGAAGAAAATCTGAAGAAATAATGGGCAGAATTTTTCCAGATTTGATGAAAATTATAAAGTCAGAGACCCAAGAAATTCAACAAATACTAAATAGTATAACCCCAAATAAAATCACATAAAGGCATATAGTAATTAGAATTTTACAAATTGGTGATGAAGAAAAAGTCTTAAAAAGCAGCCAGAGAGAAAAACACACTTTGCATATAAGGAAATGAGTTTAAGATATTCTACAGATGCCTTGTCAGTTAAAAAAATACAAAAAGAAGAAGGAAGGAAAAGAGAGACAGAGAGAGAAGAAAAGAAATAAAGAAGAGAGAAAGAAAGAAAAGAGAGAGAAAGAAAAAGAAAAAGAAAGATGAAAGGAAGAAAAAAGGAAGGAAGGGAAGGAGGGAGGGGGGAAGGAAGGAAGAGAGAGAGAAAGAGAGAAAGGAAAGAAAGAAGAAAGAGAAACAGAAGGAAGGAAGGAAAGAGAGAGAAAGAAAGGACATAATGGAGTTGCATTTTTTAAATGCTGAAAAGAGAAGAAGGAGAAAGAAGAGCAAAGAAGGGGAAAAGATAAGGGAAAAATTAACAGTTAACATGAAATTTTATTATACTCAGTGAAAATATCTTTCAAAGAAAGGTTGAGGCCAGGTGCAGTGGCTCATGGCTGTAATCCCAGCACTTTGGGAGACCAAGGCAGGCGGATCATGAGGCCAGGAGATCAAGACCATCCTGGCTAACACAGTGAAATCCCATCTCTACTAAAAATACAAAAAATTAGCCAGGCACGGTGGTGCATGCCTGTAGTTCCAACTACATGGGAGGCTGAGGCAGGAGAATCATTTGAACCTGGAAGGCGGAGGTTGCAGTAAGCCAAGATTGTGCCACTGTATTCCAGCCTGGGTGACAGAGCGAGATTCCATCTCAAAAGAAAAAAAAAAAAAAAGAAAGGTTGAAATAAAGACTTCTTCTGATAAATAAACCTGAAAGAATTGTCAAAAGCAGTGTGAATGTTACAAGAAATGTTAAAGGGAGTTCTTCATGATGATGAAGGAAAAGTATCTCAGTTAGAACTTTGAATCTATGCAGTGGAAAGAAGAGTGCAAAAAATGTTAAATATATGTTTTGTTTTCTCCTTTAAAGACTTTCATATGAAAGACTTGACTACTTGAAGCAAAATGTATTACATCATTGGACTCATAAAATATATAAAAATAAAATTTGTGGAGAAAGTAGCATAAAAGATGGACAAAGAAAATGGAAACTTACTGTTGTAAGGTCCTTGCATTGTCTGTTAAGTTTATAGAAGTCTCTAAAGATAGAGAGTGATAATTTAACCATGCTTTGTAAATCTTAGAGCAAGCTCTAATATATGAGACAAATATTTTATCTCTAGTAGTACAGAAGTAATGAAATACTATTAATACTAAATCTAATGCAGAAGAAGAGGTAAAAGACAATTAAAATTTGGTGGACATCAGAAAACAAATATACTAAAATTCAGTAATATCAATTGGGCTAAATATTTAAAGCAGAAAAGCAAAGATTATCATTTTTCCTTTAAAAAAAGTAAGACCTAAAAATCAGGGAGATTAGAATATGTTTTGAACTAAATGATAATAAAAACACAAAACATGAAAATTGTGAATTCAGCTAAAGCAGTGTGTCAAACCTGCCAGGTGTTTAGGAGGTCAATTAGGACATGAGTCCAAATGAAGGAGTCATCAAGCCTTTGGGTACTTCTTACTAAAATGCCTGGTGTTCGGTCTAGGTCCTCCCACTTGCTGCATAGAAAGCCAATCACTGAGACACTGAGTATTGCCAGAGAAGAAGGCTTTATTTGGGTGCTGCAGCCAAAGAGAATGGGAGATTAGTCTCAAATCTGTATCCTCACCCAACTAAAATTAGGGGCATATATAACAGGGAAGAAATGTAACTATGTGTGGGAAAACAGGAATTAGGGAGGTAAATGAAGGAGAGTTGGTAAACAGGCAACAGGTGGTTAGTTAGGCAGTCATGACGGGTGAGCAGTCTGATGTCTCATTGTCCAGATGCTGTGATCTGGTGAGTTTCAGCTCCTTGATATTACTTGGCAGGGCTTATGGTTGGTTTCCTAAGAAAGGAACCCAGAGAAGTCAAAGGTAAATTTCTCAAGTTTTAAGACTAGGAGGGTCAATTTCTATGTTTATTCAAAAGAAACCATAAACATGAGTTCTATGTGACAATAGAGCCAGTTTCACTTTTACTGTGATGTATTATAAGATCAGCAAGGGGCCAAAATTTAAAGAGGTGCTACGTCCCCACTGTTCCATTTTGCCCTTTGGAATGGCATTAGGCAAGGGTCAGGTGACATGAAGTGGAGGCAAGGGAAATTGTCTCACTGCCAAGGAGCTCTGAACAAAAGTTCCCTGCCATTCTATAGACCTGGGATAGGAGGAGAGGGATAGGAAGAAAAAGTAGAACTGTAAAAGACTGAATCAGGGGGAAAATGTCTTAGTCAAGTCTCCCTGATAAGTCTCAGTACAGGTGACTAAAAGCATCTCAGCTGAAACCCCATGGTAAGAAGTTTTCTGAATGGAGGCACCTGGGCTAGGAATACCATGATGTGTATGAGTATGACTGGGCCCAGAGGGCTTGAGTTCTGGACTGCAAATGTCCTCAGAAACTGCAGTGCACTGACTGTGTACCAAGACTGCTGTGGGGATGGTAACTGTTCCCTGTGAGGTGTGTCAGTTGAAGCCTTTTTAATTGTCAGTGTTCAGGCCCGAAGAATCATATGTAGGGTTTTAGCATGAAGTTGGACTTCTCACAATGCTTAGAGGAAATTATACCTTAAAGTGTTTATATTATATGATAAAAAAGATCTAAAACCAATGTTCTAAGCTTCACCTTAAGAGTACAGAAAAAAAAGAGCAAGTTATGCCCAAATAATAAGGAAAAAAAAAAGGAAAGAAAATAGTGGAACCCAATGAAATAGAAATGTATAAGCAAGAGAAAAAACAACAATAAACCAAAGTATTTTGGCATTAAAAGATTGATAAAATCTATAAAATTTCAGCTACATTAATAAAGAGAAAATGAGACAAAATTTATTAGCAATATCAGTAACATAAGAGGGGACATCACTGGAGATTACACAGATGTTATACTTACCAAAATTGCAACAGAAATACTTGTTCTGTAACTGGCTCTGTTACACATGTTGAGAGGATACAAAATTGGGTAAGACAGGATGCCAGATGTTAGGGGCTCAAAATTTGGCAGGATATAGACACAAGTACAACTGAATATATAGAAATACCTTGATTTATGGTATTGTAGAGGTTGAATATCTCAATTATTATATACAGAAGTTGAAAAAGGCTAGCAGAAGATGAATCATGAGACCTAAATTTTGTAGAGTGTGTATTACACAAAACTGGGCAAAAGAGTTATCCACATCAAACAGACTGCTTGAGAAAAAGAGCCAGAGCCTAGAGAACATCTTACATTGTTTTGTAACTGATTCGACACATGTGTTTGTAATGTTTGATGGTGGGTGAATTACCGCCTCCTAACAGGTCTTTCTGCTTCCACTCCTATTCTTGTTACAGTCTACATTAGTTATCTGTTGCTGTATAACAAATTACTTAACAATGTACAGACTTAAAACAAGCACTTAATATCTCATAAATTCCATAGATCAAGAATCTGGGCCTGGGCCGGGCGTGGAGGCTCACACCTGTAATCCCATCACTTTGGGAGGCCAAGGCAGGTGGATCAGGAGGTCAGGAGATCGAGACTATCCTGGCTAACATAGTGAAACCTCGTCTCTACTAAAAATACAAAAAAAAAAAAAAAAAAAAAATTAGCCGGGCGTGGTGGCAGGTGCCTGTAGTCCCAGCTACTTGGGATGCTGAAGCAGGAGAATGGCGTGAACCCGGGAGGCAGAGCTTGCAGTGAGCTGAGATTGCGCCACTGCACTCCAGCCTGGGTGACAGAGCGAGACCCTGTCTCAAAAAAAAAGAAAAAAGGAACCGGGCCTGCCTTAATTAAGCACTTATGACACAGGGTCTCTCAAAAGACTGCAATCAAGATATTCCCTAGGGCTGCAGCCATCCCACATCTTGAATAGGGAAGGATGCACTTTCAACTCTCTCAACAGCTGTGGGCAGGCTCAGTTTCTCTCTGAAAGTAAGTGGCTGGAGACATCACTTCCTTGCCCGGTGGACCTCTCCTTAGAGCTAGCCACAGTGTGACAACTTGCTTCTCCCTGCCCTTAGAGTTTTCGGTGGAAGGGAGAAAGATTGATATTGAAAGAGAAAGAGAAAGCAACACAGAACTCACAATCTTTTTTACTAAATGACATCCATTACTTTCACTATATTCAATTTACAACAAGTAAGGCACTAGATCCTGTCCTTATTCAACAGGATGGGATTACACAAGGGCATAAAAGCCAGGAGATATGAATCATTGGGAACCATCTTAGAGGCTGCCTGCAGAAGACTGCTCTCTGCCTCTCAGTGATTCATGTCACTCCCAAATGCAAAATATTGCCTCTCAAGGTGCCCTAAACTCTTACTCCATTGCAGCACTAGCTCAGAGTCTAGAATCTCATCATTTGGGTCAGGTTCATTTATGTCTGAGACCCCTTCAGGTATTGTTCAGTAAGTACTTCTCTTCAAGTACAGTTCTTCTCAGTCTATAAGGTTATCTGTCCTCACACAGCCAACAGATAATGATGAAATGAACAAGGGATAGCCACCATAAACCCTCTTTTCACAAAGGGGAAAAACAGGAAATACAGAGAAGGAATTAGGATATCTAATCGGGCAAATGGTCATAGTTTGTTAATTAAGTCTCAATCTCTGGGAATGATTATCTATGGCTTTCATCTCTATTCTCTGGACTCTTACCTCCCTGTTCCCAGCCGCCCTTCCTTTTTTGTCAAAGTTAGCACATATTTGAAACAGAGTAGTTTTATCAGCCTGCTTCCTGCCAGAAAACTAATGGGGAATCCAAGAAACACTTTTTGATTTTATACTGGCAATATCCTTTCAGTTCAAGCTGACAGTATTTATATTGTTTTATCAAAAACAATTGGCATCCTGCAAATATCATTGATATTTTCTTCATTAGACAAAAGCCACACCCACAAATCTTATTAAGATCCATATTTTTTTTCCTATCTTGGGCTGTTGGTGAGATGGCTGGGGCGCAATGCCCTTAGGCTTCCTAGAGACCCTGTAGTTCAGTTTGAGGTAGGAGGTGGTACTCAACTCTGGAGGCACGGCTCAGATACTGGACCAGATTGAGGACTAGCTAAAACAGGGAAGAGGCAAAAGCAGCTCTCTGTAAGACATGCCCACCAGTGCCATGTCAGTTTACCATTGCCATGGCAACACCTGGAAGTTACTGCTCCTTTCCATGGCAATGACCCAATGACCCAGAAGTTACCACCCTTTTACTAGAAATTTCTGCATACTCTGCCCCTTAATTTGCATATACTTAAAAGTGGGTATAAATATGATTGCAGAACTGCCTCTGAGCTGCTACTCTAGGCATACTACCTATGCAGTAGCCCTGCTCTGCTAGGATTAGTACCTCCACTGCTGCTGTGCACAGCTGCTTCTATAAAAGTTGCCATCTAACACCACCAACTCACCCATGAATTCTTTCCTGGGCAAAGCCAAGAACCCTCTCAGGCTAAGCCCCAATTTTGCAGCCCGCCTGCCCTGTGTCAAGTTGACAGGCTCTGTGATGTGCAACCTTGATCTCTTCAAATGGATTTTTATGTGATGGATACTTTGAGGTGCCACACTTGATCTTTCAGACATCCTAATGATAAGCCTGACAGTCCCACTTTCAGCCTTACCTGTAGATTACATTTTCCTGGCAGTGCTATGGTTCTGAACTTTGCTTGGAAGCCATGTATTAATTTTGGCATCTTTTGGTGTCTGAAAAAGCTAAATAATTTTTAAACCATCCAGTCCTGGCTCCTTTAAGTTTAATAGTTGTTTCCTCAATTTATCTCTCTCCTCTTACCTTTTACTTTAAATAGCAAAATAAAAACAGGCAATACCTTAAACGCTTTGTTTGGAAAGCTTATTAGCTAAATGAAAAAGTTCATTACAAACATCTGCTTTCCACATAACTTCAGGTGACAGTGTTACTAAGCTTTCTGCCACTACATAACAAAGAAACAAGGATTGCCTTTCCTCTAGTTTTTAATAACATGTTCCTCTTTTCCTTTTGAACCCTCACTGGAAACATCTTCAAAGTCTATATTTGCACTAACAATCTGTTAGTGCAAGCAATTTAGGATTTCTGTAACATGTTCTTCAAAATCCTTTCAGTCTCTACCTTCTGCCTGTTTCTGAAGCCAACTTCACATATTTAGATATCTTTAAAGTGCATCCCACTCCTGATACCAATATCTGTTATTAGTTATCTACCTCTGTGTAAAACATTACCTCCAAACTTAGCTGCTTAAACAATACCTAATTTCTATCTCACATATTTCTATGGGGTAGTAACTAGACATGGCTTGGTGGAGCAGCTCTGACTCAGGGTCTCTCACAAGGTTAGAAACTGAAGTGTCACTGTAATGTAGTTATCTTCAGGCTCAATTAAGGGAGGATCTGCTTTTGATATGGGCCAAATTGTGTCCCCAAAAGGCATATGTTAAAGCCCTAACCTATAATACTTCAGAATGTTACTGTATTTAGAGATAGGGCATTTAAAGAGGTAATTAAGGTCAAATGAGGCCACAGGGTGGGGTCCTAATTCACTATGACTGGTGCCTTTATAAGAAGAGGGAAAGACAGGAGAGGCTCACATGCACTGAGGAAAGGCCATGTGAGAACATAGTAAGAAGCAGATGTCTGTAAGCCAAGGAGAGAGGCCCCAGGAGAAACCAACCCTGGCAACACCTTGACCTTGGATTTCTAGTCTCCAGAGAAAATAAATTTCTGTTGTTTAAGCTATTCAGTGTGTGGTATTTTGTTATGGCAGCCCCAGCCAACTAATAAAACTTCCAGGCTCACTCACATGGCTGTGGGCAGTGATTGTAGACTGCTGTTAGGAAGGGACATTTTTTTCTTTGTTAGGTAAGCCTTTCCATAGGGCAGCTCACAACATGAAACCTGCCATATGTGCATGTATGACAGAGCAAAGGAAGAGAAGGACCAGGAGAGGAAAAGAGAGAATAAGAGAAAGAGAGAGATGAAAGCCAAAGTCTTTTCACAACCTAATATCAGAAGAGATATCTCATTTATTTGCTGTTTTCAGTTAATTAGAAGTGAGTCAGTAGGTCCAGTCAACTCTCAAGGAGAGAGGATTACACCATGGTGTGAATATATGAGGGTGAGGATATCGTTCAGTTTATTGTCCACAGAAAGGCCAAAGTAAACTCTTTAAAAATGGCAATCATGTTCCTCCCAGATTGAAAAGTGGATCATAACTTTCTATGGTCCTCCAATAAAACCAACACTTCCTTTTTCTGTGGTTTTAAGACATGTCATGATTAGACTTCTTGCTCACCTCTTTAGCTTACTAACTGCCCTCCACCATATCACCTTGTTTTACATTTTTATTCTTCAAACATATTTAATTCTTCCACAACTCTGGAAATTTGTCTTTGCTTCTCCTTCTGCTTGGAGAGATCATCCTCAGATGTCCCCAGAAATTACCTCCTTTCTATTAGTCAGGTCTCAATATCACTTCCTGAGAGTGACCTTTGCCAGATATCCTCAGGTTGTTACACTGCCCCTGGCCACTTCTTATCACATTACCTAATTTCATTTTCTTCACTTGCCTATTTACTTGTTTATTGTTAGGTACTTCCACTGGAATATATGCCCATTCTTGTTCAGTTTAGTGACCTGATCCCTGGAGCAGTGCCAGACACATGCTACATATACATCAAACATGCTTGAACAGTTTATGGATGGTCTGAGTCAAGGAAGAAGGCCCTGATGCTAGGCTGGGGAGGCAGGATGACGTTTTATAAGGCCATTTTTGAACCTGGGTATAATATGTTGAAAAAAAGATCTAAAGGCACCAGGAAGCAGGTGGAAGAGTGATTAGTGGGGCAAAACCTGGAGAGAGCCCGAATGCAGAGTTGGGATTGCAGGCAACAGGGGCAATGGCAGTGGGAAGGATGGGCCTTGGCATTTTTTTTAAACCATATTTTATGGAAATATTTCTATATGTTTGTGCCTGAGTATCCCTGGCAGGAATGCAAATAAATATCTACTTTCCATTTTGAATATGACAGGGTTCATGCAATTCTATTTCTAGCCAATTCTGGCTTCTTCAAAAGAGAATGGCTATGCAGACATTGTCATAAACATGGAAGGGACTTTGTCACAAAGAGTAGGCACCTTTATCCCTTTGTTTTAAAACATATGTCCCCATAATTCTCATGCATTTGATACATATTCTGTTTGCATATTTTGAATTCCCAGAAAAATTTGTTATGTCTCTTCACTATGTACTGAGTCATAAATAGTGTACTTCTATAAACACATCAGCAAGATAGAAAAAAAAGTATGAATCGTGCTCCCAATGCCTTGGCCCTGCCACTCAGTCCTCTTAGTTTCCTATGTCTCCTTAAGAGAGGCAACAGAGAAATAAAGGGAGAAAGAGAAGCGAGAGAGAAAGAGAGAGAAATTGAGAGAGAGAAAGAGGCAGGGGAAAGAAAGAGGTTGGTGTTAATTTTGATTCTCTCTCTGGAGTGGTTGTTACCCTGTAGACAAGAATTTTATCCTGGCATGGCATTTAAAACAGGAAGTTTAAGCTACATAGCTGTGGTTTTTTGGCCTAGAATTGGGCCAACCTTTCCTTCCTTTTAGTGACTCAGATCATATACTTTTTAGAGCTAGAAAGAAACCCACTTCAGCCTCAGTTACCTGATCTGAATAAGGAAGTGGTTGAACCAGATAAGGTTTAAGAAACCCAGATCATAAAAGCCTGTGATTCTAAGCATCTGCAAGCACACGTGCACACACACACACACACACACACACAATCAGCAAGGTTCTGCTTGGAAAGCCTTGTGCATGGTACACACTCAATAAACATTTGTTTATTTGATGTTGTTTGATCTTATCTAATACAGCATCATCTGCTTTCCATTTCCAAAAAGGATGTGGATTGTTCAGCTCCTTATCCTTGCTAATTAATTCAATTCCTTCTTTTCATGGACAAAATGCTATGCGTGCACAGAGGAGGGAGGTACGAGTTTAGTAGGGACAGCTAAAAAGGAAGCTCCACAGAAGAGGTGATATTTCAGTCCTGAGGCATAAGTAGAAGTTTGACAAACAAAAAGAGATGAGGAAAGGCATCTGAGGACAAGAGAACAATCTAGTACAAAAACTTGAGGTATATGGGTCTGGTATATTAGGGAATCCTGAAATGTGGGGTGACTGAAGAGATGTTCAGGAAATTAGACCATACAGACAATGGACATGTTTTGTATTTGCCCATCTGCTGTCTGTTCCCCTCTCTGCTAACATCCCTTCATCTCTCTGGGAACTTCTTCCATCCCTCTCAGGCTTGTGTGTTGGGTTAGCCTGACCCCTACCCCCGGTCTCTACAGAAAGATGTGTGTCCCAAGTCCGGCCAGCCACAGCACTGAATCCCTCCACTCTCCAGGTTTATAAATTACTCAAGTAGGACCAATCCTACTCAATGGAATCAGGATTCCCTACTAAAGCAAATGGGAAGGAAGAACTGTTGCTCTGTGGACATCGCTAAAAGGGTAGCCTGAGGCTGTAGGTGGCTATTTTGCCAATACCTGCAGTAACCCCACCTGAGAATACAGCCATCATCACATAAGCAAAGCAGAACCAAGAGAGATTCTTGGTGAAATGCTTTCATCACCTGCTTCAGATTTCTCAAAGGGAGAGCTACTGTCATTCTGGGTAAATTTTTTAAAAATCCTCCTTGGGTGGGATGTTTTGCCCACTGCCCCACCTGCACATCCTTGGCAGATGCCCTGAACGCCACCCCCCACCCAGTTGTGATAAAGCACCCTCATGTGTTTCCAAATAGCCCCTATGGAGATGGCGTTGCCACAGGGAAGAACCTGATCTGTATGCAGTCTTGCCTACCTTGGTAGTTCAAAAGTCTATTTTTTTTTTTTTCAGTTTGGTTTTGGTTTGGCAGCTTGAACTGGGTTTCTGTCACTTGCAAGTAAAATGTTCTAACTACTTCAAAGAAGTAGGGGTCAAATGGTGAGCCTTGTCTCTACTTGCATCCTTTATTATCTGATTCATGAATGTGTGTGTGTGTGTGTGTGTGTGTGTGTGTGTTATCTTGAGAAGCATAAGAGGTAGGCAACATTAATAGTGAAACTAGACAACCCTAATTTGCTGAGTGTTAGATGTCACTTTAATGTCAAAACCCTTGGGGCTAAAAAAGATGTGACAAGGGAAAGTAAGAAGGGGCCCAAATCCCAAGTAACTTGAGAAATTGTACCTTGACATAAAATAAGCTTTAAAACCAAGATACCCAGGCAGGATATTTAAAATATTCATCAAGCAATTTAGCAAGAGAATAAAAATGAACCCATCAGTAAAAATGGATTACAGTGGGTAAAAAATGGGACGATTAGCCCTATATCCAGGAACTCACAGGATTCTCACTAAGGCTTCATTGTTATATCATCAGAGTATCTTAATATAACTTTGCTTTTCACAACAATATCCATTAGAATTTTTCTTTCTTTTAGTAACCAACTCCTTCACAGTTAGTCCAGCACCAAAGGAGAGGATCTTACGTTTCAGGCCAGTGTGATGGTCAATGTTCTTTCATCATTTCTCACTGATTTTGCATGCGGATTTTTCTTTCCCTATGTAATCTACCAGTACAGATAGCTTATTAAAAAACTGATCTTAAGGAGAACAAATGTGATGATGATTAATGTGCACATATATAGTTTTTCTCTTTTGTTTTATCTCTTTTTCTTATTTCTTTCTCCTTATAAAGAAACCCATAGAGTTTTCTTTGCTTGGGAAGCATTAAACCCTGTAATCTCTTGTTTCCTCTCATTTAAAAATGTGTCTTACTACTTTCTCAAAAGAGAAAAAAATAACTGTCTTTTCCAGTTTCCTTCAGTTAGTTGCTTTCCCCTAAAATAATCCATTCACACAAAAGCACTCATGAGCAATATATAATTTACTAGAGATTGCATCGAGCCAGCAGAGGGTTTATGTTGGCCCAGCCAATAACAAATTGAAATCTTCCTTAGACTTTGCTGTGGTGCCACAAATTTTCCATAGTGGGGGCTGAATGGTGATTCTCTCTCTTCCTTCTCCAGAGCCTCTCCCTGCCTTGCCTGCTCTCTTTATTCTATCTTTAGTCTTCATATTGAGAGGTGACAGCATGCCGGCAGCCCTCACTCGCTCTCCGTGCCTCCTCGGCCTCGGCGCCCACTCTGGCCGGGCTTGAGGAGCCCTTCAGCCTGCCTCTGCACTGTGGGAGCCCCTCTCTGGGCTGGCCGAGGCCACAGCCAGCTCCCTCTGCTTGCGGGGAGGTGTGGAGGGAGAGGGGTGGGCAGGAACCAGGGCTGCGCACAGTGCTGGCAGGCCAGCACGAGTTCTGGGTTGGCGCGGCTCAGCAGGCCCCGCACTCAGAGTGGCCGGCCAGTGCCGCCAGCCCAGGCAGTGAGGGGTTTAGCACCTGGGCCAGCAGCTGTGGAGGGTGCACCGGGTCCCCCAGCACTACCGGCCCACCAATGCCGCTCGAATTCTTGCTGGGCCTCAGCCACCTCTCCTCGGGCAGGGCTCTGGACCTGCAGCCCGCCATGCCCGAGCCCCCCGCGGTGTGTTCCCACGGGGCCAAGCCTCCCCGACGAGCGCTGCTCCCTGCTCCACGGCGCTGGGTCCCATCAACCACCCAAGGGCTGAGGAGTGCGGGCGCACCACGTGGGACTGGCAGGCAGCTCCCGTCCAGGATCCACTAGGTGAAACCAGCTGGGCTCCTGAGTTTAGTGGGGACTTGCAGAACTTCTATGTGTAGCTGGAGGATTGTATACACACCAATCAGCATCCTGTGTCTTCCTCAAGGTTTGTAAATGCACCAATCAGCACTCTGTATCTAGCTAATCTAGTGGGCACTTGGAGAACCTTTATGTCTAGCTAAGGGATTATAAATACACCAATCAGCACTCTGTGTCTAGCTCAAGGTTTGTAAATACACCAATCAGCACTCTGTAAGTAGCTAATCTGGTGGGGACTTGGAGAAACCTTTATGTCTAGCTAAGGGATTGTAAACACACCAATCAGCACTCTGTGTCTAGCTTGGGGTTTGTGGGTGCACCAATCAGCACTCTGTATCTAGCTAATCTGGTGGGGACTTGGAAAACTTTTATGTCTAGCTAGGGGATTGTAAATACACCAATCAGCACTCTGTGTCTAGCTCAAGGTTTGTAAATACACCAATAAGCACTCTGTGTCTAGCTCAAGGTTTGTAAATGCACCCATCAGTGCTCTGTGTCTAGGTAATCTACTGGGGACTTGGAGAACTTTTGTGTCTAGCTCAGGGATTGTAAATGCACCAATCCATGCTCTGTGTCTAGCTAATCTAGTGGGGACTTGCAGAACTTTTGTGTCTAGCTCAGGGATTGTAAACACACCAATCAGCACCCTGTCAAAACGGACCAATCAGCTCTCTGTAAAATAGTCCAATCAGCTCTCTGTAAAATGGAGCAATCAGCAGGATGTGGGTGGAGCCAGAAAAGGGAATAAAAGCAGGCTGCCCCAGCAAGCAGTGGCAACCCGCTCTCGTCCCCTTCTGCACCTTGGCAGCTGTGTTCTTTCGCTCTTTGCAATAAATCTTGTTGCTGCTCAATCTTTGGGTCTGCACTGCCTTTAGAAGCTATAACACTCATCATGAAGGTCTGTGGCTTCACTCTTGAGGCCCAGGACACCACAAACCCACTGGGAGGAATGAAAAACTCCAGACGCATGGCCTTAAGAGCTGTAACACTCACCGTGAAGGTCTGTAGCTTCACTCCTGAAGCCAGGGAGAGCACAAACCCACCAGAAACAAGATAACTCCAAACACCTCTGAACATCAGAAGGAGCAAATTCCAGACATGCCGCGTTAAGAACTGTAACACTCACCGTGAGGGTCCGCGGCTTCATTGTTGAAGTCAGTGAGACCAAGAACCCACCAATTCTGGAAACAGTATGGCAGTCCCAATCCTTCTGTTCTATATGATAGGTCGTGCAATTCTGCTCTGTTCTAATGTTATCTGGAAACTCGCCTATCTAGCCACCTCATTATCTGGCAAAACAAAAGCCCCCTCCCCTTGCTAGGACCTATTCTATTTAGAAACAAGGAGCTTGAAATGACAAAACGTATTATATTCTCTTATGCTAAATGTTCGAAAATGCCTATTTATTAATCGGACATTGTCCAATGATGTTTGGATAAACATGCACTTTCAACAGGTAGTATAATGTTTTAAGCATAGTCTTTTGTTGAAAGATAAGTAAAACCATTGTTCGTGACCTTGCCATTCAGTGTAATGTTTATGGCAAGATAGTTCCGCTTTTCTGGCCTTATTTGCATTTCTGGAGAATGCCACAGTTTATCTTCATTTTTAAGACAGTCTTATCTACTTGCCCCGTCCCCCTCCACACCCATCGCTAGATTACAGCCTCCCAATCAACTCCTTTTCAGTTCACAACGGGAAATCAGGAATTCCATTCTAAAAGTAGAAATGAGGGTGGGGCGCAGTGGCTCACGCCTGTAATCCCAGTACTTTCGGAGGCCAAGACGGGTGAATCACCTGAGGTCAGGAGTTCAAGACCAGCCTGGCCAACATGGTGAAACCCCATCTCTACAAAAATACAAAAAATTAGCTGGGCATGGTGGCAGACGCCTATAATCCCAGCTACTCGGGAGGCTGAGGCAGGAGAATCGCTTGAACTTGGGAGGCGGAGGTTGCAGTGAGCCGAGATCACGCTACTGCACTCCAGCCTGGGCAACAAGAGTGAGACTCCGTCTCAAAAAAAAAAAAAAAGTATTAATGCAATGAGATTTCCTGTTTCCCATATGCAGTGGCTTTTCAGAATAGGAGATGTATGTTCACCTCCCTGGTAATTTTAGGTTATATGATTTTTAAAATATTTGGATTAAAAAAGAATAACTGGTCCCTTTCTTAAGTATACAGTATTTTGCGTCCTTATTTTTTTATTCATTCAAAAATATATTCTGAGTACCTATGCTGTTCTAGACATTGTGTTAGGTGTCAGGGATACCAAAATGAATGCCCAAGCATTTTCATGACGAATGTTCAATCTAGTCATGTACGAAAAAAGACGAGCAAATATTATTTACAAAAAAGATGGTAATGGCTCGGTGATGATGATGGCTGATATTCATTGGGTGTTTACTATGTGCCAGCCACCATGCTAAACAATTGACCTATATTATCTTATTTGATCCTCAGAACAATCACATGAGATATACACTATTTTTTTCTTTTTAGTTTTTGTGGATACATAGTAGGTGTATATATTTATGGAGTACATAAGATGTTTTGATACAGGCATGCAATATGAAATAAGTACCTCATGGAGAAAGGGGTATCCATCTCCTCAAGCATTTATCCCCTGAGTTACAAACAGTTTAATTACACTCTTTATTTTAAAATGTACAATCAAGTTATTATAGACTGTTGTCACCCTGCTGTACTATCAAATAGTAGGCCTCATTCATTATTCATTTTAACTATTTTTGTACCCATTAACTATTCCCACCTTCACCCAGCCCCCCAGCCTCTGGTAACCATCTTTCTCCTATGTCCATGAGTTCAATTGTTTTGATTTTTGGATCCCAAAAATAAGTGACAACATGCAATATATGTCTTTCTGTGACATAATGATCTTCACTTCTATCCATGTTGTTGGAAATTACTGGATCTTTTGTGTGGCTGAATAGTACTCCATTGTGTATATGTACCACATTTTCTTTATCCATTTATCTGTTGATGGACACTTAGGTGGCTTCCAAATCTTGGCTGTTGTAAACAGCACTGCAATAAACCTAGGACTGCAGGTATCTCTTTGATATACTGATTTCCTTTCTTTTGGGTATATACCCAACAGTGGGATTGCTGGATCATATGGTAGCTCAATTTTTAATTTTTTGAGGAACCTCCAAACTCTTTTCCAGAGATATACCCTATTAATATTCCCATTATATCAGTAATGTAACTGGAGTTAAAAGGGGCTAAGTTACTTGCCCTAAGTCTTAATATGAGGTAAAGCCAGGATTGAAATCAAGTCTGAGACCACAGTCCATGCTGCTAACTCTTGTATTACACACAGATATATGCAGTAAAAAGGATAAGGCATTTAATCAGAATGGGGAGAGAATAAAGCATAGAAAAGAATGGCATCCCTGAGAGTCACAATGAGAAAATAAGCAAACATAGGTTTAGCTTTGATAATAAGTAATAAGTGGATGTGGCAGGAACTTAGGGTGTTTGGGATGTTTTGGATGTTACATAGGTGTTGTTAGGAAAATTGTCCTTAAAACAGTTGGATTCATGTCACAAAAGGCTTCAGACCATCACCTTCAAGTGCACTTTATCTATCTATAAAAACGTGTTTAATAATGTTACCCCCACTTAGGGCTATGATGTAGAGAATGGAATGAAGATACCGAAATCCTTGAAATATCCTGCCATTCCCTGCTCACGTTCATCACGAAGTCCTAACATTTCTAAGTCCAAAATATATCTCAACTGCATCCAATTCCCTCCATTCCATTGCCTGTGCCCTAGTCAAAGCCTTTCATTTCCTTTCTAGATGTTCATGGCAGCCCCCTGAGTGATGTCTTGTGCCCGACTTGCCCTTCTACATACCAGCACAGTCTCCACCCACACTACAATCGGAAAACTCTTCTTAAAACACTAATGTAATTACACCACTTCTCTGATAAAGAATTTCACACTTCTGATAAAATCCAAGAGCATTTAACATGATACCAAGCCCTGTTGGTCAGGGATAGCCAAGCCCCAAAGCATCCTCCAGAAAACTCTTCTTGACTGCGACTCATTCATTTTACTCCAGCCTTCTTCGGTGTGATGAGTATTTCAAGACCCCATCCCCAGCTTTCACTCTCATCATTTTCTCTGCTGTGGTTCCCTCCCAGACTCTTCCTTTAGCTAAGACCTATTCAGCCTTCTTGGATTTATCATCCTGTCCTTGAAGTGGCCCTCTCTCTTTTTGCATCTAGATGTTGATCTCCCTCAGAGCCTGCCTCTTCTTCATGTCACTTACCACAGTTTGAACTTACAGAATCCTTTGAGTAATTATTTGTCCAAAAACTTCTACTCCCTCCTCTAATGTAATCAGAAAAGAGAATTTGTCTGGTGTGGGCTCCTCATGTGTCTCTAGTGCCTGAGTGGCACCAGGTACAGCACCTGCTGCATGGAAGTTACTTCAGTCTGTTTTCTGTTGCTATAACAGAATACCACAGACTGGGTAATTTATAAAGAAAAGCAATTATCACTCAAAATTCGGGAGGCTGAAAAGTCCAAGAGCATGGCACTGGCATCTAGGGAACCCATCTCAGGGTGGAAGGACAAAAGGCAAAAGTGAACATGCAAGACGGCGGGAGAGGAAGGGGACCAAACTTTATCCCTCTATGAGAATTCTTTCCCTTGGGAGGCTAGGGTGAGTGGATCACTTGAGGTCAAGAGTTGGAGGTCAGCCTGGCCAACAGGGCAAAACTCCATCTCTACTAAAAATACAAAAATTAGCCTGGCATGTTGGTGGGCACCTGTAATCCCAGCTACTTGGGAGGCTGAGGCAGGAGAATCAGGAGAATCTCTTAAACCCAGGAGGCAGAAGTTGCAGTGAGCTGAGATCACGCCACTGCATTGCAGCCTGGGTGACAGAATGCGACTCAATCCCCCCCCCAAAAAAAAGAAGAAGAAAAGGAAGTTCACTCCCTAGATAACTAACCCACTCCCGAGCTGAGGGCATTAATCTATTCATGGGGAGATGAGGAGAGAGCCCTCATAGCTCACTCACTTCTTAAAGGCCCCACTTCTTGATATTGTAGGGAAATTACTGATTCATCTCCCATGAGCAAATCTCTGCACAGACAACACCAGAAACATTACTGCAAATTGTCCTTTATAATTCTTCACTTTATAATCAAATGTAGGCTTTTAGACATTTTCTGCCAATGAACACCTCATGTAACACATTAATTTGCGTGGGGGAGATAGATAGATGGCTGTTAAATTTCAGCGTGAGTTTTTGTGCTGACATTCAAACTGTGGCAGAAGTGTATGAAAAATGCTTGTGAATGTATGATTGATTGACTCAATGGATGAGTAAATAAATGCTGGAAATCCTACTTGAAAAACACATCTAGAACCCTAGAGCCATCTTCTCCTCACCAATAAGGAAATTCACAGTAATCCTAAGCCCTCTGGAGTGGATATGCCTTTTGAGAAAAGCAGAGTCACCAGGGGCAAGGCTTGAGCGACAAGCAGTTGGCCAGTCCAGAGGAGGCCACTGGAACTGCCAGTCTGGGGCCATATAGTGCAGCAGATGGTTATGCTGGGGTGATCCTGGCAGGACTGCGACATGGTGTATGCACAGAAGAGGAATGTGGAAACATTTTAGTGGTGGCTTTCCTAGAAAATCATTTCAAAGGCAAACATTCCATCTGTATGTATGATAATCTGGAAGGTTTAATGAACATCAGGCTTATGATTCTTATTATGAAGTTGTTTTTCACATAAACTGCAATCTTGTGCCTCTGGATACCATATTATGTCAGCTGCTGTAGGGGGCTGTGCCTCCATCTATCTCTCCCACCCAAATTAATGTGTTACACGAGGTGTTCATTGGCAGAAAATGTCTAAAAGCCTACATTTGATTATAAAGTGAAGAATTATAAAGGGCAATTTGCAGTAATGTTTCTGGTGTTGTCTGTGCAGAGATTTGCTCATGGGAGATGAATCAGTAATTTCCCTACATGTTATCCCTGATGTTTTTGCTATAGGCAGCTGTCAGGACTGCCAACTGGCAGCTCACGGAAGCCTTGCTCTCACCCGGAGACAGAACAATCCTTGTCACACGCAGCCAGCTATGGGCACACAATCTCTGTCTGTTGCTGGATCACAGCAGCTAAAACAAAGGCCTCAGAGGGCACATCTATAATGCAGAAAGCTGCTCTTGCTTTGATTGTCTCTATCTGCTCTGGAAAGGCACCTGAATATCCCCCAAAATAGAGCACTATAAACAAAGAAAGCAGTGCTCATTTTCGGACGGAAATAAGCTATAGTCATATGCTGCATAATGACATTTTGGTCAAAATGGACCTCATAGATAACATGACAGTGGTGCCATAAAATCATAATATGATATTTTTTCTGTATTTTTTATATTAACATGTTTAGATACACAAATACTTATACTTACCATTGCATTTCAATTACATACAGTATTCAGCACCGTAACCTGCTATACAGGCTTGTAGCCTAAGAACAATAGGCTATACCATACAGCCTATGTGTGTAGTGGGCTATACCACCTAGGTTTGTTTAAGTACACCTTATGATGTTTGCACAACAATGAAATCACCAAAGGATGCCATTCTTAGACGTTTCCCAGTCATTAAGGGACACATGACTATATATGACTTTGTTTTTATAATGAAAAACCAGGTGAGAACCTCAAAGTATATTAGATCTGGTGTTAGAAGGCCTGGGATCCCAAACAGGCTCACTATTAAGGCTCTGTATTGTTTGGGGCTAGACTCTTGGTCCGAATCTCATCACAGATAAAATTTGAGGTGAGGGGATACCATTATAATTCCTCTCACCTGCCATATTCAACACAATCAGTAGACTGATGGCCCAGGGAGGTAGATTTTTAAATTACATTCCATGGACAAAACAAGTTGGGCATTTGTTTATCTTTTGAACTCTCAATTTCCAAAACTATGGACTTAATATGACAAAAATAGAAGAGAAATATAAATGGCCACCATACAGAAAACATGAGAATAAATGTGAACAGATGTAGTTCATCACGACCCTTTGGCTTGTAGAATTTCTCTAGGCAGCCTCAAATGGATTCTATCCCTCGCTTCTTCCCACTGCTGCCCTCTTCTTTGTTCTGGGCCGGTCCTCGGTTCTTACTCTTTGGACTTTGGTCTTCACATTGCTGGTTCTTTCAAACAGGACCCTGTGCTCCTTTTAAATAGGCCTTCTGCATGAGTCCTTTAAAATCTGTTTCTTTACTCACATTGCTGCTGCTTCTTCTTGGAACATCCTGCCTCTCACTCTCTAACCTCCATATCTCTCAAATCTTGTCTCAAATGGGTTGAATTCCAGCATTTTCCTTTTCCCACTTTCAACCCCTGCCTCCTCCTTCTAGGTGAAATTTCTGTCATTTATTTCATCTTGGAGCACTATGTTGGAAGTAGTATGACTCTGGATGTGGAGGTCAGAAGACCCGCCCTCAAACCTAGCTCCAGTGGCTCCTCGCTATGCAACTCTGGACAAGTTACTTTGCTTATTTGAACCCCATTTTCCTCTTCTGTGAAAAGGATATGACACTATTTACATTAATGGATGCCATAAGGTTTAAATGAGACACCCTATAAAAGTGTCTGGTGTATAAAATTCTTAGCAGCTGACGGTTTCATTTCTCCTCCTCTCTTTTGTGGCACTTTCATTGTTTTATTTTGCAACATAATTTTTTGTGCCATCCCTCTTTTTCTCCACTACTAGGATTATAAGCTCTTTGAGGACAGGCAAGTTGCTTTATCCAACTTTATAACTCCACAGTAGTTTATAATGAGAAAGAGACGTATAACATTGTGTAAATTGGATAGAAAGAGATCAGTAATGTTGCATGAATTAAATGGAGCAACATAATACATATTGCCATTGCCAGATAGGGACATTGGGGTTGAAAGGAAATAGAAATCTGAAGTTCTCAGGTCTCGCAGTGACACTGGTTGAGGGGTAAATAAAAGAAAAAAGCCCCATGCCTCTCTCACCCACACGAAACACAAATATTCCACCCATTTTAATCAGGGCCTTAGCTAATGCATTATATACATTTCTTTCATTCTTAGCCTCCTTCTAAAACAGTCACAATAGCCCACTATAAAGAACCATTCACACACCCTACTCATTCCTTCTTCTTCTCATACCATACAAATACATGAAACCAAAAATGCCAGCCCCTGCAGGATTTTGCAGAGTGACCTTTGCTATTTAGTGGCAAAATTTCCTCATACACCCTCGGCAAGTCTTTGACTCATGTGCTGAGTGAGCCCTCTTCCATAGAACTACAGGATTTTCCAACACATCCAATGTCCCTCGCTGTACCTTCAGTGTCATATGCATCTATTTAATTGAGAAGACCTACCCATGTTTCCTGTAGTGAAGGGCAAGAACCCCAGCAGAGCAACGGGCCCGTTTTGTGCGTGTAGGGAATTTTAGACATTTGGCCTTGGGTGTGTGGATGGACTAAGGTAGAAAAGGAAGTAAAGGTAACTGCTAATAGCAATCAACCGAATCTGGGTTAACTCATTCTCATTTCTTTGATATAGGTTTTTAGTCACCTATTCCCTCGATATTGGGTGGGAGAAAAAATAGTCAGATTAAGTTAAAGTTTCCAGGGAAAAAGGGAGTCGATAGCCAAATAACTGCACCCAAGACTACTGTTCTGTGGCTTTGATTTTGCTAGTCTTTGTTTACATCTTTTAACAGGAGCTACTCTTGTGACAACATTAGGAAATATTTTTAAAAAGATGAGATTCTGTGTCTGATTAGGTTGGAGCTATGAAAGTTATGAAAACAGCACAGAACCTGATGTCAGATGAAAGGCAGATCACCTACCCCATTTTCTACTTAAGAGCACTTTGACCTTGGTGAAGTGACTTAATTTCTTGCAGTCACCGTTTCCCTTTTAATGAAGATTTAAAAGTAAAAACAAAGTCTACCTTCCTATAAAAATTTGAGATAATGAATGCAAAATACTTAAAAGGCAGCAGGCATCGTGGGCCCTCAGGCAGTGGTGGCTACCCCAATCTTTTTATTTTTTTGATTAATTTTTAGTCTGAGTCTGGAAGGGATAAGAATAACGGAAATAAAAAGGGAGAGATCCTCGCAAACTTTGACCTTACTGATTGTGTGCTTTCAGCCCCGTTCCAATCCTTCAAATTCTCCTCTGCGGAGAGCTGAAAGTCTGCAAATTACAATTCCGGGTTCCAGTTCCAGCTGGCTTTCCATTAGCTCCTGCCAAGCTGGGGCGCTGCCTGCAGATTGGAAGGCTGGGAGAGGTCGCGCTGTGTTTAGATTCCTTCTGTCTGCCAGCCAGCCGCATCTTTGGTGGTGAAGGCATCCACAGGGGCTGGAGGCACAACAGTCCCTGGATGAAATCCCTGGATGCCTGACCTCACAGAATGATCCTAACAACAGCAAGGTGCTGGTTGGCCCAGAGCAGGGGACTTCCATGACTATGTGGGCTTCTGCAGTGTTCTAGCAGGGGTGATGGCAGTCACACTGTTCCTTGGCTGCACAGTGATTGTGGGCTCTGGGTACCATTATCCTAACCATCTCCACTTTCTTCTTATAACCCCAGGAATGGTAGCAACTTCCTAGAGTTACAAATTTGGGGTCGTCTACCCCGCCCCGCTTTTGTAAAAATAGATTTTATTCTTCAGCGCAGTTTCAGGTTCACAGCAAAACTGAGCAGAACATAGTGTTCCTGTATACCCATTGTCCACGCTCTTGCACAGCCTTCCCCACCGTCAGCATCCCGCACCAGATAGTACATTTGTTACAACTGATGAGCCTACACTGGCACATCATTATCATCCGAAGTTTGTAGTTTGCATTAGGGGTCACTCTTGGTGGTATGTATTCAGTGGGTTTTCACAAAATGTACTATGACATATATCTGCCACTACAGCATCATACAGAGTAATTTCACTGCCAAAAACATCCTCTGTGCTCCACCCACCTATTCGTCCTTCTCTCCCTCTTTTTTTTTTTTTTTTTTTTTTTTTTTGAGACAGTCTCACTCTGTCGCCCAGGCTGGAGGGCAGTGGTGCGATCTTGGCTCACTGCAACCTCTGCCTCCGGATTCAAGCGATTCTCCTGCCTCAGCCTCCCGAGTAGCTGGGATTACAGGCATATGCCACCACACCCGGCTAGTTTTTGTATTTTTGTAGAGACGGGGTTTCACCATATCGGCCAGGCTGGTATCGAACTCCTGACCTCATGATTCGCCTGCCTCGGCCTCCCAAAGTGCTAGGATTACAGGCGTGAGTCACCGCTCACAGCCCCTCCCTCTCTCGTAAACCCTGACAACCACCAAGCTTTTTGCTGTCGCCATGGTTTTGCCTTTTCTGGAATTTCATATAGTTAGAATCATACATATGTAACTTTTTTAGATTGGCTTCTTTCATTTTTTAATATGCATTTAAGTTTCCTCCCTGTCTTTTCATGGCTTGATAGCTCATTTTTTTTTTTAGCACTGAATAATACTCCATTGTCTGGATATATCACAATTTATTTATCCATTCACCTTTTTAGCACTGAATAATATTCCACTGTCTAGATACATCACAATTTATCCATTCACCTACTGAAGGGCATCTTAGTTTATTCCAAGTTTTAGGAATTATAAATCAAGCTGCTTTAAACATTCATGTGTAGATTTTTGTGTGACCATACGTTTTCAGCTCCTTTGGGTAAATACCAAGAAGTATGATTGCTAGATTGATCCTATGTTAAGAGTACGTTTAGCTTTGAGAGAAACTGCTAAACTGTGTTGTAAACTGTCTGTGCCATTTCTCATTCCTACCAGCCATAGATGAGAGTTCCTGTTTCTCCACATTCTAACCAGCACTTGTCATCAATGTTTTGAATTTTCACTATTCTAATAGGTGTGTAGTGGTTTCTCGTTACAGTTTTAATTTACAGTTCCACAATGTTATATGCAGAACATCTTTTCATATGCTTATTTGCTATTTATACATCTTCTTTGATGAGGTGTCCGTTTAGATCCTTTGCCTATTTTTTAATCAGGTTTTTTTCTTTCCTATTGTTGAGTTTTAAGAATTATTTACCTAACCTTCCCTTTCTGCTCCTTCATTTCTTCCAGTACCTTTGAAACCAATTCTCTATGTTAAATTCTTTCTTTTCAAAATAACTAAAGTGGTATCTGGGTTTGTTTTTTGACTGAGTAGTAATTGAGACCTTTACCACTTCATAACTTTTATGATTTTCAAACAAAACTTCAAGCAAAATTATCGAAGGAGCCTTGAAATATGGAGAAAAAGAGCTGTAAGTTGTTTTGTAAGAAGACACATTCTATCAACTAGGAAATTTAAAATCATGCTTTAAAAAAATGAAGTAATTTAAAAGTCTTAGCACTTTTTGGAGGGTGATACCTGATGTTCATGAAGAATTAACTCTTAGTGATCCTTGACAACTGGGAAGTCATTCATTCATTTGTACATTTATTTGAAATGGAACTGAAGTGGTTTCCCCACTCTCCAGGTGGGAGTGATAGTTTTATTTACAGGAACACATCTTTTTTTTCTGGTTTAAGAAACATTTAAAGGTACAGCTAGTCCGTTATGAATAATACTTAAAAAATCAAGTACTAATATAGATCATTTACTATAAAACAGCCCAAGAGCAGGAAGCTCGGTCCCCTCTTCTCCACTTTCACTGGGTTCTATAGAATTACTTTCACAAACAGAATTCTGGTCAGATCTGACCTGCAATGCCATAAATTTTTCCTGTTGTTGTTTTTATTCCTATCCTTTCATTGCAATCTTCAGATATCCCCTTTTCATCCTCATCTTGGTTGTGGTAAAACCCATCCAGAGATCATGTTCAGGTACAATGAGTTTCTATTCAAATTCACATTCACTCTGACTCAGGAGCAAGTTCCTAATGGTGGCGGTGAAAGCAAATCCTTTCAGTGGAGAGCTCTTAGCTCATTTCCAGCCAATGCACATTGTTTCTGGTCTCTGAATGCTTTCAGTTAATGCATTCGCTTCTGTTGGCACTGAGAAGCTCAGGTAAAACAGGGGTGTCCCTTTTTGTTTGTTTGTTTTTATAATAGACAGAATTGGTTTATTTCAATCACCAAGGAGTTTCCATTAAACTGAGCTGAATTCAATAAAGATAGCCACGGCTTTGCTTGGCATCTTTTATTTTGTGTCACCAAACAAAATGCTTAATTATACTTTCCCATTGAAAATTTAATATTTTCCTGTTGATTCTCACCTACATATCTAGATTCCTCACACCACAATTCTTTTGAAGGCAAACACTTTTGTTTTGTTTTGTTTTGTTTTGTTTTTTGAGGCAGAGTCTCATTCTATCGCCAGGCTGGAGTGCAGTGGTGTGATCTTGGTTCACTGCAACCTCTGCCTCCCAGTTTCAAGTGATTCTCCTGTCTCAGCCTCCCGTGTAGCTGGGACTACAGGCACGCACCACCACATCCAGCTAATTTTTGTATTTTTGGTAGAGACAGGGTTTCACCATGTTGGCCAGGATGGTCTCAATCTTTTGACCTTGTGATCCGCCCACCTTGGCCTCCCAAAGTGCTAGGATTACAGGCATGAGCCACCATGCCTGGCCACAAATACTCTGTTTTGGCTTTGCGGTCACCAACCTGTATTTAGCTTCCATCTCTTCCCTTACAATACGGCAGCAGCTCCCCAGTGGTTCTCATGACCCCTCTGGCTTCCCTTGGATCTTTCCTGCACAGCCACCTGGTTCCATCCATCTAGATTTTGATGTGTAGATACGGCCCTATCTCTCCAGTCCTATGGTTCTCAGCATAAAGTCTCATGCCCCAAAATCTGTTCATCTCCTACCACTTCCCTATGTTCACCAAACTACTCAGGCTATGTCCATTTATGCTTCGTGGCTCCTACTTCTTCATCCTTTAAGATACGAAGTGAGGCTTGAATTTTGTTTCTGCTGCAACTCCTTAGATGACAGTCCCTTCTCCCTCTAGTAAGTAGCGATTCTTTCTCTCTGTGCTTTAAACACTCTGCATTTTCACAAGTTATAACACTTGTCCCATTGGGTCATAAACTTTTGTTTTTGCATCTGTGCCCTCATTTACCTGAGACAGCCTTGAGAGCAGAAAACATATCTCAGATTCATCAACGCATCCCTAGAGACTAGCAAAGCCAAAGGCATATAGTAAGAGAACTGGATGGCTGCATGGGCAAAGCATTCAATATTTTATATAAGTTGCCTTGCATTTACCAAAAGGCCAGATTCTAGGCTCTTGCAGGCATATACACAACTGGGAGAGACACTCTCTGCTACCAAGAAGCATATGATGTAGAAGAAGAGGTAAAGTTGCACAAATATCTTCAGTACAAGACTGCATGGGAGAAAGGACAAAGGTAGAGGGGAAGTAGCTCCCACGTGGCCAGAAGTAGTCAATGAAGCCAAGGTTATCATTTAATCCCAAAACTGGACAGTTACTTTTCCAGAAAGATAGGCTGTCTTGAGTTCCTTGCATCCCACTGCAGGTGAGGCAGTGATGAACTTTTCATTGAAAAATGATTGTGTAACCATCACACTCTTGATTGTTCCAGCTACAAATTCCCAAAATGCAAATTGCTGTGGGCTGAAAGGTGCTAGAAAACGAAATTTCTTGGGAAATTCACTGGAGATTCTCCATGAAAATTAACATGTCCAATTTTCTTTAGGTAGCATATATTAGATACCTTATTATCCCTCCTCAGTAATTACAGCCTTTGGGCTTTTTGAGCTAAAATTACATAAAGGTAAAATGGAATCTTAGAATTGTATTACTAGGAGGAAATGAGAAAAGACTCTATGGATATTTCATTGACTGCATTTAAATGTAAAAATGTAGTGGATACACACACACACACGCACGCAAACACACTCACCCAAATCTCAGATTTCATGTATTCATTTTCTATTGCTGCCATAACACATTACCACAAATGCAGCAGTTTAAAACAAGAACTATTTATTATCCCACAGTTCTGTATGGCACAAGTCTGGGTGCAGCATGGCTTAGTTGGGTCTTCGGCTTAGAATCTCACAAGGCCAAAACCAAGGTGCCAGCAGGACTGTACTCCTTTCTGGAAGCTCTGGAAAGTAATCTACTTCCAAGCCCTTCACATTGCTGGCTGAACTGAGTTTGTGCAACTGTACCCCTGGAGGTCCCGTTTCCTGGAGGCTGGCTGTCAGCTGGGAGCCCATCTTTGCTATTAGAAGCTGTTTGTCTACCTTCTCATGCTCTCCATAGGGTACCCTTTCTACAATGGTGGGCCAAGTCTCCCTCACACTTTAAATCTCTCTGACTTCTGTTGCATTCTGACCTCAAACTGAAAAAGCACTCTGCTTTCAAGGTCTCGTGTGATAAGGTTGAGTCCACCTGGATCATTTCCCTACCTGAAAATCTATAACCTTAATCACATCTGCAAAGTCTCCTTTGCCATAGACTGTAACGTATTCACAGGGATCTGACTGTGGGCATCTTTGGAAAGCTAGTATTCTGCCAGTTGCACTATAGATATTTGTAGTTCACCATAGTATTAATGTGCAAAGATTGCTCAGTCAATTTGATTTCTATTTATATATGCAGATCAGTCAGACAGATTTAAGATTTCTGGCTCTATTAATTATTATCTATTTAAACTAAGATAAATTATTTAGTCTCCTTGAAGCTTGGTTTCCTTATTAGTACAACAGGATATGTTTCACTTTAAAAGCAGTTTTAAGAAATACAAGAGATAATGAATGTAGTAGACTCAGGAGTATAATAGATGCTCAGTAAATACAATTCTTTTTTTTTTTTTTTTGAGATGGAGTTTTGCTCTTGTTGCCCAGGCTGGAGTGCAATGGCGCAATCTCGGCTCACCACAACATCTGCCTCCCAGGTTCAAGCGATTCTCCTGCCTCAGCCTCCTGAGTAGCTGGGATTACAGGCATGCACCACCACGCCCTGCTAATTTTATATTTTTTGTATTTTTAGTAGAGATGGGGTTTCTCCACATTGGTCAGGCTGGTCTCGAACTCCTGACCTCAGGTGATCTGCCCACCTCAGCCTCCCAAAGTGCTAGGATTACAGGTGTGAGCCACCATGCCCGGCCACAATTCTTAAAGATACTTAAAGTGTCCATTCAGCCTCATACCTAGTCAATACACCTACTGAACACATGCGCAGACACTAACGCATAGTAGTTGACTCTACTCAATATCCCTGATACTTCTCAAGAAATATGTTCATAAAGATTCCAGGGCCAAAGGCAACATTTCTATTTTCTCATGCCAAGACAGAAGGCAAAAGGAAGCCCCTTCACGAAATACGGATATTATTGTCTGAGTCCGAGACCCTCAGTACTTCCTGCATTGCTAAATGACTTAGTCTACTTCCAATATCTGTAAATATAGATGACATCTGAGAATGTTGCAGCCCTTTGATTATTACTTTGTCTTTTTGTGGTGGCAAAAAGTAGTCACCAATGAACCCATAGGCTTGAATAGTAGGGAATAGAGCTACTAAATCAATTTAATGGTAGTAAGTAAAAGAGTACCTCATAGGACAATGCTTGTACATGTTAAAATGAAAGTTGAGGCCGGGCGTGGTGGCTCACGCCTGTAATCCCAGCACTTTGGGAGGCCAAGGCAGGTGGATCACAGGGTCAGGAAATCGAGACCATCCTGGCTAACATGGTGAAACCCCATCTCTACAAAACTTAGCAGGACGTGGTGGCGGGCGCCTGTAGTCCCAGCCGCTCAGGAGGCTGAGGCAGGACAGTGGTGTGAACCTGGGAGGTGGAGCTTGAAGTGAGCCGAGATCGGGCCACTGCACTCCAGCCTGGGCAACAGAGCGAGACTCAGACTCAAAATAAATAAATACAAATTTAAAAATAAATAAATAAATAAAATTTGAGCAAGCAAAGTTCAATGGGAATAGATCAAACATCCAAATTGAGTTAGATTTCCTTTTTTCCCCTATTGATACCTCATAAAATTATATATATCACAAGACTGTCAGCAATTACGAAAATATATAGTTTTGAAAATGTTTTGCAAATATTTATTATCAGGTGTTTTTTCTTTACCGTCCATGATATGCATTTTTAAATGCTCTAATTTCTGAAATCATTGCAGAAATTCTGAAGAGCAAGCATAAGGAAAGCAAAAAATTATTTAAAAAACAAAAAAACATTGCCACTCCAGGTATCACTTGGCATTCACAGTTAGAAATTAAGCCTTTCACAAAATGGCTACAGAGTTTGCAATGGGTGCCTTCTCTGTGCAAAACACCATGTAGCAATTACCAAGTATGATTGTCTCTATTATATGTTAACCATTGTTGACTTTGTTAACATTTTCCCTGGATTATTACAGATGCAAGATTTCAAGTCCACAACTTGCTAAAAAGCCTCTCTTACTTGCCTGTGCTTCTTTTTCTCCCTGAACCAAGAACAGAGTTACCACCCACATGTATGGTAGTGACTAGCTCACACTTATTTAGAGGCTGGGTGGGAGGAGGCGAGGAAGGAAAGCGGGCCGCCCTTCTCTGCCTTTGTATACAATATACAAAACCAAGCTACTTTCAAAGGCGTGTATAGAAAATAAGTGGAAATAAAAGATTGGAGCCCCCCCACCCAGTTCAGAAATACAATATCATAAATACACAGATTTGTTTTGTTTTGCAAAAACTAAACAAAAAATATAAGCACAAATCTCACATTTCTATTCTTCCAATTTAACTGACTCCAGAATTTGGTGAATTACACCACATGAAGAACAAGCCCACTCCAATTGTTTTGTTTCCACTTTATCACTTGTATGAACAATTGAGTCAGACGTCTTAGTTGACTTCAATTCTCTGTAATTCGTTCTGAATTTTTAAAACTAATTCCTTGACAGATGATTGTTCATAGCTTTTAAAGAAAAAAATAAGATGAGTCAAATCCCTATCTGTAGTTACTTATTTAATTCTAAGATATGGGAGGTACTGATTTATTGTAAGAGTTGGTAAACTAAGAAAAGGCACTATTCTGTATATCAATAGTAGTTGACATATTCATTCTGCAATATTCATAAGTGCCAGGTCTTGTTCTTCTAAGTATATTGAGAACTATTTGTGTATGACCCTTTGTAATGTATAAAGCACTTTCACATATACGTATCACAATACATAATGTGATATATATATTTTACTATACCAGTTTTAAAGATGAGAAAACTGAAGTCCAGAGGTTTTAGATGACGCAGCCGCTGCTAGTCAAGATTCTAACCAAGTTTTGTGTGACGCAAAGCTTGAGTTCTCCATCCGTGGCTGTACCACCTTCCCAAAGGAGTTTTCTCTTCTTTCCCCCATGCCTTCCTGCTTGCTCTCTTCCCTCCCACCCGCCTGAGAGGAGGAAGAATCCCTTTTCATTGCAAAGGGACCAGTGACTACACACTTTCTCCAAGCCCAAGAATGTTCACTCTCATTCTTGCCTCTGTTATCTTGTCATTCTTCCTTGCTTGGAACTCACAGAGTAATGGGAAGATTTTCAGGATGAGTTAGACTGCCTTCTGCCAAAAAGAAGACATGGCTTAAAATTACCTTCCCTCGATTATTCTAAGCACATTAAAGGTCTAGTTACCACAGCTGTGTAACAAATAATCCCAAAATGCAGTGGCCTCAGCGCGTGTGCGCACACACACACACACACACACACACACACACAGATTTCATTATGCTCCTGGATTCAGTGGGTAAGGAATTCAGACAAGACAGATTGGAGAGGTTTTGTCTTTGCTTTGCAATGTCTGGTACTTTGGCTGGAAAGATTTGAATTGTTAGGGGAAGCATGGGGGAGGAGGGTTGACTCTGCAGCTGGAGGAGTAGAATCACCTGGAACCATATCCTGCCGCGCATGTCTATGGATTGAGGCCGCCTGTGGGCTGGGACCTCAGCATAGCTGTTAGCTGGAATTTCTGCGTGTTACCTCTGCATGTTGTCTCTCTGCACAGGAAGGTCTGGACTTCCTCTCTGCATGACAGTTAGATTTCAAGGGCAAATGTCCCAGGGAAGCCATGTGGAAGCTGTATGGCATTTTGTGATCTAGCCTCAGAAGTCACCTGATGTCACTCCACTTCAGTGAGAAACCTGTCTCCATTCAAGGGTAGGGAGCACAAACCCCACCTCCTCAGTGGGAAAAGAGTCACAGTTACATCTTAAGAAGAACATGTGGGATGAGAAGCATGGTTATGATTATGTTTGAAACATATAACCTGCTATATTTTTACTTGAAAAGGTGACTTAATTACCTTTGTTTCCTCTATGAAAATTCATCCCTTTACCCACTATAATCTGACTTTCATCTTTACCATTCTGTCCACAACTACCTTGTGATCCACAATCATCCTTTGGTCCAGTCCTACTGAGATAGTTGCATTTCTTCCCTGAACACTAAACACCATGTTGTTTCACACCTCCTCACTTTAGGACACTCCAGTGACTGCTCACAGAGTCAAAGCAAAATCCATCAACATTTCTTAGAAATAGGCTACCCAATACAGTAGTCACTAGCCATGGGGGACCATTTTAATCTAAATTAATTAAAATTAAATACAATTGGCTGCGCGCGGTGGCTCATGCCTGTAATCCCAGCACTTTGGGAGGCTGAGGCAGGCGGATCACCTGAGTTCAGGAGATCGAGACCATCCTGGCTAGCATGGTGGAAGCCCGTCTCTACTAAAAATACAAAAATTAGCCAGGCATGATGGCAGGCACCTGTAATCCCAGCTACTTGGGAGGCTGAGGCAGAATTGCTTGGACCAGGGAGGCACAGGTTGCAGTGAGCCAAGATAGTGCCACTGCACTCCATCCTGGGCTAAAGAGTGAGACTCCTTCTCAATAAATAAATATTAAATATTAGTTCCTCATTTACTTTAGCTGTATTTCAAGTGTTCAATAGCTAAATGTGACTAGTGGCTACCCTATTAGCTAGAGTAGAACATTTCCATTACCACAGAAAGTTATACTGGAGGGTACTATCTAGAATCCATTTAGGGCAATGATTTTTAAACCTTTTTCTCAAGGAAATTGTTTATGGAAGGCTATCATACAGAATGGATATAAGTGAAATCCTCCAGTTGAACTAGAGTAGGGGGACTTGGAGATCTTTGCCACATATTACCTCTAAGACATGCCTTTTAAAATTTAGAGCTCCACGGAGAACATCAGAAAAACAATAGAGGAACCCACCCAGCCCATGTAAATCAGAACTCAACCATACCCACAGGCATGTAGATCAGATACAATCAAAAGAAAAAAATGATTCACATCAAATTAAGATCCTGCTCATGTCTTACCCAGCTTATCTAAGATAAGAATACATCTGCTTGTACTCGCTCTAAATATAGCAAGATAGAAACATTCTAGGTTAAAGTATTTCCCAAAGGACAACTTTTGCTAGAAGCCTTGTTCCCCATGGAAAAGCCACACCGGGTTCCCATCAGGACAAGGAGCTAAAATAGTCCTTACTACTTCAAGTGATGAAGTTACAGAGTCAGACCATGTACTTCTCTGATAAAAGAGGCTGAGTTTCAGAGGGCAGGGAACACAGGGGACTTAGGAAGAAAGAAGTCACTGAAATATTAGGGGAGGGTCTGACTCCGCCATGAAAACCTTGAAAAGGAGGTTATAAAATAACACCATGAGAATTATAAGCACATTGGAGAGTTATCTGTGACTGTAACTTTCTCACTCTCTGGTGTCTTTCCAGCCTTATCCTTGTTTTGTTCCCTTGACATTCAGCTTGTTTTTCCTCCTCCCCTTCTATTGGCATCTCAGATCTGTAATCATAGGACCCCTGCCCTGTCCCATTCTGTAGATTTGCAGCTCATGGTCATTCTTCTCCATAGGGCCTCACCCATTCCAGACGGACATTTCAGAACCCGAGCTCCAGCTTACTCTCACCCCAGTGATACGTTGGGCTAGCTCAGTTTCCAACTCTACAAATTCTAAGGAGGCTGAAGGTCAGAGGTCATATAGAGGAAGTGGAAAAGAGATAGGTAGACGTGTCCACATGGACAATTATTGCCATATAAAATCCCTACAGATTGACTGTTTCTCAACATGCCCTAATATTCATTGAGCCAAATTTTGTCAGGAGCTTTATATGTATTAATTTTACATATTTTATCTTTAAATCATGCAGGGTAAATATCGTTATATATTATAAAAATATATAAATGAAGTATCTGAGAAGTCCACTACCTTGTCCCAAGATTACACAGCTCATAAGATGACAAGAAGCCAGGATAACAACTTGCATTTGACTGTAAATCCCATGGTTTTCCCATTCTATCATGATCAATTTCATAAAGCAAGGCATATTGCCCAACTTGGATCTACTGATTAATTTTCATAAGACCTTACAGTTGATTAACCATCATGGTAACCTTCTTACTGAAAGAAGGAAGTAATTTCCAGACCTAGGCCATCCCCTTTTTTTGAAGAACGGCCCTGTTGCTTCATCAGCCCCTTAAAAAATGCTCTCGGCGTGGGATGATCTCCAAGTTTTGACTTTCAGGAAACTGGCTTGAGATGAGGATGCCAGCACCCCCAGTTGAGTGACCGTGATGGAGTTCATCAGTGCTGGGACAAAAGTGGCTCATTCTCTGTCTGTCAGGGTGTGTTTTTCCTCTTCACTCACACTCTGAAACTGAAGAGTCCTTGAGCCTTAGGCAAGTTTGCGTTGGCCAATGGATACTTGAGTCAAGAAGAGCTCAATAAGGTCCTCACATTGGGGCTGGAGAAGACCTTGGCAGTCATCTAACTCTACCTTCTCACTTTGTAGAGGAGAAAAGGGCTGTCTAAGGTCACCACATGAGCAGCAGTCATATCTATTAGCCCAGCCTGTGACTCTTAAAAAGAGGGTGTTTTATACCATTCAGACCACCTCCACACAAAGTGTGAGAGGGCTCTTCTGAAAACTGAAGTTTTTCTGATATTACATTTTTTGACAGTTACACTGTGTAACACAAAAGAGTATGTGCTTTGTAGTCAGACAGATAGGACAGGAATCACACACAGCTGGAGTCTTAACACCACAGCCCCATGTGTGATTTGAAAACTTAATTTCTTTATCCGGAAAAGAGAAAGAAGAATATCTTCCTAATACATCTATTGTGATGATGTTTTAAAAAGTAATTTAGGCAAAGCTTTGTTCGTACAGGAAGTATATGAACATCCAGTTGAATAAGTATCTGTGTTCTACCCATTCATTTTAATGTGATTCTGTAACCCACAGAAGAGTTCAAGTACTTCTTCCCTAAAACATGTCTTTGTTTATTTTGAACTTAATTTGCAGCAAGATCACATGTAGATTCAATTATTTGCTGAAAAAAAATTATTGAGATATGACCACATGTCAAGCACTATTCAAGCAATTGGAAATACAGAAACAAAACAGAAAAAAAAATCCTGTTGCCATGGAGCTTCCATACTATTAGGAGGAATTCGATGGTAAAACACTAAAGTCAACCAAGAGTTTGTTAGAAAAGAGAAAGTTATGGGGAAAATACATCATGGGGAGGGGAACCATGAGTGCAAATGGAAGTTACAATTTAAAATAGGGTAAGTTAAGCTCACCTTGAAGAGGCTGAGGAACGAGCCATGTTGGTGTCTGGTGAAAGAGCATTTAGGTAGAGGGTGCAGCCCATGCAGACTTTTGGAGGCAGAGGTTGCCTGTTGTGTGTGAAGATAGGCAGAGGTCAGATATGACTGGAGCCATACTGGATCACATGAAGATCACATTTTAATTCTTACTGATTCCGTATTACTCATTCTTACTAATTCTTATAGAACTTTAATATTTAGTGCCACAGAACTAAAATTGGAAGAAATTCTTAGGGAGTTTTGAGTCTGACATCTACAGAGTCTGAGCCTCCTGAAAGGGAAAGGCAGCTTGTCACTGGCAGAACCAGGAGTAGAACATAGGCTCTCTGAGTCTCAGTCTATTCCATTTTGGTCTTCCCTAGACATGCAAAGATTAACATTAAAAATCTGTGCTCAGGAACCAGCACATTTCTGGCACTGAAGTGCGTCTTGCCTTTTAATAATGCGCCTAACACATGCCAGTTTCTGTGCTAGAGAAGATGTGGTCCATGCTTTGGAGCTCACAGATCACTGGAGAAAACGGACATAAACACTCTGCACATATTTACTGAATGCCTGTTTTTTTACCAGGAGCAGGGAGCACAGAACATAAGCCTTGAACTCAGGGAGTTCACAGTTATCAGTGAAACGGAGATTACAACAGATACTTTATGAAGTTAATGTGAAGTTAATTAATATAACATCTTATCTAGCGGTACTCAGTAAATAATAGCCTAACCCCTCTCCTTACGGCCATTACCAGCAGGCTGTGAGCAGATCAGACAACATATTTATGTGGTAGCCTCTGAACACCACCAGTAGACCATAGAATACATTACTAGTGCTGTTAATACTTTAAAGTTGCAAAGATGGAAATTAAAATACTAACTATCAATTTTTGAGTATCTACCTGGTGCCTATTGGACCATGTATTTTATATGCAGTATCCCTTTCCACAAAACAATCTTCTAAGGGAAGTATGGTTATCTCTCTGCTACAGAAGGAGAAATTTGTTCTTCAAAGTGTAAGTGAATGTTTCAAGGATACACAGCGTCATCTGTGCTATTTGTGAAATATACACTCATCAACACTGATTTGCTTTAACATGGTTTCAGCCCAGGCACACCCAGGAAAACCATTAAATCTGCATAGGATTCATGCTGAATTTAAATGCACAGTAGGAAAAAAGTTGGGAGGAGAAAAGACACTAACAACTCCCCAGAAAATTGGGAATATAGTCAAAAATACAGATGGATCACTCATCATTAGGATTTCTCTTTTTCTTTTCATAGGACATTCAATTTGTCAGATAAGAAAAGGTAGAGCATTTAGCTGTCTCCCTCCACTCAGACCAAGCCTGAGGAAATTGCTTCTAGAAGTGCAAATTTGGCTTAAAAGCCTGTGGGCTGACAAAGCTATTTAGACTACAGTAGAAAGCTCTGTTGCCTATTGTGTTGGTGTGAAAGTAAAATTGAGAGGAGATACTTAGGTTTTATATAAATTGACTCTTCGACAAGTCTAAGTAGAAAGTCTTTGAAAAAACTCAAGAAAAGCTCTCTTTTTGTTGCCTGCTCCCAAAAGCTAAGACTCCAGAGTTGTTCTGGGAAACTCAGGGCCGGCTTGTGCTTGACACTTGTACACAAAGAGTTTGGAAGAGAACAGCACAATAATCATTTATGGTAATCAGACTCCAGTCCAACTTTGTCTCTACCAATTAAGTAGAGGGGTCATGTGGCATAAAATTCACTTCTAGAAACCTCAGTTTTCTTATCTGTTAAGTGGGTTCTATAAGGTGGACCTAGTGAAATTGCTGTTAGAATTGGAAGGTGATATGGATAGGGTCCTTCACAGGAACATAACATGCGGTTATTATTATCTTTTTAAAGTTTCCTCTGCTTAAAATGCTGCTACCAGTAGATATCCTTTTAAGAAGTTTTCCTAAATGCCATCCATCTCCTATAACCTAAACATAAAACTGTCCATGAAATGGAATTTCTCTGTATATGAGCCCAGTTGCATTTTATGATATTAACCATCTCCATCTCTCCAATGATTCTGACCATCTCTAACCTGTATTACAGGTATTTGAATGCTTGTCCTTTCTCCTAACAGAAGGTGAACTCACTTTGAGATGGCCAGCCTACAGCGCAGAAATCAAAGCTCCTAACAGATGCTTAATAAGTGGATATTAAATACATTAATGAGTTCGCTGATAAGTGTTGCTCCCAAGGGTTAGTGCTTGTTGGCTTTAGATAGATAGTACTTCATTTGCCTCTGTGATGGCACTTAATGTAGCATGTCAGGTCTGTATTATTTATGCAAATCTCCCTGCATCCATAAGAACTAAGTGTAGTAACATACCTACTATATCTAAAGCAGTGTTTGGAATGCTGTTAAGGTTACTATACAACTGTGAAAAGAGCATCATCATGATTTGATATACTTGCATCGGGGCTTAAGAAAAGTTTATTAGCTGGAATTTCTAGATTGGTAGGGAGGCACAAGGGCCTGGCAAGAGGTAGACACTTCCTGGGAGAAAGATAGAGTCAGAATGTCAAATGCTGAGAACACTGGGATTAGAAGGCTGTCCAGTGGGAGAGGTGGTGCCTGCAAGAATTTCAAAAGCCATGCAAGGTGATGAGACACTGACTCCTGAGAAACATTGGCTGGACACAGAATAGGATTAGTTCAAGTGAATTTTTTTTTAATGAAAATTATTTAAGGGGTAGAATATTGGACCCAGTTTGGGGACACAGATCCAAGAAGGTACGTGTAATACTGGAGAAATGAAGGTGAACATAAGAAGAAAGACTGGAATTCTCAGAATTGTCCTCAGGAGTCTGTACTCATACAAGTTATGAGACTGGGTGTTTGAGCCAAATTCACCTAAACCCCAGACAAGTAAGATGACTCCAAATGACATCTGGGCTGCACATGCATAGAGCTTTTTATACTGTGCAAAACACTTTTATTTAGCACACATTTGTGGGCCCCCACCCTGAACCAGGTCCTTGGCTAAGCGTCGACAATTCAAAGATTAGACACAGTCCCTGCTCGGACTGTGAAGATGCTTCACAGACAGATCAGGCAGATGGTGTCATTGCATATTGATGCACATTCGCTTGAATGTGAAGTAACCATTTGCATTTGTAAGCACAGCAGGCGGTAGAAAGTGGATCAGGAATCTAAGAGAAGAGTAACAGAGGGAGAGGAGGGCCGTACCATCTTGGTTGTTTCGCAAGAAAACCTGAGTGGGTACCAAGGTCAGTGCCATTAGCTGTACTTTGAGGATAAAAAGTGAAAGCCCAGGGGATGGAAGTTACTCGCCTAAGGCCCCACACCTCAGTGGTAGCAATACGGGGAGAATGCAGAGACAGGTATTCCAGCGCCAGTATTACCAATAAGTCACTCTTTTGCAAATCCAAGATAACATGGAAATGAAGGGTAAAGCAAGTGACTTTTACAGAACACCTATTACATGCCTGAGGGTTTCCATTCATTATTGACATTTTTCAGAGTACATGCATGAATGCAAGTATGTTCATAAATACGGAAAGGTAATTTTATTATGCTGTTGTTGTTACTAATGCTTAGGGTTTCTTTTTTTCTTTGGCTTTCTTCTTTCATACCTTCCACTTCACATTAACTCTTCCATATTTTCCTTTATTTTATATGCATTCTTTCACCGAATTCATTCATTCATTCAATTTTTTTTTTTTTTTTTTTTTTGAGACGGAGTCTCGCTGTGTTGCCCAGGCTGGAGTACAGTGGCCTGATCTCGGCTCACTGCAAGCTCCGCCTCCCGGGTTCACGCCATTCTCCTGCCTCAGCCTCCCTAGTAGCTGGGACTACAGGCGCCTGCCACCATGCCCGGCTAATTTTTTTGTATTTTTTAGTAGAGACGGGGTTTCACCGTGTTAGCCAGGATGGTCTTCATCTCCTGACCTCGTGATCCGCCCGCCTCAGCCTCCCAAAGTGCTGGGATTACAGGCGTGAGCCACCGTGCCAGGCCCACACACACCATATTTTCTTTATTTATTTGATAAGGAAGTGCTGGGAAGGGAAGAACATGGTCCCTTTAAATAATATGGAAGTGGGGAAGGGAAGTGCTGGATAGAGGAGGGCATGGTCCTTGGCTAGGGCTTCACTCTCACGGACCTAGGTAAGGACAGGCATTCCCTACCCAAATGTTGCATTTCCCAAGACTACCCTGTCCTGCCATGCCCCCATCCTGTGCCCATAAAACCCCCTGAGACCCCAGCAGGCAGACATGGATATGGAGAGAAGCACATCAGCAGAGGAATAGGCAGGCAGCTGGACATCCAGAGGAACACACACACCGACAGGCACCAGCATCCCGGCAGGCCACCAACCAGCAGAATGACGCAGAGTTTGCCTGGGGCAGTCAGAGGGAGAGCCCAGGCCGCTGAGCGCCTGACTCCAGGGGAAAACCTTCCCACTCCATCCCCTCTTGACTTCCCCCATCTGCTAAGAGCTACCTCCGCTCAATAAAACCTTGCACTCATTCTCCAAGCCCACGTGTGATCTAATTGTTCCAGTACACCAAGGCAAGAACTCAGGATACAGAAAGCCCTCTGTCCTTGTAACAAGGTAGAGGGTCTAACTGAGCTGGTTAACACAAGCCACCTATAGATGGCAAACAAAGAGCGAAACTAAAAGAGCACCCTGTAACCCACACCCACTGGGAGCTATGATATTCGCCCCTAGACGCTGCCGTGGTGCCGGATCCCCAAAGCCTGCCCCTCTGTATGCTCCCCGAGAGGTTTGAGCAGCAAGGCACTGAAGAAGCGAGCCACATGCCGTGTGAGGGGGACAGGGGAAGCTTTCCCATTCCATATTCATCCACTGATGGACACTGAGGTTGATTCCATATTTTGGTTAGTGTGAATAGTGCTACAATGAACATGGGAGTGTAAATATCTCTCAATCATATTGATTTCATTTTATTTGGCTGTATACCCAAAAAGGGGATTGCTGGATCACATGATAGTTGTATATTTAGCTTTTTGAGGAAATTCCATTCTGTTTTCCACAATGGCTGTACTGATTGACATTCTTACCAACCGTATATAAGGGTCCTCTTTTCTCCACATCCTCACCAACACTGGTTGTTTCTGGTCTTTTTGATGAAAGACATTCTAACAGGTAATATTTCATCATGGTTATAATTTGCATTTCTCTGCTGATTAGTGATGTTGGGCATTTTTTTTTTCTTTTTCTTCTTGGCCATTCATATGCCTTATTTTGGGAAATGAGCGATTTTAATGTAACCATGCGGTAGGCAGGACTTCCAGTATTGGAGAAAGGAGTCTCTGTTCTTTGCTTCCCTTAATGTGTTCTCACACTGTTTTTACGTCATAAACTTGAGGTTTGTTTTGTTCTTTTTTCTTGGATGGAGCTGTTGTATGGACTAGAAGTTGTAAGAATCTAAAATCAAGTAAAACAAATAGCAACATCAGAAAGATTTTAGAAGTTAGCTGGTTCAGTTCCCTCAATTTCTAAATGGGCAAGCCAGAAACCTACACGTAAGAAAGGATTCCTTAGAGTCACACAGGCTGTTTGTAACAAAATCCAAAGAATATGTTTGTCTCTTGAATTCTAGTGTCCTGTCCCCTATACTTTTGATACTCAAAGTGTGGTCCATGGACCATCCACACTGGCCTAAGCTGGGCGTTTGTTAGACACTTAGAATCTCAGCCCTTTCCCCAGACCTACTGATCAGGTTCTGCATTTTGGCAATATCCTAATGTGATTCATATAGACACTACAGTATGAGAACTCTTCCCAGAGGAAAGGGGAAAACAGAGGATGTCAGCTTACCTAGGGAATGGACAAGAGGTATGTATGTTTGGGGTGAGGGGCGGGGTGTGGGTGTATGAGGGTGTGGGACACAGATGGAAGAACCTCAGCCTGCTATTGTCTGTAAAGATAGACAACTTCAAAAATAATAATAATAAATAGCTTTACCTCTTCCCCCTTCTTTCACGCAAAATTTCTAAGTAGTATCGAGAAGCATAAGTATCTCAGATGAATCCCTGGGATGAGATTTTAGATTTGGCATGAAATTAGGCACGCTTAATGTTGCTCTTTACCAAATCACAGACCCATCAGAAAAGGAAAACAAAGGAACAATTTTCACTTTGTGTTAATAAAACTGTGCTTTGCTCCTTTGCCCTTGGAGTAGCAGCATGAACAAGGAATTGCAAGAAAATGTGGAGTGGGAGGTAGAAGATCTGTATTTCAGAATAAATGCAGTGCATTTTTTAAAGAAAATTAATTCCCATTTTTCTCAGAAGGGCGAGAGATACTCTATTATTGGGAGGCAAAAGTAAACACATTTTTTTTCTCTTCTTTCAAATAGCCTGTCATTTACCTTTTAGCATTACACATTCCTAAGGAGAATTTTTACCCCAGAAATAAAAACCTATGTTCTCTGCCATGAGAAACCCACTTTTTTTTTTAATGATCTATGTCCTGTCCCAAAGTACTACTGCTAATAGCATCTCCATTAACCCTTACATTATGAGTTTTATGTAGCTGAAAGTATCTACTCAAATCTTTTGCAAGTGTGTACTAAATTATAACTCCCATATTTTTGAAGGGTTCCTTTTGGGTTCCTATTTAAATGGTAGGCTGAAAACCTGTTTGTAGGGAAAAAGACAAAAAACAAAAAAAAACCCCACAAAAACAAGAACAGAAAACAAGCAACAAAATATTGTTTAAAAATATTTTATTTGGATCTACTCTTCCATCTACTTTGTGCTAACTATATGAGGCTTCGTCGAAACAACAATTTCTCAAGGAAGAGCTTATTATTCTGATAATGGAGATGAAGATTTAGAGGTGAAAGAGGTTAATTAACTCGTCACACTGTCAAGCCAGAACCAGAAGCAAAAGCCACGTATGCACAAGGCTCAGGTCCTCACACCACATGGTTCCTGTCCAAGCTGCGTCCAGGGCACCTGACTTCCAACAGCCACTATGGAACACAATCAAGGAAACAAAATCCCCTTGGGAGGGAGCAGATGACAACGCAGGCGAGGGGACATGGGCGTTTTCCTGGATGGGTCCCTTGGGGTTCTGGGAAACTATGACCACAAATCAGAGGGCCTGCCCAGCATTGTGTAACTGCAGTTCAGAACCAGAAAGTTCTCCTTCCCCTAGGAAAGGCTCCAGCAGGCCTGTCATGAAAAACCACTTTTCTGGACCTCTTTTCTTGAGCTCAAGTTGCATGGAAGAAATGAACTTGGAGATTCCGGCTGGCTTGAGGAATGGATGACCAACAAGTTTTGAACAAAGCAATCCCACTTCCTCTCTGTAGTGTCCATTTGAGCTAGACAAAATGCTCCTTTTGCCAGAGATGACTCCCTGGTCTACGCTGGCTGCTTGGAAAAGCCCTCTCAGACAGCCGCGGTAAATCACTAGGCAGCCACTCTCTGCAAGCCCCATGGCAGCCACGGTGCAAAGAGTGATTTATCAGGCAGCTTCCAACACAGCTTAATTTTTGGAGGCAGGCAAAAGATGCCAAAAGGCTTTCAAAGCTGAGCCAGAATCCCCCAAAAGAAGGAAGCAGGAGAGACACTTTGAGGAGGGGCCCAACCAGCTGCTGGAGCATCTGTGGCGGCGAGTAACTCCTCCAGGGAGCTGGGAGCTGGCATCTGGCAACCTTTCTTCCCTCCTTCTGTGTCTGTGTTCAGAAATGGAAATCCTGGGGCGGTCCAATCAGGAGACAAGAATGCTCCCTCCCTCTCCCCTCCCTGGAAACCCCTCCCCCTTCATGCTTCCTTAGACAGGAAACTAAATTGCTGGGATGGGCCACCCTAATTGCTACTCTTTTAATAACTTGGTTCACTCCTTGAAGTTTGTGTAAACATCTTGGAATTCCTGTAGTTAAGGCAAGGAGGAGAAGCATATGACTTGCAGGACAGCCCCTCTACTGCAATGAACTGGCTTCTGAGGAGTCAGAGAAGAATGAGTCAATCAACACGGCCCCTCTGGAGAAGGTCCCCTTCCTCTCCACAGCCCCCAGAAGGTCCTGGAACTTAGCTTCACAGGTGTCCACCGGACTTCCCCCGCCGCCTGCACCTAGGAGACTATGTGTTGTCCTCTCCCTCCTAACTACCTGGATGCACTCCTAGGATGCTCACACACTCCTCACCTGCACTGGCAGAGCACCACAAATGCAGCCCAATATTCCACCTTTTCCTTCACATCATGATCCTGGAAAGGACCCATAGAGGTTATTTCATTGCATAAATAAGAATTCTGAGAGCACCCAGAGAAGTTAAGAGATTTGCCCAGAACAGCTCAGCAAGGTGTTGTCAGAGCAAAGACCCCAGGACTGGCCTCATCACCCAGCCAGGCCTCACGGTGAGGCACTCGCCTGCTCTCCTAGAGAGTGCTGGACTTTTCCATAGCTGCCAATCAGGTTTCGGATCTGGGATTTTCAGAGCCAGCCTTTCTCCGTGGCATCAAGGAAGGCTTTTATATCTTCCTCCATATGGAGTGAACAAGTGAAAAGAACTATTTGAAAACCAACAGAGTAGGAGGGGGCTGGGAAAGACACATGACTTCATCGGGTGCCATCTATTTCTTTCAACTCCTGTCCTTTTTGTACAATTGTTTTGTTTTATGGGGGTTTAGGAATTCAGACGCTGTGGTTTATTAGAAGCTCAAATAATTTGATGCAAGGGTAGGTAAGAGGTCTGAGAGGTGTTTGCTGCTTGGTAGCAGAAACAAGACGTTTTCTATTTTTCCTGTTATAGAAAAACAAACCTTCTAAATTCCCCTCTCCATGAGGGGACTGGGCTGGGGTTAGACAGGCTGTCCTGACAGCAACACAGCCAATGTCAGGGCACAGAGGCTCTTCCAGCCCTGTGAGAGGCACTGAGCAACAAGAGAGAGAGGCATTGCCAACTCCGAAAAGACCAAGTACAGCAGGTCCTTGAATAATGTCATTTTGTTTATTATAATATTGATGAGAAAAAAAAAATCAATTCCTCATCAGGACCACTGTCTCTGTGGAGTCTGCATGTTCTCCCACGTCTGCGTGGGTTTTCTCCGGGTACTTCGGTTTCCCTCCACATCCCAAAGATGTGCACCTGAGGTGGGGATTGGTGTGTCTGCGTGGTCCTAGTGTGAGTGCGTGTGGGGGTGTGTGTGAGTATGCCCCGCAATGGGAGGGTGTCCTGTCCAGGGCTGCTTTCCATCCTGAGCCCTGTTTCCAGGACAGGTTCTGGCCAGTCATGAACCTAAACTGAAATTAGTGGGTAAATAATTCTCTTACTTGTTTTTGTTTATCTTTCTTAAACATATGCATAGCTCACATTTATTTTCATGTTTAATATGGACATGCGTTGGCCTTTATTTACAAGTCGGTGATGTTTTTGTGACCAGAAATAAATCATAGAAATTTAATTCTTATTTATATCAATTAACCCATGGGAAAATTGGTTTCAGTGTAAGTGGTTGAGCTTAAAGTCTCAGTTTCCAAGAGCCTATTGACGAGGGTAAGGTATATCTTCTAAAAAACTAATGCTGAACACTTTAAGTCCCAAGAACTGTTTCGATGAGAATTTTAATTCAATTTCAGCCAGCGTCTAAGTGTTGTTACACATTTTTCTGTCTTCTTAAATAACACCACATTTTATTTTTGGTGTGGGGTCATCTTAGAAAATAATAAATATTTATCGAGGAGTTCACTATAAATATAAATATTCTCAGGTTTTTGGACACTTTTATGTTTTGTGACCTTATAACATTTTTGCTACAAAATGACATTTTTGTATTCATCAAAAATACTTTAATAGGAAGAGAGAAAGCACAGAGTAGTAGTGGAAAACTACACTAGGATTGCAAGCATTGGCTTCCAATGCCAGCAGTTCTGGATATCATAAGGGCTCAGTGTACAGGAACCAATCCAAAGGGGTCAGTAGCAGTTTCAGAGCAAGATCCCAGACTCAGGTGGAACTGGGTTTGGGATGAAAGCACATCAGGAACCAGAAAAAATAATTTTTTCAGTAGGTCTTGGGCACCACCAGGTGTCTGCAGATATCTTCAAGGGCTGACAGGTAAGTTGGTCTTTGGTGAGTGGAGTTATCTGAAATGGCCAGTGGCAGCAGGGATCAACTCAAGAAGGCAACTTCTCAGTGAAGCGACGTGTTATGGGGCAAGAGATTTAGCATAGTAAGTAAGGCATGGTTAGTATTATTTTAATATAGAGAATGTTGGCAGAGACTGTCTTAACTCTGAGATGTTCAGGTTCAAAACATTCTGGGACATTAGCCATGAAAACTAGAACTGGGTTCTAAGGACAGAAAATGAAGGGTGAGGAAACCTAAATAGAGTAGGATGGTGGGTAAGGAGGCTGAGCTGATCATGACAGTCACCCCAGCAGGGTATGACCAATGTCCAACTCACAAAAGATGTGGTTTCAGAACATGTCAGTCCTAGATGGGTGGGGGAGGATGATGGTAAAGGTGCCCATCTGAAGGCTGGTGCGTCCTAAAGGATTAGAAATGACTTAGTGTTAAGAAAATGACTAATGCTTCAGACTTTGCAGGCAGGCAGGACCCTGGGTTTGAATTCTGCCCATGTCATTTTTCATACAGGCAGAATTCAAACCCAGGAACCTGTCTTATGATCTCAGGTGCGTTATCTAAATTCTCTAAGTCACGATTTTCTCATCCAGAAAATTAATATCTATTCCATCTAAAAGGGATGAGTTTAAAGACTGGTCACCATTGTGTTTGTGTGAAGTGATGTAAGAAGAAGGAGGAAGGGCAGGAGGTGGAGGAGAAGGAAGGCGGAAGAGGCAGGATGGTATAGCTGTGGCAGTGGAGTAGGTGGATTGGGTCTACATGGTACCAAGGCTCAACCTAGGTAGGGAAGTGACACAGTGAATGTCAGCAGGACACATTTCAGGCCACCTTCACACCTCATCCTCAGGGTAGAAATTCTAAGATACTTTCTCTTCCAGCTCAGGATTGGCTCAAGAACTCTGTGCAGTAAAAGATGAATCCAACTGCAAGGTAGAGGCAGACAATGTTTACAATGTAGATATTTTACTGATAAAATAAAGCATGGAGACATGTGATTAGCCTTAATTTAATACTCAGGGCATTTATGTATCTCTGTAATATTATAAGAACATATTGAAAAAAAGTATAAGTCTTACTGCAAGTGTTGAATGCTAAATAGATTTAAGGAAGAGGTTGACATACCCTTGCTATACAGAACTCATCTTTTAAAATATTGTTTCTACATTTCAAGCCTTTATTTGACAGTTGTCACAGGAAGTAGTAGAGGAGTAGATGTTATTTGTAAGGAAAATCAGGACTTTTAACTTAGTAGTTATGATTGTTTAATAATAAACCTGTTGTCTTTGTTAATTATGCTGTGGTCATGTAAAATTTACCCTGCATTTCTTTCATATTGTCAAAGTTCCATAGAGGGCATAGGAGGAAAGGGTGATTTTACCAAAATGAAATTAGCTTTTGTATTCATCTGCACCTGGAAGAGCTCCTGGCACATAACAAAGAGAGAATACAGTACAAAGAGAACAGACTTGGAGGTCAGACAGACCTGTTTCCATCCCAGCTTCATGCTGACCTACCAACTTACTGACTGTGTGGCTTGGGGCCAGTTGCTTGACCTCTCTGAACTTGATTTTCATATATGTAAAATAAGACAATAAAACATCCTGAGAATGTGTAAGATATGAATCATTTTGCTTCCAATGCCTACCATTGAGTCTGGCAAACAATATTCAATAAGTGGTTCATTATTCAATATGAATTTGTTTAAGTGAACCAGGTGTATTTTCTAGAAAATTAATGCGGATTAATCCCTTTAAGTTCCAAGAAGAGTTTCCATGAGAATTTTAATTCAATATCAAACAGTGTCTAAGTGTTGTTACATAATTTTCTGTCTTCTTAAACAACACCACATTTTCTTTATGGTGCAGGGTCATCTTGCAAAATAATAAATATTTATGGAGGAGTTCACTATAAATATAAATAATCTCAGGGTTTTGGACACTTATGTTTTGTGACTTTATGACATTTTAGCTCCAACATTACATTTTTATATTCATACACGAATACTTTACTGAGTAAGAAGAGAGGAAACACAGTGTATTAGTGAAAAACTAGACTGAGAGTTGCAAGCATTGGCTTCCAATGCCATGCATTCCGTATGTCATATTCTCATCTAGAAAGAAAAAAAGAAAGTACACAGAAATATCTAGAAAAGACCTTTCTGTTGTTCCTATATTCTGTTTTGTTTATGTACGTCATTTTTCTCTCTGAAGCATTTTACTGGCCACCCTGAGGAATTCAGAGCCAGTGTCTCAAAGGAGGCCAAATGATAGCCAGGGTTTTTCTTGTGAAGCAATTAAGGCAAAGCCAGTTGCAAGAATGTGATGTGGGTTTTTGTGTAGAAAGAGGAAGTATGTGGGCAATTTGCTTGTTTGGTTATCAAAAACAAAATGTTCCAGGTTGTTGCATATTAAATAGAGGAGTCTCGTCTACTTAATCTTCAGTCTAAAAGACCCCTCCCATACAAAACCACCACAGACACTGGTTCTAATCAGCATTTTCTTCTTTGATAGGAAAACAATCAAGGCACTTTTCTCTAACATTAAACTGATATAAAGATTTGAACAAAAAGCAAGGATTTAAGTAAAAATAAAAGCAAAATGAAAGAAAGGTAACGAGGACACAAATTCAGAGAGAAAGACCTAGTGACAGAGACAGAAGAGCAGAAAAGGAAAAACAAACAAACAAACAAACAAACAAAACCAAAGGAAGGCAGATCCAGAGTACAACTGAAAGAGACCTTGACTATTTTCAAATTAAGCCTGTCTTTTTTCCCATAATAACAGTTACTTCATATCCTCTCAAAGTTGGCATGTTTCTCTTGGGAAGATAAATCCTCTCTGGCAAGCTCGCCACATTCAAGCTGAAGCAGGAAGCCCCAGTCATCATTGCATTATGCAATCCTGTGTCCGGCCAATAATTGCCTATCTGACATGCTAGCCTCCCACATTCCTGAGATTCATCTAGAACAGCCAGATTAGATTAGTGTGTATTTTCAGCTAGCCGACATCACCCTTAGCTGATGTGTCTCCTTTTGTCAGCCAAGGCTCTCCTGTTTTGCTCTACCCTATCCAATTTGTCCATACCCAGAGCAGCAAGTTCTTCCTATGGAAAGAAGGAAAGACAGATCTTTAGAGAGGACAGGCTTTATCCCAAGCCCCTATTACCAAAAAGTGTGGTATGGTGAAACTCCATGGTCAAGAAGCAACTGAAGGCAGTAAGAAAAATCTGGGTGACCAATTCGTCATTCCAGCTTAAGAATACACAACTGACATCATGTAGTACAAAGAACACAAGTGAAAGTTTAGAAAAATGAGGCTTGAGCCCTGTGTCAGCCACCCACTTGCTGTGTGATTCGAGATGTTTCTTCACTTTTCTAAGCCTCAGTCTCTTCATCCTTAAGTTAGACACAATAATAGATACTTCATCGGGTTATTGAAATGATCAAATGAGATGATGTGACCCTTGGACCATATTTTCCCATCAATAAATGCTATTGATGTGTGCTGGATATTTGTCAAGCATTGCCTCAATGTTTGTGTTTCCAGTCCTGTGTTCTGTGATAGCGTTTAGCGTAGTGTGCTGTAACTGTGTATGCACGCTCTTCTAACATAGTAGCAGTGCGTGCCTTCATCCGGAGCCTACCAGAGGGTATGAAAATCAGGCAATCAGGCATTTGCATTGAATATCGAAGAAAAAGAAAAAAGAAGAGAGGGCGAATTAAACAAGGAGAAAGGAAGGAAGGAAGAAAGGGAAGGAGAGAGGGAGGGAGGGACGGAGGCTGGGAGGGAAGGAGGGAGGGAGGACGGAGGGAGAAGGGAAGGAAGGAAGGAAAACCCATGATTAAGCAGTCAGCCAAACTAGGGTTAGAGTAAATGGATTAACCTTCAACACTTGATTCTCCCCTACTCTCTATAGACCACACTACTCTAACCAGCTGAGCTTCCTCACTGAACAGCATCTGCCATTCTATTTCTGTCACCATGCTTTTATTCATGTGGCCCCCATGCCTGGGATATTCTCCATCCTCATCACTAGCTCTTCCAAAGTTCCTCATCTTACAATAGTTGGCACTGTGGCTTCTTTGGGGGAGCCCCTCTTGACTACTCTAGGCCACACAATGACTAATTTCAATGATTCCACTTTTTAGTCTATTTCATGGCCGAATCATCTCTGCCCAGGACGTTATTCTGTAAGTCCTACTACTAGAGTTCTGAGAAGAATGTTCTTGGCATGACCTATACTCTTCAGTCTTGGGAGGCTGGAGTCCTTGTCTGGCCAGTGGTTCATAGAACTGGGCCTCAAATACGTGTTAAGTCATCCAGATGTTTATACAGAGGAGATAGATTTTTCTGTCAATGGAATCAACAGTTAACACCCGCACTGAGACACCATGTTGCAAGATGCACCTCTAGTGAAGACAGAGAATTGTAAGTGCTTCCTGGACTTCAGATTGGGTTACCCAGCACTGGCCTTGCCTCAGGCCCTGCCTTAGGAAATAGCATTTCTGCCTCAGCCCTGTGTGTAAGGAGGGTAGAACTGCTGTAACTAAGTACCACAAATCGGATAGCTTCAAACAACAAAAATCTAGTCTCTTACAGTTCTGGAGGCCGGAAGTCTAAAATCATGGTATCCATGGACCATGCTCCCTCTGAAACCTGTGGGGGATCCTTCCTCACCTCTTCCTAGATTCTGGTGGTTTGCTGGAAACGTCTGGCATCCCTTGGCTTTTAGCTGCATCATGCTCGTCCTCCAGTACTCACGTGGCATTCTCCCTGTGTGTCTCTAACATGGATGTCTTCACATGGACGTTTTCTTATGAAGACAGCAGTCATATTGGGTACAGAGCCTGTCCTACTATGACATGAACTCGTGAACTAATTATACCTGCAACAACCCTATTTCTAAATAAGATCACATTTGGAGGTACTGGGAGTTAGGGCTTCGATATATCTTTTTGAAAGGGAACACAATTCAATCTGTAACTCACTGAATTGTACACCAAAGCCAAGAAGGCCAAGAGGTAAGGAAACAAACATCAGAACCACAAGAGAGGAACAGAGGGTGGAGTGACTTCAGAGAGGCCAAGAAGTTACTGTCAATGGTTTTTAGGACTCATTTTGATTGGTCTCCTGCTGAGTGGTGAGGCCTGATTCAAGGGCACAGAAAGAGAGCACCAGTGAAGTGTCTTGTAATAAACAAATGCCTGTTGAAGGCCGTCTTTGAGCTACACACTGTGACCACAGTGACCTGGCAGTGTAAAGTGTGTGTTTAATGCCTCAGAGCCTCACAGAATAAGGTGAGGGGAGAATAGTGGAAGGAGAGATGACTATCAACTCTCATTAGCCCTGTGGGAGGTGAAAACTAGAAAGATTGTCTCGTATGAGTAATAAATATGGAAAATTGAATGAAGTCAACCTCTCTATAAAAATAATTTATTAATTACCCTGCCTTTAGAGTCTCACTTTACTGAGTCCTACAATTTGCAAATTAACTATTGGCCCAACTTGGCCTATTGAAGGGATAATGAGTATTAAAGAGAACCTGGTCTCTGAAGTTCGTGGATGAATCATGATGATTATCAGTGACTCACAACCCTTGCATCTTCAAAAGGCTTCCCCTGATGCACCAGTGGAGGACTCAGTCCTCAGCTTTTGAAGTGGAGTTTGGCAGTAAAGGTGGGACTTGGGGCTCCTGGTGGGGCCACCAAGGGAGAAGGTCTTGAGGAATGTGGGTGGGAGGAGCATGGCATCCACAGCTTCAGCTCCTGCATTTGATATTTATTAGGGACAACTTGATGAAGGGCACTCTGGGAATGTTCTTCTAGGACCAAGAAGAGAAACACTTGATGGCCTTTAAAATATGTGCCTTTAACTGCCTTCCCTGAGGCCAGGTGGCTGTGCCAGGGTTTAGCAGCACTTTGATCCCACTTCTGTGTTCAGAGTCCTCAGAGCTCTGGTTCAGGGTCATCAAATTCATTCCAAAAGTGACGTATTCCATAAATGAGGAATTAGTTGTCAGTAACTAGGTCATTGACAATGAGTTATTGAGTGTCTTGAGAACTGCAGCTAGCAGATGAAAACATTAACAGAATTCCTTTTCCTTCCTCTAATAAAGACCACTGATATCAGGGGACACAGGGTGAGGGATCCCTGGAGGTAAAAGAAGAAATTGTCCTAAAAAATGTATAACTAGCAAATGCAACTAAAACCCACATCAATGGATGTGAGCACAAGAGAACTGCTTTTTGGTTATCAGGGGCACAGTTTGGCAACACAATAACAACAGTTACCATTTACTGAGCACCCAGGATGTCTCAGTTTCTTACCAGATATTTTGCAGATTCAACTCTGAAAGGCTGATATTATTATCTTCAAAGTTTACTTGTTTTAAACATGAAGATCCTGGGCTTACATTGGCGACATAACTTTCTCCAAGTCACACTCAATACAATTGCCAGAGCTGTGATATGAAACCACCTCTATGTCACCCCTAAGCTCTGTAGTCTGAGGGAGGAGGAATTACTTTGAGTTCTACTTGATATGAATTTGAATAGGTCTTCCCCACAGAGCAAGTTCTCAGCATGTATTTATTGAAAATTGAATGATCCACTTTGCAGCCAGGTAACAGTGCTGAGCCATTTCTGGTGGGATGACAGAAGGGATACATGCCCACCTGCTTCCAAGAGCAACTTTATGCCCCAGAGCACATGCCAGAGCTGCTCTTGACACGTTTCAAGAGGTTTTGCAGGTCCAGGACACTGCTGTGCTATAAATCAGCAACTGGTTTACCCTTTCCAACAATGATTGCTGAATTTGAAGCTCAAATGTATATAATTATCATCCTTAATACATGGGCTTTGCACTCCTACAAGGTTTTCCATCTTCAAAGTGTCTTATGAACATTAACTAATTAATCTAGGCTGCACATTGTGCCAAGGCCCAGAGGGCTTAAACTGCTCAGATCTGGGATGGTCCCTGTTGATGGTAATTACACGGAACACATTGGGTACTCTTTCACTTAATATATATTGGTGCAGTGTGTCATCACAATGCCATCATCCCCACTACAGACATTGCCCAGTGGCTGGCCCTATGGGTTAGGCCTATACTTGGGGCTACAAAGAAACAAAAGCCAGAGGCCCTTGTCCAAGCAAATGATGCACTGGTAGCTAGCAAACGCATAGTGCTTTACAATAAGAAATAAGGCTTCCGGACTGGCAAGGTGGCTCATGCCTGTAATCCCAGCACTTTGGGAGGCTGAGGCATGCGGATCACCTGAGGTCAGGAGTTTGAGAACAGCCTGACCAACATGGAGAAACCCTGTCTCTACTAAAAATACAAAATTAACTGGGCGTGGTGGTGCATGCCTGTAATCCCAGCTACTCGGGAGGCTGAGACAGGAGAATCACTTGAACCCAAGAGGCAGAGGTTACGGTGAGCCAAGATCGTGCCATTGCACTCCAGCCTGGGCAACAAGAACGAAACTCTCCGTTTCAAAAATAAATAAATAAATAAATAATAATTTAAAAAAAATAAGGCTTCCCATGAATTTATTTGTTCAAATAGGTCTGTTTTCTTTCTTTTCTTTTCTTTTTTTTTTTTTTTTTTTGAGACGAAGTCTCGCTCTTGTTCCCCAGGCTGGAGTGCAATGGAGCCATCTCGGCTCACTGCAACTTCCGCCTCCCAGGTTCAAGCGATTCTCCTGCCTCAGCCTCTCGAGTAGCTGGGATTACAGGCACCTGCCACCAAGCCCGGCTAATTTTTGTATTTTTAGTAGAGATGGGGTTTCACCATGTTGGCCAGGCTGGTCTCGAACTCCTGACCTCAGGTGGTCCGCCCACCTCGGCCTCCTAAAGTGTTGGGATTACAGGCATGAGCCACCGCGCCCAGCCCATTGGTCTGTTTTCTATCACTGCAGATTAGTTTGCATTTTCTAGGACATAATAAAAATGGATTCATATACAGTCATGTGCTGTATAATAATGTTTTAGTGAAGGATGGACTGCATGTAAGACGGTGGTCCCATCAAATTATACTGCTGTGCTTTTTTTACTGTGTCTTTTCTATGTTTAGATACACAAATACAGTGAGGCATTGCTTAAAAATGGGGATATGTTCTGAGAATTGCTTCCTTGAGTAGACATTATAGTGTACTTACACAAACCTAGATGATATAGCCTACTACACACCTAGGCTAACTGGTATGGCCTATTGCTCCTAAGACTACAAATTTGTGAGGCATGTTGTACTGAATACTGTAGGCAACTGTAACACAATGGTAAGTATTTATGTATCTAAACATAGAAAAGGCCCAGTAAAAATATGGCATAGAAGATAAAAAAGGGTACACGTGTATAGGGCACTTACCATGAATGGAGCTTGTGGCCTGGAAGTTGCTGTGTCAGTAAGTGGTGAGCAAATGAGAAGGCCTAGGACATTACTGAACTACTCTAGACTTTATAAACACAGTACAGTTTAGGCTACATAACATTTATAAAATGTATTTTTCCTTCTTCAATTATGAATTCACTTTAGTTTAATGTAACTTGTTTATAAATTTTCAATTTTTTTAACTTTTTGACTCTTTTGTAATAACACTTAGCTTAAGACACAAACATATAGTACAGCTGTTCAAAGTATTTTCTTTATATTCTTATTCTAAACACATTTTTCTATTTTTAAATGCTTTTATTTTTTATTGTTTTACTTTTTAAACTTTTTTGTTGAAAACAAAGACACAAACCCAATTAGTCTAGGCTTACCCAGGGTCATGATCATCAATATCACTGTCTTCAACCTCCACATCTTGTCCACCTGGGAGGTCTTCCAGGGAAAACACACCACACATGGAGCTGTCATCTCCTATGTGAACAATGCCTTCTTCCAGATACTGCCTCTAGGACCTGACTGAGGCTGTTTCACAGTTAACTTTGTAAAATATACAAGTAGAAGGAGTATACTCTAAAACAGTGATAAAACCAGTAACATAGTCATTAATTATCAAGTATTATGTATTGTACATAATTATGTTATATTTTTATATAACTAGCAGCACAGTGGATTTGTTCACACCAGCATCACCACAAACATGTGAACAATGCATTGCACTCACACATTAGGAAGGCACTAGGTGATAGGAATTTCTCAGCTCCATATAATCTTGCGGGACAACTGTCGTACATGTAGTCCATCATCGACTGAAACGTTGTTATCCGGTGCATGACTATAGTATGTTTATCTGGCTTCTTTCACCAGGTGTAATTATTTTGAGATTCATCTGTGTGGTTGTGTTCATTCCTTGTTACCACTAAATAGTATTACATCTTATGGATATAGCACTATTTGTTTATCCATTCACTTCTTGATAAACCTTCAGGTTGTTTCCAGTGTTTGTCTATTGCAACTAATGTTGTGATTAATGTTTGTATTTTGTATAAATCTTTGCATGGACATATGCTTTCATTTTTCTTGGGAAAATACCTAGGAGTAAAATGGCTGGGACATATGGTGAGTGAATGTTTATTTCAGAAAGAGTCAGTGGGAGTCCTAGAGTATACAAACCACTTTACATTCTCACAGGCAGTATATGAAAGTTCTAGTTGTTCCACAGCTTTGCCAGTACTTGGTATAGTCAGTCATTTTAATTTTTAGACATTCTTATGAATGCATAGTAGTAGCTTGTGATTTTAATTTGCATTTCCTTAATAACTAAAGATGTTGAGCATTTTTGAGATGCTTATTTGCCATCCAAATATGTTGAACATACATAAATGATCAAACTCTTACCATTTTAAATTGGGTTGTCTTTTTGTTATCGAGTTTTGAGATATATACAGGTGTTTGTGTGTGTGTGTTATTGTATATCACTCTCAGATATGTGATTTGCAAATATTATCTCCCAGTCTATAGTTTTTTATTATGTTAATACTGTCTTTCATTTGTGTGTGCAATTTATTAGGTTTTGTGCAATTCATTTGTTTTGTGCAAGTACACTCTGATGTTCACACAAGGATGAAATTACCTAAAGATGCATTTTTCAGAACATTTCTGAACATCTGAGAACATCTCAGAACATTGTTAAGCAATGCATAACTGTACACTAAATCATCAATTTATTTTTTCCTCCAATTCCAATGTCATTGGTGTTCTGGAACTGGCTTGTACCAGCTTGGAAGGACCAATTTTTAAATGTTTAGGGATTTTGCAAACTGATTATTAAACACAGTCATTGCTAAAAATTAAATTACATAAATTTATAATTAAATTATATTAAAAATAAAGGAATAAACACTCAAAAATTGTCACTTTCTAGTTACTTTACTACATCTTACCATTATTTACATTGTTAAGGTTGAGGTTGTAACTTCATGTTGGAAATATCATAAAATGGTGTGCTATTAACAGTTTCTTCCCAACTCAGCATTCAGCGCAGTCATGTTGGTAGATCGAAATCAGCCATTGAGTTTATATTTATACCATGAAAATTTGCAAATACTACAATATAGGGCTTGATTTATTGTTTTGCTGATTATCTAGGTTTAATAAAATTGTGGAAAAGATGTTCGTGTAGATTAAACTTAAATGTGTGACATGTCTATATCTGAAACACTACAAATAAGCATTGTGAGTACTATGAGTAAATATTTTTCCAGCATTTGAGAACAATAATTCAATTCGGCAAAAAAAGTTGCTCACATTATTGACAAATGGGTGAAGTCCAGACATGCATCTTTGTTGTTTTACTTTGATATTTCTTGTTAAGATAAACAAAAGTATCAACTAACATTCTTGTTGGAACTATATTTGTCTGTCAATTGAATCCATATTTTGTCTAGGGATACAGGAGTTTGGCAAAAACCAGCAAAAGCATTCAATAAGAAGCAATTGCCTATTTGGAATTTGAAGCAAAATGTTTTGTATATTACTGTTAGTTACTTGTAAATTGTATGCTACGTATATTTTATATCAGCAAATTTAGATATACTTTTTCAGAGAGGCAAATGTTAAATATTTACCAGGATACCACTGTTCAAAATTCTATTTTTTATGGGCCACTCTATGTACACAGACCTTGCCTTTTCCATATTGCCTGGTGATTTGGAGAATCTGTGCTCTTTAGCGGAAGATTGAAGGACAAAATGAATCGCTTATTGTGTTTTTCTGGCTAAATATTTTTTGAACTAATGTAGTTACAGTAAATTATTGCCTGAAAAGAGACAATATAGTAAGTGAGACTGACCATGCCAGGGCAATTGCACATGGAGGGCCAAGGATGCAGAACTGTGTGGCTCATTTATTCACGGAGTAATTACTGACTTTGAAATTATCACTATGCCCTAAGCATTTCTAAAAGCTGGGAAACTACTAGTTTTGCATTCTGTTTACAATGAGAAATTAGTTATTGCTTCAAAAATAGTGACCAACGTGCATAAAACATTGAAACCTTAGCAAGTTTTATAATTAAAGATGCCCAGTGATTCTTGATTTACATTCATTTCAGGCTACTTTGTTGGCTGCCAAGGCGGCAAAGTCATTTTTTGGACTAAAATGTGAAAAGATGTGTGTTATGGATTTCGGCTGTCATTTAAAGATGTAACCCCAGTGTCCATACACACAGAGTGAAGGAGAGAAATCTCAATGACTTCAGCAGGGAGCAAACAGGCTATGCCCCTCTGGAGGCAAAGAATTCTTAAAACATCAAAAATGGGAGAAAATAGAACTTGCAGAATTGTGTACAATCAGAGCCTTATACTGTACTTAGAAAAGCACCCTTTCTGATCACTCCTACTAAGCCTCATAACCAGTTCTGTATTCCTGTATCCTTTAATATCTCCTGTAAAATTTAAAGGAGAGTTTTTCTAGAGTTAAAATCTACAGGCTAAAATGGTACATGTGCTCAGCAATGCAGTGTTTGGTTGATGGGTGTTTTCTAATCATTTTCTACTACACTTTTTGGGACTCAGATACATTTCAACGTCTTCCAATGGTTTAACTACCTCTTCCTATATATATGACTTTAGGGAGTTATTAATCCTGGGTTATATTCTTGTCTATATTAAAATAGAAATGAAAAGATAGCTCTTAGGGGTTTTGTGAAAGTATCTGGCCCAGGCTCATCCCAAAGCAGATCCTTAAAAACATTTTCTGTCTTACTTTCTTCCTTCCTCTTTGCCTCTTGTCCTTCCTGTTCACACTTGTTCCTTAATTTCTTCCTTTCCTTCTTTGTAAGTTCCTTTACATATAAATTATGATGATTGTAGTAATCACTCCAAGCCTTCTCAGGTCAAGTTTCATTGTCTTCCCCTAAGCAAGACGTGACTGAGCTGTGAACTGACTCCTGGGAAGAGATCTCACCATGGGACCCCAGCCAGGGGGAAGCGTGTGGGGCAGAGAAGGGGAGCTGCCTCCTGAAACTCCACCCTCCAATGGGATGGGGGACCAGGAGGACAGGAAGCCCAATCTAGCTACAGAGCTCCAAAGGAAATGGCAACAGCCAGGATCAACACAGTCTCCCAAAGAATCAGGCAAACAGAACTGTGTGATCACACGACTCACCCTGCTCTAGGCCCGAAGAAGAAGACATGAATCAGAGAAGCCCTTGTCCTCAAGGAGCTCCTTGCTTAGAGACCCAGATGCACAACCATTCAAACACACAAGGCAAAGAGTGTTGCACCAGAGGTAGGCATTTCAGCTGAGCCTGAGTACAGCATTTTCTGGTGAGTACTGTGGCAGGTAAAATGTAAAACTCTAAGACAATCAAGTGGACCTCTGGCCAAAGATCAGAGACAGTACAAAAACTGAGTTTAGTTGCCAAGCAATACTCAAAAATCCAGGTGTGATATCAGACGAAAGATTATCTCATAGCTCAGGGACAGATTATTATTGCTTTAGAGAACATTTAGGGAAAGACTATTGAGTCACATAAGAGTGATAATAATAATAGTAGCAATAATGATAATATTCACAAATGACATTTAATAGTATCTGTACTGTAACAAGCACTATTTTAGGTAATTTAGGTTAAGCATCCCTAATGCTCACAGTACATTTATGAGTTATCCGTTAGTTCTACTTTGTCTGGATAGAGAAACAGAGACAAAGAAGAAAAGTGGAATGCAATATAACTTACACAGCTCATTGGTATCGAAACTGGGAATCATCACCAAATTTGCCTGGTTCTAAAGCTACTGTTCTGTCTTCTAGGAAGCCCTTAAATATTTCTAGCCCTGAATCTATGGAGACCACGGGCTTGGGTAGGAGATCTTAGCATAAAGACAAAGAGGAAAGACTGAGAAACAGAAATAAATTTGATGTTGAAAGTTGTTTGTTTTTCGTAGACAAAATGTAGAAATTCAGTGTTTAGAATCAGAGTACACATTTAGAAAACATTGAAATCATTAAGTCTGCTTACATACCCACCCCACCCCAAGAGATTAATATTGCCCAAGTAATTTCTACCTCATTGACAAAGAGTTTGTGGGACAGTGAGTGATGCAGGAACTTCCCCAAATGCCCACATTACTCCCCAGAGAAGTCACAGGAGGCTGGCATGTCTATAAGCCTATTGTTAATATCCAGAGGCCTTCTCAAAGACAAGCTGGCTTGGCTGGAGCAGCTGAGAGCACACTGTGTACTTATTTTTAACATTCTTTAATGTTTTCAGATGAGCACAACTCTGAAATAGAAAGGCTGACCCATTTCAATGACATTTTCCCAAGGACATCGGAGTATTGTGTGTTTGTCTTCCCTTTACCCTAGATAGAGTCCCAGTGTCCCCGAACGAAAGGAAACTTCCCTTCAGGCAGATAAATGGCAGGCAGTGTGACTTGGTTTAATGATATGTCACCTCTACAGTCACTCTTTCCACTCCATGAGTCTCAGTCACCTAGAAAGTATCAGCACCCTGCAGAAGCAAGCGTGTTCATGTGCTATCCATGTCTAAGGTCACACATGCAACCCAGGAGGAAAAACAGAGTGCAGGATAATTGACAGAGCCCCAGAGAAGCTGGAAGAATATGAACTAAAAGAATTTCTTGCATTGCAACACCATTTTTGTATTTTGTTTTTAACAGATGAGGGAGGAAACTCAGAGGTACCGAGTCATTTCCCCAAGCTCATACAACAGATAAAAGGTAGCGCCACACTCTCTCAGTGGTTGCTGAATGGAGAGATGTTTGGCAAGATCTCAATGTCCAGTCTTTTTTAAAATACAAACTGCACAGTTTTAGTTTAGTTTCTTCTGTTTTTTTTCTCCCCAAAGTAGAAAAGTAGAGTGTAAATCTGAGTATTCCCATGTGTCTCCAGGAAAGGTTTGAAGTATAAGACTTACGTGCCTTGAAAGAAAAAAATACAACAAAACCACAACAGTAACAACTAGTCTTCAGTTTGCTAATGGTCCTGGTTCTGCCTGTGTTCAAAGTTCCATGAGTTTTGTGATCAGCGGGTACCACGTCCCTGGTGACCATCCAGTTGGATGTATGGGTGGATTCCTCTTCCATGTTAATTAATATTTCCTAGATAAGGGATCTTCTCTAAGGTTTGTGTGGGGCCAGAATGTCTAGGCTGCAATGCTGCTTTTTCTGGTGTTATCACTGATATTTCCAGAAAGACCTCTGTCTGCCCCTGCTCCAAGACACACTCATGGGTGTATGCACCAGCGTTGCCCTCTCACCAAAACTAGTTGGGATTTACCACTCCCTCAGTGGTACTAGCTGTCTGACTGTTAGCTATTGACAAGGTGGCAGAAGAAACATTGATTTACCCGAAGCTTCTAATAATTTTGTCTTGTGCATCCTCCAATCACTTATTCTAAGCCACTCTTGAGAGTTCACATAGACTCTGAGCTGGACGAAACCATAGCAGCATTGAACTCAAGTCTCTCACCATACAGATGTGAGAAGAGATTGGGCTCCATAAGGCGCAGTGACTGCCTAACTTTGTACAGCCTGGAGAAGTTTATTTTCTTATAAGTAACCCTTGACCATAGTAAGAAGTTATCTGTGGTAGATTATTCTTTTTGCTTCCATCATCTCAATAGTTTTTCCATTTTGCCAAACTCATCAGAGCAATATTGACTATTAAGTTTGTGTGCAGTATACTCCAAAGCCCTGAGCTTCCTGTATTTTAAACATGACGTATTTCAGCTACGGTGCCAGTTACACATGGTTTATAATTCCTGGAACACTCTCCATATGTGTAAATCTGTCAGGCCATGCCTTCCTAAAATGGTAGTTATTAATTTACAAATCAAAGAAAGAAATCTTACCTTTTCCAATCAGTATTTGCATTCCTATTTTACCACCAAATGTGCTATCTTAGAGAGGTTAAGCCATTTTTTCTCAAGGTGGTATCACTAAGCAGGGGTGGAGCTGGAATTGTGAAGTGAGCTTTGTCTTTACTTTTTCCAGTATATACAGATATTGTTCCAGCACGGGAACACAATTAGTTTCCTCTGTAGGCTGACTTCATTTCCAGTGCTGCAATGGAGTGGGAGCTGACCTCGCAGCTGGAAACATCAGCCAGGAATCAGCGTGGAAGGGTTATGTTTTTTCCATGAAAGTAGGATCTAAAGTGGATGACAGAGGTATTAATACATGTGGTAAGTGTTCAAAGAAAATTATTTTCTGCCTCAAAATATAAACTAGAATAAATGGAGCTGTAAAACAGTATGAAGTCAGGATTTACTGTTGTTCATTGAACATGCTTTTGCTCACTCTTGTATTTTCACAACACACTGGCATCCACTATTCTACTGCCATTGTAGACACTGGATAAATAAAAATCACATGAGCCAGTGTAGAAATAAAAAAAAATTAAGAGCCCATCTATGCATCCCAATTAACCTACCAGCAAGAATCTAAAAGATTCTGAGAACTTAATTTGTCTGCTACTTTGGAATGTGGAGCAGAAGCTTAGAAAAGGAATGAGTAGAAGAAGTCAGACATCAAATTATGAGTTTAGACAAATTTATAAGGTATGTGAAAGGCCATTTAAGCTACTGACCCCATAAGGGTTTCTTTCCAGAAATGGCCTTGCTAAGGAGTTACTAAGCTTCTTCTTGCACACCTCCACTGATGGTGATATCACTACCTTCAAAATACTCCATGCACTACTGCTCAGATGTTAATGTTGGAAAGTGGTTTTTTCAATCTAGACTAGACTTGACTTCACTTATCGTTTATCCATTGATCTTTGTCCTCTCTCTTGTGTCACATGAGGCATCGAATTGTTTTTTCTTTTTTTTGAGACGGAATCTCGCTCTGTCACCCAGGTTGGAGTGCAGTGGCACAATCTTGGCTCACTGCAAGCTCCACCTCCCGGGTTCACACCTGACTCAGCCTCCCGAGTAGCTGGCACTACAGGTGCCCACCACCGTGCCCAGCTAATTTTTTCTATTTGTTGGTAGAGACGGGGTTTCACTGTGTTAGCCAGGATGGTCTCGATCTCCCGACCTCGTGATCTGCCCGCCTCGGCCTCCCAAAGTGCTAGGATTACAGGCGTGAGCCACCATGCCCGGCCCAAATTGTTTTTTCAAAAGACTCCCTTCCCTGTTACTGCTTGTAAAGAGTGGGATGTTTGTGGCCAGTGTCATCAATAGGCAAACAGTGTATTAAGTCTCCTTACTTCTCATTTGTCTGTCACTTAATAGGGTAAATGCTTTTAGATAACATAATTTCATATTATTTGATGAGAATTGATTTCTGAGCACAAGCAGATAGCTCTAATTTCATTTTACCAGCTTTGAAGTTATCAAAATACTGTAAATTAAATAATTCCAAGAAGACTTGCAAAATGATATGTGAGATAGGCAGAAAAGAGGCTTAAAGTCCTAAATAGTTACAAGCAGGAGTCCAACCACACACCATTTTACTCCAAAGTCCTGCCTTAGAGGACATTCTGGTTGTTACCAGCCTAGTAAAGATATCTTGCCATCAGCACCACAAACACCTTCTCAACTTTGCATATTCAGCAGAAGGACTCAGCAATGATTAGGCATTTTCTTTTTGATGTAACTTAATGAAGGCATGAAAACAGATTCCTTTCTGAGCAAAATTGAACCTAATAGCATGTGATCCCACTTTTTCCTACCAAAAAATCATTTAACATGAAAAAAAGATATGAAAGACAAAGGAGCAGATTTTAAGTCTATAAACATTCTATTTTACAGAGACTGTGTTTATTTTCAAATTTTACATGCACAAAATAGCACTTAATAAACTACAAACTATCCAAATTTGGCAAAAACAAAGATTTTCATAATATATATCTGAAGAAAACTAGCTTAAAATCAAAAGGTTAGTATTTCATTACAGAAAAAAAATGTAATTTAATTGTTCTATTTTTATGAATTTTTAATTTGAGCTGATTAATACTGAATGTATTAACCATTCAGAAATAATTTTCTTGGGGCACTGACAATTGTATTCTTTTCTAATTTAATCCAAAACCCACATTTTCCATTTTTGCTTTACAATATATTAATACTTTGATTTCTTCTTCTTTTTGAGGTCTCTGGGTGTGCTGTGCTGCCCTCTGGCCGTCTCTGTCACTGCCTATTTTGGCAGTGAGTATTCTGGCCTGAAGCATCTGGAATACAGAGTCTGAAATCTCAGATATTTTTGATGGTTGATCACCTCTCTTTGGGCATTTTTTTTTACCACTACCTTGAGGTTCTAGGAGTGGGAAGTAAAAATAACTCTCTTCAAAACGTTTGACAGTGCTTGTCACAGAACACATATCTAATAAATGCTGATTTAATGGGTTCAGGGAACAGAGAGTGAGAGGCTTGTGACATTATCCAACACAATTGAGCAACTATCCAGCAGTGCCCCACTCCTTTCTAGGGAATATCTCATATCCATCATTTCTGTTTCTTGAGAATCCACCCATAAAATAAAACTAGGCCTATTTTGATATCTTGCTGAAGGACATTCTTCAATAGGTATAGACCAATGAGAGCTCAAGTTAAACATTGTAGAGGATATTAGTCATGGAAGTGTGAAGAATTACAATAAAAAATAATTCACACTGAATTTCAAAGTGAATTTGTTGCTAGTCTATTTTATCAATTATCTTTCCAAACATTGAATCTATCTTGGAATGTCTTGATTTTAAAAAACTCTTTTTTAAAAAGTGAGAAAGATTAACTTGCTCTCTATGGGTAGGCTTTTTGATGAGATGCTTTATAGTTCAGGCTAATGACCCTTTCTGTATTTCTGCAATAAAACAGTCACTGATTGGAAAAGGTAAGATTGATTTCTTTGATTTGTAAATTAATAACTACCACTTTAGGAAGGCATGGCTTGACAGATTTACACATATGGAGAGTGTTCATTATCCCAAAGATGACAGGACAAGAGATCTTTTGGTGATCTGTGGTAATAGATTTCTAAAATAATGCCACAAAGAATACATCATGATGCAATAATGCACCAGGCATATGAATGAAAACAGATGTTATATAGAACACTCTTTCAGATGCACATGTGCACATGTAGAATTAATTACATTGCTTTCATAGACATTCCACAGATGTTACTAAAGGGTTAATGTAAATAGCTAGAAATTGTCTTATTTTGGTTGAATAAATAAAAATAAAATAAACTACATAATTTCCTTGTGTTAAAATTCTTGTTACTCAGGTCACAGTCTCTCTTTATTTTCAACTTACCAGTCATGTTGAGAAAGTTTCAAATTAGACTCAAAGTCTGTTAAGGAAAAAGGCAACAAAATCAACAACACTAAATAAAAATTCTTGTTTTATGTGATAAAGATATATATGTATATAAATATGTGTGTTTATATATATATGTTTATCATACATATGAGAAACTCAGCTTTAACAACTGTTCAGCATTCAATATCAGAAATAGTTCAGAAAATGTGAGATATTCTGGAGACTTAAAACCTCCCATCTTCAAATTCCATTTTGCTAAGACAGAAATACCCAATTTGTAAGTTGTCTCTGTTTTTCTACATTCCTTGTGAAAGGAAGACAGAAAGCCATAAGGTGAAAAGTGGTCAAGGGACTCTCAGCACCCATCTCATTGTGGTCTTCCAGGAAGTCCATCAGAGCCAATGAGGGAAAATATGTTATAGGCTCACAGGCAACCCTTGGAGAAGTGCCATTGAACCTCATACTTCAGGTGCCACCTTGAAAATGAGAGCATTCCAAAGGAACAGTCATCCTTTCATAGGGAAGTTTGTGTTTTTTCACTATCAGCCTTCTGTGTGCTTCTCAGTCTCACCTCACACCTCCTTATTCTATCCCATAATCTACACTCTGGCCACAGCGAGCTGCATGCAGATCCCCACATTCCTTTGTGTATATACTGTTCTGTCCGCTGGGAATGCTTTTTCCCACTGTCTATGTGACTGAGCTAATTCCCACTTACCCTTCAGAGCTTAGAATAGGAAACATGTCTTGTAGAAAACTTTTCCTGGGTTCCATGGTCCTCTTCTTTGTTCTGTGGGAAGGATCAGATGAAACAGAGGTGAAAAGACTCCAGGAGAGTTCCTAGGTCTGCTGTTTACTGACTGCCAACTAACTAGCATTGTGTAAGGACTGGTCTGTTTGGCTTAAATGTACTGGGTAGGACTGGAATACATCCTGGTCCTACTACCACAAAGTACATTTCCTAAAAGATCAGAGTTTTATGCTTTATTTTTCAGTTATACTAAATGGATGGTCAACGCTAAGCCACAGCCATGTGAATGCCAGTAACAAGCTCCACTTAGCTGCTCATGTGGTCATCACAAATAGCATAATCTGAAAACGTCCCTACAGCCAGAGCTAGACAATTCTTGTTGACATCGGTTATCCTTACAAACTATAGACTGTGCCTGATTTATCTGTCCAGTCTGTACTTAACTACTTCTTCATGCTCTGCTTACACATTTGCAGCTACATGATTGAAATGACAGTGTGAATAAAAAGCCAGGGGTTCAGTCTAGGTCCCGGTGCTCACTGCACAGAAAGCCCATCACTGAGGCAAGTATTGTCAGGGAAGAAGACTTTAATCAGGTGCTGCAGCCCAGGAGATGAGAGATCAGTCTCAAATTCATCTCCCTGACTGCCTAAAATTAGGGGTTTCTATATCAAGGAAAGAAATGTAATCATGTATAAACCATATATTAAAAAAACAGGAACCGAGGAGAGGTCAAGATGAGGAGTTGGTCAAGAGGAGGCAGGTGATCAGTCAGGCAGATATAATGGATGAGGGGTCTGGCATCTCATTGTCTGGGTGCAGTGATCTGGTAAGTCTCAGCTCCTTAATTCTATCTGGGGAGGCTGATGGTTTGTTTTGTGAGAAAGGAACTCAGATAAAACAAATGTAACTTTCTCAAGTTTTAAGACAGGAAGGATCAATTTCTATGTTTATTCAAAGAAACCATAAACATCAGTTATGTGGAACAATTAGGTCAGTTTCAACAGATCATCGAGAGGAAAGATTGCTGCCCATTACAATTCAGAAACTAAACAAATATTTACTTAATGCAAGTGATATGGAGGTGAGCAAGACCCTGCCCTATTTTGGCACCTTGCTTTTCAATGTACCCTGGACCAGCACAATTGACATCAATTGTTAGAAATGCAGACTCTCAGGGCTTGCAGCAGACCTACTTGATTAGAAACTGTACTTTTTTAAACTTTTAATTTCAGGGGTACATGTAAAGGTTTGTTATACAGGTAAACTCATGTCATGAGGGTTTGGTGTACCAATTATTTTGTCACCTGGGTACTAATTCTAGTGCCCAATAATTATTTTTCCGATCCCCTCCCTTCTCTCATCCTCCATCCTCAAGGAGGCCTCAGAGTCTGTTGTTCCCCTCTTTGTGTCCATGTGTTCTCATCATTTAGCTCCAATTATAAGTGAGAACATGTGGTATTCAGCTTTCTGTTCCTGCATTGTTTGCTAAGGATAATGGCCTCCAGATCTTCCATGTTCCCGTAAAGGACATGATCTCATTTTTTTATGGCTGCATGGTATTCTATGGTGTATATGTACCACATTTTCCTTATCCAGTCTACCATTGATGGGTATTTAGGTTGATTACATATCTTTGCTATTGTAAATAGTGCTGCAATGAACGTGTGTGTGTGTGTGTGTGTGTGTGTGTGTGTGTCTTTATGGTAGAATGACTTATATTCCTTTGGGTATATACCCAGTAATGGTATTACTGGGTCAAATGGTGTTTCTGTTTTCAGCTTTTTAAGAAATCACCACAGTGCTTTCCCACAATGGTTGAACTAATGTACACTCCCGCCAACCATGTATAAGCGTCCCCTTTTCTCCACAACTTTGCCGGAATCTGTTATTTTTCTACTTTTTGATAGCATCCATTCTGACTGATGTGAGAGGGTGTATCTTTGGGGGTTTTATTTGCATTTCTCTAATGATCAGTGATGCTAAGCTTTTTATTGTATGCTCGTTGGTCACATGTATGGCTTCTTTAGAAAAGCGTCTGTTAATGTCCTTTGTCCACTTTTTAATGGGGTTGTTTTTTCCTTGTAAATTTATTTTAAGTTTTTTATAGGTGCTGGATATTAGCCCTTCGTCAGATGCATAGTTTTCAAATATTTTCTCCCATTCAGTAGGTTGATACAGATAGTTGATAGTTTCTTTTCCAGTGCAGAAGCTTAAAGAGTTTAATTAGATCCCATTTGTCAATTTTTACTTTTGTTGTGATTGCTTTTGGCATTTTCATCATGAAATCTTTGACAGTTCCTATGTCCAGAATGATGTTTCCTAGGTTATCTTACAGGGCTTTCATAGTTTTGAGTTTTACATTTTAGTCTTAAATCTATCTTGAGTTGATTTTTGGGTATTGTGTAAGAAAGGAGTTCAGTTTCAGTCTTCTGCATATGGCTAGCCAGTTTTCTCAGCACCATTTATTGAATAAGGAGTCCTTTCCCCATGCTTGTTTTTGTCAACTTTGTCAAAGATCAGATGGTTATATGTGTGTGGTGTGCCATTACTTCCGGGCTCTCTATTCTGTTCCATTGGTCTATGTATCTGTTTTTGTACTAGTACCAATTCTATTTTGGTTACTGTAGTCCTGTAGTATAGCTTGAAGTCAGGTAGCATGATACCTCCAGCCTTGGACTTTTATTTTTTATTTATTTATTTATTTATTTTATTTTTATTTATTTATTTATTTTTTTTGCTTAGGATTGCCTTGGCTATTTAGGCTCTCTTTTGGTTCCATGTGAATTTTAAAATAGTTTCTTCTAGTTCTGTGAAGAATGTCATTGGTAGTTTGGTAGGAATAACACTGAATCTGTACGTTGCTTTGGGCAGTATGGCCACATTAATGATATTGATTCTTCCTATTCATAAACATGGAATGTTTTTCCATTTGTGTCATCTCTGATTTCTGTGAGCACCGTTTTGTAATTCTCATTGTAGATATATTTCACCTCCCTGTTAGCTGTATTCTCAAATATCTTATTTTTTGTGGCAATTGTGAATGGGATCGCATTCTTCATTTGGCTGTCACGTTGGCTGGTTTTGGTGTATAGGAATACTACTGATTCTTGTATGATATAAAATCTGTTTGTCAACAGGATCCTCAGATGACTCTTACACACATTGAAGGGAAAGTGGGTAGTCATCAAGTTCACGAAACAGCTATGTAGGGGGATAGACAAGCCTGTGGAAGGCTGGGACAATTCTTTTTGGACCTATTACTTGCCTTACCAATACTTGCCATAAATGCTTGCTCTGCCATCTCCGTATCTAATTAGTAGTTTATTCTGACTTTTGATGCTCAATGTCTCTATGGCTATTGTGGCTTCCCCTTTGACACTTGACTGCTCTGTAGAATGCAGATAGGTGAGACATACTAGTAACTAAATGTCTTCATATTAGTTGGCCTGTAGAAAGGTAGTAAGGTCAGCACTGGTGGCCCTGTCTTTAAGCATACTGGTCCATGATCAGTTTGTTAAATGGATAAACAGATGTAGTTATAGACTGGTTGGCAGATAACACTCTAGCTGGCTACTAAAAAATACACAGGCATCCTCCTTTTCTAATTGCTTAGGAAACTGAGCTCTCTGACTTTCTCTGGGATGTTCTCCTCCTCCTTGTTATTCCTCCTGCTCCTCTTTATTCTCACTCTCTGTCTCTCTCTCGCTTCCTACCCTTAATGGGTCTCCCATAATTTGTAGCCTGATCATTATTTTAAAATGTACTACATGTTAGTCTATCTCACACTAGGATTTTTGCCTCACAAATTGGTCGCATTTTCCTTATAGATGTCTTGGCCAATCTGCCATTTTTCAAGCAAACCCTCTTTTCTTAATTCCATGACCTCAATCTCAGTTTCTACTATTAAAAATATTTTCCAATTAAATAAAAATCTTTTCTTCTTCAAAGCTCTTTCAGTTTGGTGAGAAACCCTTTTAGTGTCAGTGTGATAGTATTACCTAAGGGATGCAAGCACCATTGATTTTTTTTCGTTGACTACTTGCCATTGGAATAAGGTCAAAGGGATTCGGTAACTGGTTTCCTGTGATTAGCACCAGGGTTATTTGGAGGTGTCATGGATCAAGTAGAAAAATGGAAGTGATGCAAAGACTGGACCAACTCACAAGGGGTGACCAGCCTCCAAAATATCAGCAGCAGACATACAGAAACAGTCCTAATGGCGTCCAGGAGGGCATCATTCCTATGGGCTGGTGGTTAGAGATGTCCCATAGGAAAGTATTGGAAATAATAAGACATTAATGACTTATTATGAGTTTATATAAAAACCTGACTATACTAATGGCAAAAACAGTGGTCAGATATCCATGTTTATGGAAACTAACTAAAACAGATGATTCCTTTCCTGAAAGATTGAATTTCTCCTAATTAATGGGGTTATTTCCATGTTGGGGTGCAGATAATCTTTCTTCCTAGATCATAAAATATTATGAGCAGAAAGGAGCCTACTCCTGGAAAAAGAGTCAGATACCAACATAGTTAACATATCCTAAAAGTTACTCTTCAGAGTTTCTTTCTTTCTACAATTCTAAGCTCAGAGCTTTCGCATTTAACTTTTTCCGCCTCACAGGTCATTTTCATCCTCTATTACTTTCCAAGAGTGAAATCTCGTTTCTTCCACTTCCTTATTTCTGTCTCATGAATCATTTCCTCCTTGCAAGAAAACCATGCCAAAAAGCCTTCATTATTTCCATGACATTGCTTCTTCATGTTCTATTGTAGTTTTTATTTTACCTTGGGGACTGCAACACCCAATTCCTGAACTGCTTTGTGTTTTTTATGTGTGAGCAGGCACATGTTCTTTCAGAAGGAGGAGTTAAAGCTTTCTTTTCAAATCAACAAATAACATTGGCTAGCTCATAAAGCCTCACAAACTCCAGATGTGTTTTACCTGGAATCTGATTATGCACAGACCTATTCAGCTTTGACTATCACTAAATAACAAATAAGTTTAGGCAGAAACAGGAGTTATTCAACAAAATGTTTCAGGACTTAGACTCTGGTTTCAGACAGACCCTGGTTCAAATTCTGGATCCATCAGTTTCAAACTATGGGAAGTTGACTAATTACTTAACTTCTCTAAGTCTCAGGAACATCATCTGAATATGTAAAAAAAAATAGAGCCCACATAACGAGTTGTCATGAAGATTACATGTGATAATTCACTTACAATATGCTTGCCATTGATTGGAATTTAGAAAACATTTAATAAATTGAATGAAAAAACTCAATTTTTCAACTTGCAGAAAAAACGTAAGAAGAAGATATTGTTTTTAAGTTCAATTGAGAGACATAGCTATTGGTTTTATGACACATTAGGTGTTAAATCAGGGTCTCATTAAATCCAAAATAAAAATTTGAAGTTAATAATTGTGGGTCATGGGCTATATTAAAGTTGAAAAGTGGGAAAACACTAAAAGTAGTAGAAGTCCTCCATAAAGAAATGCATGCACTAGTCTCTTGTACTCTGGTTAGATGAGGACCAAAATTTAACATTATATTTCCTAATGACCAAAGAAAAGAAATAGAATTTCATTTATAGACTATCAACTATTCACAAAATAAAAATATATCAAATTTATAGAAGGGGCAGTGTTACTTGTTTGTTCTTTTTTTTTTTTTTTTTTCTAACATGAGGAGTAACTGCTATTTTCCCTTGGTTTGGTTGTTTTATTTTGCTTTCCCTTTGAGTCCCATTGCTGGGTCAGCATGATGTTACATGACACTATTGGAATTCAGTTGGTCCCTTAAGGTGAAGGGTATTGCTGAGTCTCTCCAGCAGAAGTAAATTATCCTCAGAAGGGAGAGGAGCCTCATTTTCCAGCTGGCGGGCAGCTGGTGTGCATGCTCAACTTTTGATGAATGGAGTCATTACATTATCTGTCTCCTGTATTCTAGACCACCCAGGACCTTCTTGGCGCTGTCTGTGGATGAGAATAATGACCCCTTTGTTAGGCTCGCCAAAGCAGTGCTTCTGCAATGTGACCCACTGAAGAACTGTTTCTGGGCTGAGCAATTCCTCTCTGAGAGCGTGGCCTTTTCTGAGCATGGAAGTGCTGTCTGAAGACTAGAAAAGTACCCTGCTCACCAATGACACTCAGTGAATGTTTAGATTCCTACACCCGCAATAGGACCATTACCACCACTACCATCATCATCGTGATGGTCACCATTTCTACCATTTATTAATAACTTTCTATATACTAGTTAAATTACACGTATTATTTCAATTAATCTAATCAACAAGCCTAAAATGTCTCATTCTTGTTTAACAGATGAGAAAGTTGAAGTCCATGGGCAAAATAACCAAGATCACACAACAAGAAAGTACAGAGTAGGAATTCCTATTCCAATTCCATGGTATGCTCTTCCTAGTACACAACAATAATCCCATAGAATAATATTACTGCCAGGACCTCAGACATCAGATATTTTAATGTCTTTCTCAGTTATTGAACAAATATTTGATACTAACAATGGACTAAATATGAATCTAGACACCAGAGTGAAGGAGACACATAAAATTCTGTCTTTTGGAGCTCTTATATTCCAGAGGTGGAAACAGGCAATAAATAATCCATTTGGTTTGAGGTCCGTTAACAAATTATGTCCTTTATTTTGTCTCATAGTTCAGAGTTTCCTGCAGCAGAGTCAACTTCAGACCACAGTTTCTTGAAGTCATGGTTACAGACATACTAGAAAATGCATTCCATGCCAATGCTGCATTGTAAAAAATAACAGCAAAGTTGATAACTTTAAATGATTTTTCAAGACACATATTTATGTTTCCTATGTTTTATTGTCTTTTTTTCTTTTTTGAGAAGAAGTCTTGCTCTGTTGCCCAAACCGGAGTGCAGTGGTGAGATTTTGTCTCACTGCAACCTCTGCCTCCCCGGTTCAAGCGATTCTCCTGCCTCAGCCTCCTGAGTAGCTGGGACTACAGGCGCTTGCCACCACATCACATCAAATAAATGAGGATGTATTTTTAGTTGAGACAGGGTTTCACTATGTTGGCCAGGCTGGTCTCAAACTCCTGACCTTTTGATCCGCCTGCCTTGGCCTCCCAAACTGCTGGGCTTACAGCCGTGACATGTTTCCTGTGTTTTCTAAAACAACAAAAATCTCTTTTGAGTAGCATTTCACTGAGCATTCTAGAACTGCAGAAACTGGCGAAAACATGGCCTCTACATCTTCCTTTTTAGGTTCAGCATAATTGAGATAGGAAGTTGTTCAGATAAGTTTAATGTATAAATCTATAAAAGTAAACAAAAAACGTTCCTTTAACATTCTGAATCCCTCTTGGCTGATTTTTACAGCATCAGGGAACTGATAATGATACATGATTTAATGTTAAATTTTAAAAGAGGTAGGATTCTTTAATTTACTAAAATCAAGAAATGACAACTTGTGAGTTTTAACCTATTTTTTGTATGAAATATTCTTCTTTGGAATTTTGGTTTCCCGGGGTTTTTTGCTCTATTTGGTATGCCATTCTTCTTGCAGATGATAATTTGTAATTTAAACCTGTTTTATCTAGTCGTAGAGTTTTTCTTTGATCAAGAGTTCTCAGCCGGATGTGGTGGCTCACGCCTGCAATCCCAACACTTTGGGAGGCCGAGGCAGGTGCATCACTTGAGGTCAGGAGTTCAAGACCAGCCTGGCCAACATGGTGAAACCCCGTCTCCACTAAAAAGACAAAAATTAGCTGGGCATGGTGGTATGTGCCTCTAATCCCAGCTACTCTGGAGGCTGAGGCAGGAGAATAGCTTGAACCCAGGAGGCGGAGGTTGCAGTGAACTGAGATCATGCCTCTGCACTAAATACAGCCTGTGTGACAGTGTAAGACTCCATCTCAAGAAAAAAAAAAGATTTCTCCATTGAAAAATGACTCCAATTTTTTGTAAATGTTTGAATAGGTTAATTAGACCAAAACATTCTTTCTAGTATGACATATATAGACACCATGAAGTTTTTCCCACCAGCTAAGCCTTCACACATTTGCTATTAAACTTGCGGTAGGCCAGTCTTTAGATGTAGCTCAAGGACCTTTCAAAACTTTTGTCCAATTACTATTTTCCTTGTGGCCTAGAAAAGAATTGTAATTAATTCTCCGTCATTTTCAATTTTAATTTCTTTACAGAATACAGGAACTTCAAAGCACTTGTGGAGTGATTTTTGTACAGAATACTTCAGGATCTAAATGCTTTCTTTTATTCTATTCTACATTTTTATAGTTGTCTTTCACATGTCTAGTTCAATATTTTTTTTAAATTTATTCACACATTCAGAAACTCTCCAAAGCGTTCAACTTCACAGCAGTATGGTCTGTATTTTGCATTCACTTGTTTTAAATATATGAAATTAAATTAAATAACTGAAATAGAAAATAGACTGGGCGCGGTGGCTCACTCCTGTAATCCCAGCACTTTGGGAGGCCAAAGTGGGCCAATCACGAGGTCAGGAGTTCGAGACCAGCCTGGCCAACATGGTGAAAACCCTTCCCCACTAAAAATACAAAAAGTTAGCTGGACGTGGTGACAGGCATCTGTAGCCCCAGCTACTTGGGAGGCTGAGGAAGGAGAATCTCTTGAACCCGGGAGGCAGAGGTTGCAGTGAGCCGAGATCGCTCCACTGCACTCCAGCCCAGGTGACAGAGTGCGACTCCATCACAAAAAAAAAAAAAAGGAAATAGTATAAACAGGTTGGGGAACAAACATGACTAAATTGGTAAATGTCAGTTTAGCTGGTGGAAGAGAAGAGTACCATCCTACTCAAGAATAGTCTGCTATATTGTCGGTTAAGTGGAGGGACTCAAGTATTGGTAAAAAAAAAAAAAAATACACATTTAAAAAAAGTTTTTTTATTATACTTTAAGTTATGGGATACATGTGCAGAACATGCAGCCATGTTACATAGGTATACACGTGCCATGGTGGTTTGCTGCACCCATCAACCCATCATCTACATTAGGTATTTTTGCTAATGCTATCCCTCCCCTAGCCCCCCACCCCCTAACAGGCCCCGGTGTCCCTGTGTCCATGTGTTCTCCTTGTTCAACTCCCACTTATGAATGAGAACATGCAGTGTTTGCTTTTATGTTCTTGTGTTCGTTTGCTGAGAATAATGGTTTCCAGCATCATCCATGTTTCTGCAAAGGACATGAACTCATCCATTTTTATGGCTGCATAGTATTCCATGGTATATATGTGCCCATTTTCTTTATCCAGTGTATCATTGATGGGCATTGATGGGTTGGCTCCAAGTCTTTGCTATTGTGAATAGTGCCACAATAAACATACATGTACATGTGTCTTTATAGTAGAATGATTTATAATCCTTTGGGTATATACCTAGTAATGAGATTGCTGGGTCAAATGGCATTTCTAGTTCTAGACCCTTGAGGAGTTGCCACACTGTCTTCCACAATGGTTGAACTAATTTACACTCCCACCAACAGTGTAAAACTGTTCCTATTTCTCCACATCCTCTCCAGCATCTGTTGTTTCCTGACTTTTTAATGATCGCCATTCTAACTGGCATGAGATGGTATCTCATTGTGGTTTTGATTTGCATTTCTCTAATGACCAGTGATGATGAGCTTTTTTTCATATGTGTGTTGGCTGCATAAATGTCTTCTTTTGAGAAGTGTCTGTTCATATCCTTTACCCACTTTTTGATGGGGTTGTTTGTTTTTTTCTTGTAAATTTGTTTAAGTTCTTTGTAGATTCTGGATATTAGCTCTTTGTCAGATGAATAGATTACAAAAATTTTCTCCCATTCTATTTGTCGCCTATTCACTGTGATGGTAGTTTCTTTTGCTGTGCAGAAGCTCTTTAGTTTAATTAGATCCCATTTGTCAATTTTGGCTTTTGTTGCCATTGCTTTTTGTGTTTTAGTCATGAAGTCCTTGCCCATGCCTATGTCCTGAATGGTATTGCCTAGGTTTTCTTCTAGGGGAAAACCTAAGCAAACTGTTATTGTAAAGGGCCAGACAGTAAGTATTTTAGGCTTTCAGGCCATAAGGCCTTTGGTCTCTGTTACAACTATGTCTGCCATGTTTGTTCCCCAACCTGTTTATGCCAGTTCATTTTCTATTAAAGCTGTAACTTTTTAAAAATATGTTAATGAAACTGAGTGTTTTTAAATGTTAGTGGCCATTTGTATTTTCTTCTTTTATAAATTGCCAACTGAAATCTTTCATCTTTTTTAATTGCAATGTTAATTTCCTTTTTACTTATCATTTTATAACAGCTTTTACACATGATGTCATATATGTGACTAAGATTTTATCAAACCTCTTTTACTTTAACTACAATTATGGTGTTTTCTGTTATTCAGAAGTTTGAATTGCAATATACTAAAATCTATGATACCTTGTTTTTATACTTTCTGGGTTTTGTAGGAAATTTAGAAATCTCTTCCAAACCTTAATTATAACGTTTCCAATATTTTCTTCTAGTGGGTTTATAGAATTTTTTTTTTAGTAAACTTAATTAAATTTTGAATTTATTATGTATATTAGCAGTGAATCAAGGACGAGAACCTATTCTTTTTCCATGCCTCCCCCAAGTTATTTTCCCTAAAAATATTTACTGACTAAGCAAGATTTCTCATTATTTCAAGTATCACCTTTATGACTCATTCAGTCTCATCACACACATGCAGATATAAGAATTATGGGTTTTGTTTCACTGAGTTGACGAGCTTCCATCTCAACATCAAGGTCTCTTCATTGTAATGGCATTATCTTAAGTGTACATATTTGATGGAGCAAATCTTCCTTCATTATTCTTACTTTTCCAAAAATGTTGTGAGCACTTTAATTAGCTTATTCTTTGAGAGGAATTGAAATTTTTTTTGCTATTTCACTAAAATTTATGATGCCACTACATTGAATATGAAGATTAATTTAGAGATAACTGGCACCTTCATGGTATTGAGATTTTTTCCATTCAATACAATGTATTTAAATTTTGTTTTGTGTCTCTCTAAAGAGTTTTATAATTTTGTTCATATAGGTTGTAAATATGTGTATTTAAGCTAGTATCAAATTATGTCCTATCTTTAATATTGTTATAATCAGGAATTCTTTCACATTTACTATGTAATTATTGTCATATGTGAAAGTTATTAATTTGTAAATATTTTGTGGCCAGGAAATTTACAATTACCAAAGCTTTATAAAGCAATTTCAGTTGACCTTTTTTGGATTTCTAGATTGATAATTTTCCATCAGAAAATAATGATAAATTTGCCTCCTACATGTCAATACTTCTATCTCTTAATTTTGTCTGTTTAATCATCTAGTTTATACTTCTTCAGTCCTGAAAATGGCAGAGAAGGGAAATAAAAAGATAAATATAAAAAAATTTGGGAATAAAAAGGAAGGTATAAAAAATAGTCTATAGAGATTCAACGTCTTGTTAACTGTGGTCTGAAAAAGATAACAGAGCACATGGGAGGGAAATCTAAATATATAATAAAAGGCTCACTGAGCTAAAGGAAGACTGACTCCCATCCCACCACACTCCCACCCACCACCATAGGCTAGGAATGTGTCCCCTCTCCTGCTGACTTTGAAGCTCATCATAGCATTTGCCTTGAATATAGGCAGAAATGATAGTAACCTATTCCATTCCAAAGTCTACAGAAGCATCACATGTTTTTATTCACCGTTTTGAACTTCTAACTATTTGGTGAGAAAGACATACTCCAGGTATTAAGGCTACTTCACCCTCCACTCCAGAATGAAGACACATGAAGCACAGGACCCAGCCTGGAGGTGGGAGATGAGCAGGGAGATGAACAGCAGAGTTCAGCTGACTCTCAGGAAAGTCAGAAACCTATGAGCTCATCAGATATCAATGCTTTTGGTTGTTGTACGATATTGTTGGAGTTTACTGTAGTATTGCAGCAAAAACTAATATACATAGTATTACAGGAAAAAAATTAAACAGAAAAAAGCATATTTTGATTGAAGTTAGCAAACTTCAAGTATAAAGAAGTTTCTTTTTTCCAGAAAACAGTTTCTAGACTAGGATTACTAATAAAGGAAATTAAATTGTGCTGACTTTAGATAACTCTTCAGCAATATTAGAAATGAGCATACAATATTTTAAAAATCTGCAAAGATTTGAAAGGAAGGTTGTAAGACCCAAATTTTTTAACTGGCAATGTCACTATACATCAAGACAACAACAATGAAATGATCCTCATCATAAAAGATCTTAAAAACTAGAACATTTGTGATCCTGAATACGTGCTTAAAATAACCACCATGAGAGTGAACAGGCAACCTACAGAATAGGAGAAAATTTTTGCAACCTACTCATCTGACAAAGGGCTAATATCCAGAATCTACAATGAACTCAGACAAATTTACAAGAAAAAAAACAAACAACCCCATCAAAAAGTGGGCGAAGGATATGAACAGACAATTCTCAAAAGAAGACATTCATGCAGCCAAAAAACACATGAAAAAATGCGCATCATCACTGGCCATCAGATAAATGCAAATCAAAACCACAATGAGATACCATCTCACACCAGTTAGAATGGTGATCATTAAAAAGTCAGGAAACAACAGGTGCTGGAGAGGATGTGGAGAAACAGGAACACTTTTACACTGTTGGTGGGACTGCAAACTAGTTCAATCATTGTGGAAGTCGGTGTGGCGATTCTTCAGGGATCTAGAACTAGAAATACCATTTGACCCAGCCATCCCATTACTGGGTATATACCCAAAGGATTATAAATCATGCTGCTATAAAGACACATGCATATGTATGTTTATTACGGCACTATTCACAATAGCAAAGACTTGGAACCAACCCAAATGTCCAACAATGATAGACTGGATTAAGAAAATGTGGCACATATACACCATGGAATACTATGCAGCCATAAAAAAGGATGAGTTAATGTCCTTTGTAGGGACATGGAAGAAGCTGGAAACCATCATTCTCAGCAAACTATCACAAGGACAAAAAACCAAACACCGCATGTTCTCATCGGTGGGAACTGAACAAAGAGAACACATGGACACAGGAAGGGGAACATCACACACCAGGGACTGTTGTGGGGAGGGGGGAGGCGGGGAGGGATAGCATTAGGAGATATACCTAATGCTAAATGACGAGTGAATTGGTGCAGCACACCAACATGGCACATGTATACATATGTAACAAACCTGCATGTTGTGCACATGTACCCTAAAACTTAAAGTATAATAATAGAAAAAATAAGTTAATTTAAAAAAGAATCAAACTAAAGATGTCAAAAGTGAGGAATCTATGGTGTATAAAGAGAGGTATTGAATATGGAATCAGTTTAAACTTGGTGTCAAGTCAAAATAGATATTTTCAAAAGAAAAACTGCTTAATGTAAAATACCACTTATTGAAGTGTTATTGTTGAGGTTCACATTCATCCCCTAGTATCAATCCAATGTAAAGTATTTGCCTCTAACTTTGTTTTTTTCATTTTGGGGTTTGCAGTGAGAGCAGTTAGGAAAAACTTACTCATTTCTCTAAATAAACTGAATAATTATATTAATATTTTCCAAGATTTTGTGTGGATATTTTTCATGATTGCCCTTTACATATAAAACATTGATTTTTAAATTGGATCATTTCTCCTATAATTTAATAACTTAAAACCAATGCCTAGTTTCTGTGTTTTCATCTTGTCATCTAATGCAGAGATGGATATGACAACATGAGGCATTTTAGTGAGAATTAAATTGGAAAACGTGTGTGTAAAAATAACAACAATGAAGGAGCTCAAAAACTGTGACTTGTGTCTGAATGCATAATTTAATCAATATAGCAGCCCTCCCCAACATAGAAAAACACTCACTAAATATCCTTCTGACTCCACAGACCACAATTCCTTAGAGAACTGGAGCACTGTCTTTGCATCTTTGTCTGTCCAGGTCCAAGACAGTGCTTGGCAGCCAACCACCATTCAGGAGATCCATGTTGAATGCAGGCAGAAAAGGATTTAATCTCTTCCCCAGCTCCTCAGGAAGAGAGCTTGCTTAGAAAATATATTTCTAGTACACATTTGTTTCATATTAGTCTCTCACCAAGTCTATGCAACTGTGGGATCCCGGAGACACAGAAGGTCAAGTCCTTCTTGCTATTTACTGACTTGCCTGTCCAACAGTTCCCATCATGATAGTCTTTCCTGGAAAATATTTAGGAAGACTAAAGCTTTTCTTAGTCATCTATGTAAACACTCTCGGAACATTTAATACGTGGCTGACACCATGCTAGACATTTTCACAACGATTATCTCATTTAATTTGCACTGTGATTTTTAAGTTGGATAGTATCAACCATATTTTACAGATGAGAAATGAAGATTTAAACATGTTAAGTTATTTGCCCACAGCTAATAAATGTCAGAGCACAGTTCTTGAGCCCCAGTCTCTCTGACGCCATATCCAGGTCTCATTCCACTCCATTACAGCGCCTAACAAAGAACAACTTAGGAAAATATTGTCTTTCTGTTTCCCTTTCTCTCTTCTGTCCTTTCTCCAAACATTGCTCATACAATGGAATGGAATTCTAAGGAGAGAGAAATAAATTCTTTTCTTTTGGAACTCCTTTTCCTTTGGATTTGTTCCCGGTTCTTGTGTGAACCATGGTTCAACTTCCACATCCTCTCTTTGACCCTAACTTCCTCTCAGATCCTTTTTCCAACAATCCTCTCCCACCCCATGTGATGAATCACCTGGCTTGCCTCAAGACAGAGAATAACAGACTCCAACCACCCCATCATTGCCTATGGTTCCAGCTAGCCATATATGCAGCCCTACATGCCTTATTTGGGTGAGTGGATCTAAGACGGTAATAGGTTTCTAATCGTTTTAATATGTACGTCATTCAGCAGAATAAACTGGTCATACTTACTAGTATTAATTTATTCATTCATTTATTCACTAAATGTTCACTCTTAATAAAGCATTCTGTTAGACACAAGGAACTCAAAGGTAAATACATTATATTCTCTGCATAGTAGGATACTAAAAACTTGTAGGAGGTGCAAATGAGTAAGCATTACAAAATAATGTGGTAAATTATGTGAGAGGTAGATAGGGTATAGTAGTGTAAGCCTTATATGCTTTGAGATAAATTAACCAGAATTGGAAGCCTAGCTTTCACACTTACTTGGAAGTATGCTCTCATGCAAGTCTCTTAGTCTTTTTGAATTCCATTTTCCTCATCTGTAAAACTGGAATAAGAATTTCTACCCATATTGCCATTATGAAGATTAAATGAAATGACAGAGAACATGGCCAGAGAAAAAGAACCCAATATAACCCATATCCTATCCCATTAGAGAAGAGGAGTAATGATAATAAAGTATAATTTTTCTCAAAATGAAGCCCAAGTTGAGAAACCAAAAGACAGTAATTTTTGAGACTGAATTACACAAAAATTGAACTAACGTTGTTAGACTTTTGTGTTTGATCAAGTAAGACCTAAAATAACTACAATATTTGATATGGTTTGGCTGTGTCCCCACCCAAATATCATCTTGAACTGTAGCTCCCATAATTCCCACATGTTGTGGGAAGGACCTGGTGGGAGATAATTGAATCATGGGGTCAGTTCCCTCATATTGTTCTTGTGGTGGTGAATAGGTCTCAAGTTATCTATTGGTCTTATAAGGGGTTTCCCCTTTTGCTTGGCTTTCATCCTCTCTTGCTTGTCCCCAGGTAAGATGTACCTTTTGCCTTCCACCACGATTGTGAGGCCTTCCCAGCCACATGGGACTGTGATTCGATTAAACCTCTTTTTCTTTATACATTACCCAGTCTCAGGTATGTCCTTATTAGCAGCATGTGACAGACTAACACACTAAATTGCTACTGGTGGCACTGCTGTAAAGATACCCAAAAATGTGGAAGCAACTTTGGAACTGGGTAACGGATAGAGGTTGAGACAGTTTGGAGGGCTCAGAAGACAGAAAAATGTGGGAACGTTTGGAACTTCCTAGAGACTTGGAGGGCTCAGAGGAAGACAGGAAAATGTTGGGAAGTTTAGAACTTCCTAGAGACTTGTTGAATGGCTTTGACCAAAATGCTGATAATGATATGGACAATGAAATCCAGGCTGAGGTGGGCTCAGATGGAGATGAGGAACTTGTTGGGAAGGGGAGAAATGGTGACTCTTGCTATGTTTTAGCAAACAGACTGGTGACATTTTGCTCCCACCCTAAAGATCTGTGGAACTTTGAACTTGAGGGAGATGATTTAGGGCATCTGGCAGAAGAAATTTCTAAGCAGCAAAGCATTCAAGAGGTGACTTGAGTGCTGTTAAAAAGCATTCAGTTTAAAAGGGAAACAGAGCATAAAAGTTTGGAAATTTTGCAGCCTAACAATGTAATAGGAAAGAAAAACCCATTTTCTGAGGAGAAATTCAAGCTGGCTGCAAAAATTTGCATGATTAATGAGGAGCTAAATGTTAATTGCCAAGACAATAGGGAAAATGTCTCCAGGGCATGTCAGAGGTCTTCTTCACAGCAGCCCTTCCCATCACAGGCCCAGAGTCCTAGGAGGAAAAAATTGTTTTGTGGGCAGGGCCTAGGGCCCACCTGCTGTGTGCAGCCTAGGGATTTGGTGTCCTGTGTCCCAGCCACTCTAGCCATGGCTACAAGGAGCCAAAGTACAGCTCAGGCTGTGGCTTCAGAGGGTGCAAGCCCCAAGCCTTGGCAGCTCCTATGTGGTGTTGAGCCTGTGGGTGCACAGAAGTCAAGAATTGAGGTTTGGGAACTTCCACCTAGATTTCAGAGGTTGTACAGAAATGCCTGAATGCCCAGGCAGAAGTTTGCTGCAGGGTAAGAGCCCTCATGGAGAACCTCTGCTAGAGCAGTGCAGAAGGGAAATGTGGGATTGGAGACCCCACACAGCGTCCCCACTGGGGCACTGCCTAATGGAGCTGTGAGAAGAGGGCCACCATCCTCTAGACCCCAGAATGGTAGATCCATTGACAGCTTGCACTGTGCACCTGGAAAAGCTGCAAACACTCAATGCCAGCCCATGAAAGCAGCCGAGATGGATGCTGTACCCTGCAAAGCCGTATGGGCAGAGCTGCCCAAGACCATGGGAACTCACCTTTTGCAATATTGTGACCTGGATGTGAGACATGGAGTCAAAGGAGATTATTTTGGAGCTTTAAGATTTGACTGCCCTACTGGATTTCAGACTTGTGTGGGACCTTTAGCCCTTCATTCTGGCCAGTTTCTCCCATTTGAAATGGGTGTGTTTATCCAATGCCTGTACCCCCATTGTATCTAGGAAGTAACTAATATGCTTTTGATTTTACAAGCTCATAGGCAGGAGGGACTTGCCTTGTCTCAGATGAGACTTTGGACTACGGACCTTTGAGTTAATGCTGAAGTAAATTAAGACTTCCGCGGACTGTTGGGAAGTCATGAATGGATTAGAAATGTGAGAACATGAGTTTTGGTGGGGGTTAGGGTCAGAATGATATGTTTTGGCTGTGTCCCCACCCAAATCTCATTTTGAATTTTAATTCCCATAATTCCCATGTGTTGTGAGAGGGAGCTGGTGGGAGATAATTGAATCATGGGGGCAGTTTCCCCCATACTGTTCTTGGGGTAGTGAATAAGTCTCATGAGGTTTGTTGGTTTTATAAGGGGTTTCCCCTTTCACTTGGCTTTTATTCTTTCTTGCCTGCCGCCATGTAAGACGTGCCTTTCACCTTCTGCCATGATTGTGAGGCCTCCCAAGCCACGTGGAACTTTGAGTCCATTAAACCTATTTTTTTTATAAATTACCCAGTCTCATATATGTCTTTATTAGCAGCTTGAGAACAGAATAATACAATATTAATAACTAAAAAGTATGTTTGTGTGTGACTACATGTATGTGTTGGCAGGGAGAGGGGATATTTGTAAGGACTCATATTTTTAAATTATTTAAAATTATTTTATCAGATGCCAACACAAGTGCTGAAGAGGATGTTACATGAGAGAAAGATGGATTCATATGTGGAAAAGCCTTCTAAGGATAAAGTCTACCATATACTGACTTACTTTTGGAGGTAACAAGGGTTGGTGAGATCTCAGTAGTGTCCTTCTCACGAGGAGGTCAGTCTCTTAAACTTCAAGTGGAAAACAGATGAGATTAGGTGACTGTGCTGAATTTGAAATATGTGCCCTAATCCCAATGTTATTTTGTTGTTGCTGTTATGTTTGTTTCGAAAATAATTACAAGGTAATTGCCCTCTGATTTCTGTTACCCACAGAACCTCATCTCTCACCTTACCCCCAGCTTTAATGAGGCTTCTTGTTGGTCAATTCCAATAAGAACTCTCTAAGTCACCTGGGCTGCTCTGAGATCCACCTTACAGTGACTCAGGAATACAGTCAATACAATGGTAGAAAGTGGCCCTGGCAAGGAAAGACTTTAAAACACATAGAACAAATCAGCCCAGAGGCTCTGCCGGCACTGTTACCCTCAACAAGTGGCAATGTGGTGACCTTTAGTAATCCCATGTTTGGTTCCAACTTCTTTCCCTTTATAAGGGATTAATCAAGACATGGCTTCCAGCACTTTCATTGGTATTAATATGTGAAGTTGGGAAGTCAGGTTGGGGGACCTTACTGCCATTAGAAATGGGCTCCAGCCTTCTAGGAATGCCTCTGTCTTTCGCCTACCTAAAGGATCAGCATTGGAGGAAACTTTCTTAATTTGCAATCACTCCCAGTGTATTTGAACTCCCTGGGTGTAAACCCTAGCTTTACCATTTGCTTGACTGTGGCAAAGTTAATTAACCTCTTTGAACTTCATTTTCTTAAACATGAGCTATATGGAGTCATTAGAGTTCACTGAGTTTACCCATGTAAGATTCTGAACATTAGTGCCTGCTACATAAATGCTCAGTTAAGTTGGCTATCAATATTGATATCATGGCTACTAAAATCTTATAAAGCCCTTTAAGCTTTTCTAATCCATGTGTTCACTGCTAATAACCTCATCCTGAACAAGTGCAAATCTAAATTGATGGTGATACTCTTTCCACCCATTCCCAATTCTAACTTCTGACTTCTGCTACCCTGACTACTCTTCCCACAACATTTTCACCTCTCTCCTTATATCTGTTACATAACACTCAGCTCCAACTTCACAATCTGAACATAAGTTGGTCTTGTGGGTCAGCTCATCCTCAGCCACCTTGGATAATATCTCTCCTTTATGCTACCCAGGGTTTCTTAGCTTTTCCATTCCAGGAGCTCCTTTGACACTGTGGCAAAGCCTATGAAGCCATTCTGAGAATATTTTAAATGTGTAAAACAAAACCAGGAATTTTAAAGGAAAAAATTCTATTGGATTACTGTTATGTATATTAAAATAAAGGTATGACATAGTACTATGTGTGTTTCTTTAACACATTACATTTTTAAAAATCTAACAGTGATTTAATAAATATAATTTTGCAGTTGTGATGAATGTAAATAATATTTTGAGATCTCTACAACAACTGTAACAGAATATAAAATATGTGATAGCTATTGATTTTACAGGTACTGCAAATGCAATTCTGGTTTGTTGCCTACATTCCAAAGTAAAGGGCATGCTGAATTTCAGTTGGAGGCTAGTGAAAACAAAGATGGAATATTTTTTCATCCACGGTTACAAACGACTGAATTCCAGCCACAGATTTCTTGGGAGACTCATGGACCCAACATTAACATCTCCTAGTCTAGCCCAGCACCTGCCAGAGGCTCCTGCAGTGGCGTGTCTGATAAACTCACTCTAGACGTCTGCATGAACAGTCTGTCCCTGTGCCTGGGGGTTCCTTTCTTTGGGGTTATTGTAACATCTTTTCACTATAGATAGAAGTTTCCATGTCTCAATGCTCAGATCAACCCCCGCTTCCTTGGGAAGCCTTACCAGACCACGGTTTCTACCAAGTTCTCTCCCCTCCAATGCCTCTGCCCTACCTCAGAAGATTGCTAGTGGAGTCACGTGTGTGTGTGAGATTTATTGCTGTATTAGTGACTGCTCAAGTGTTTGCCTTGCCTTACTGGTACATTTGATAAATCTAAACAGTAGACGTCAGTTGAGTTTTCTTTTATCATTTCAGCAAAATCACTTTGCATTTTACCAAGCTTATAAATGATCTCATTTGATTCTAGTAACAAGACTCGGGGTAGGTAGAGCAGTACTATTATCTTTCTCTTACATATGGGGAAAAGACAAGTGACTTTCAAAAGGAAGGAGCTAGTAATGGACAAAATGGGAATGGAATTCCCCTCTCTGCTTCTGACTTTGCATCTGCATCCCCTCCAACAGCACAGACTTGGGCAATAATGGGGGGTTAGTGAATGTCTGTGGTTGATTCTTTTAAGACTTCTCTTCATCATGAACCTCATGAATTGCAGTTGAAGAGATCAATGTATGTGGGAAGAGGAGAAGTTGTTCAAGAAATCACTAATCTCAAATAGGAGTCTTCAAAATAAATTAATCTTCGGAGTTCTTCTCTCATTGTCCATGCAACTCTAGTTCTGAAAATGTTGCAGAGCTGAGTCTGGGTGTCCAGTTAAGGACTGCCAAATATAAAAAGGCAAAGCATGTTACCACCGACAAAGAATCTGAGAACTGTTTCATACAGCATTCTCATGTTAAAGAGGAAGAAACAGAACCCAAGCAGAAGCAATGTAAATTGACAAGTACACTGTGGTCAGTGGCGGAGCAGGACAGGACCCAAGTCTTCAGAGACCCAATGAAATTTTCAGTTTGCTTATTTGAGCAACTAGATTACCTACACAAATCCTGTTCATTTTGAAAGAGATAATCAACAGGGATATTCATGGGTGCCTACTATATGCAAAGACTTTCCCAGACATGCTTGAAAATAAAAAAAGATGTCTCAAATTTGCTCCTTATTATGTTCCCTCTACAAAAATATCCATGTTATATATTTTAAAACTAAGGCTTGATAAGGCTACATGCAAGTGCTTATGTCTCTATTTCTGCATATGTAGAAAAACATTTATGCATACTTGCTCATATGAATAATGAGAAATGGCTACATCACACATATATACACAGAGATCACTACATTTACATATAGTAAATATGCATGCACATATTTATGAATATATTTATGTGCATGCATACATTTGAATGAGCCTTGCTATGCCTTTATGTAGAAAGGTAATCAGAGCTGTGCATGCATAATGCATGACATGTATGTAATACACAAATCAAATATACACATATGTATACAGAGATGCACATGTTCAGATGCATGCATATATACAGAGATATACATATATGCATATGTATAAAAAGCTAGAGCAATAAATGCACACATTTCAATATATATATGTTAAATACACAGACATGTGAACATGCATATATACATGCTATACTTAGACAATATGTGTGCATAAATCTACATAGACATATACATGAATTACTTGAAAATTCAGTACTGATTCACTTGTTTTTCTTCCTTGTAGCCTTGACATCCTTCATGCCACACCACTTTATCAGTAAACCCTCCAGGATGGAACTATTTACTGAAATGCCAGTACTCCCCCTCATTTTTTAAACTACATGACCTGTTCAGTGCTGTCTGTTCTGGAATGAAAGGCCAATATCCAAGTGTTCAGAAAGACCCGGGAGATGGGACAAAGAGGATGAAGCTGGGGCTGGAAGGCGACTCTGGGAACGGCTCATAAAGATGTCCCACAGAATGACTGAGGCTTTGTTTCATGAATAGGTGTCTCCATTCGGCCTTGATGGCTAACCAGCCAACTGAACAAGTGTAAAGGGCCCAAGAAAGGCCCGTAAAACCCATGACATGAAAGAACAATTTAGGAAAATAACAACTAAGGTAAAAATATCATTTTTATTGCATAAATTGCATGAGGAGTTGTGAAATTAAAACCATTTATTTATAAAAGTTATTTCCTCAAAAAATAAATAATATTAGGTATATCTCCTAATGCTATCCCTCCCCCCTCCCCACCCCACAACAGGCCCCAGTGTGTGATGTTCCCCTTCCTGTGTCCATGTGTTCTCATTGTTCAATTCCCACCTATGAGTGAGAACATGCGGTGTTACACCTAATGTTAAATGACGAGTTAATGGGTGCAGCACACCAACATGGCACATGTATACATATGTAACAAACTTGCACGTTGTGCACATGTACCCTAAAACTCAAAATATAATAAAAAGATAAATAATATTCAAGGTATGTGGATCACTTTTCCATTTATTTGACAAATAACTACTTGTCACCGACTGTGAGTGGGGAGGCACTGGGAACATAGACAGGAAACTCATCCATGCCCCCAAGGAACTCACTGTCTAGAGGGTTCAAGCAGGTGCGAGGCGGCACAGTGTAAAGAGTGCTGTGATGGGTGAGGCAGCTCAAACTCAGGTGTCATGCTCAGAGAAGGGTGCCCTCAAGCTATAAAGGATGAGTAGGAGTTAGCCAAGAAAGACAACAGGAAGGACATCTCAAACAAAAGGAACAGCATGTGCACAGACATAGAGACCATGAGAGATTGAGGCAATATGGGGGAAAACAAACCACTTTTTATGGCTGGAGGAAGGAAGCTGAGGTGAAGGGTGGACCTGCTATGAGACAGGATGGGAGAGAAGACAAGGGTGAGATGGGTAACATTCTAAAGTACTAAGCAGAGGACTTTGCATTTTCTGTTAAAATCAGTGAGAAACCATGGCAGTGCTTCTGTGAGCTGAGAGGTCTTGCTCTGTAATTCTAAAACACCATGACTAGGGAATAGTACACTTTATTTTCTTCCATTTCTCATTAGGTGTCAATTATAATTTAAATTAATTAGATCAGAATTTTATTATATATCTTTGAACTTAGATATATGTGCTACTTAAACCAAAAGAAAGGCATTATTGAAATTCTAGCTTCTTTACAAGAAATGAATGTACACGACTCTCCAGTATTCTACATGTGTGGCACACTGGCATAGTGAAAAGATCACAGCTTTTGTAATAAAATGATTTCGTTAAGGGCACCAATCAATGCCCCCTCTATATTCAACCATCTTTGCAAGTGTGACATTAGAGCACCTCCCAACTACAAATGGAATCTATTTCTCTGTGCTTGAATCTACACCTTGTGTTGGCCAATAGAACGAGATAGACATAACACGGTGGCAATTCCAAACCCAGGGCTATATGCCTAAGCTCTTGTGCGTGGACCCCTGCCATTCCCAGAGAACAAACCCAGGCTGGCATGTGGGGGGCTGAGAGCCACGTGGCGCAGGGAGAAATCATCCAAGCAGAAATCATCCAGGATAACCCTGACCCCAGCCAACCCAGCAGCTGGCCAAACACACAGGAATGAGCTGAGTCCCAATCAGTGGAGCCTGGTCCAGATCAGCAGAACTTCCCACCTCCCCTGCAGACTAGTAAGCAAAAATAAACATTGAGTGTTAATTGGCACTGAGGGTTTGTGGTAGTTTGCCACGCATTATTATTGTGGCACAAGATAATAGACACAAGCTTGGGATCCAAATGACTGATTTAATACCGCACCTTCTGAGCTATGTGTTCTCGTAAAAGTGATTTTGTCTTTCTGAGCCTTGGTTTTATTATCTATAACATGGGGATAATCATACCCACCAGCAGGAGTTTTGTGAGGATTAGAGTGACGTGTAAAATCCCGTTAGTAAGTTCTCAGTAACCGGAAGCTTTAATTATCATTTATGCTGCTCTGGTGTGGGAGTCATCCTATGGTTCTGCCAGTATAGACCTTTCAAAGATATGCTGTCTATTAAGGCCAGCAAACTAGCACTATGAGGTGAAAGTGGCTTAGGGATCTGAACACCTCTTTAAGCCCGAATTATAAAACTAACAGCTAATTTAAAGCAGGCTTCTAAGGACAACAGAAGTCTCTAAAATCATAATGACTGCATGGCTGGGAGCTAACTGTCTCATCTGAATGGTAAGACCTTTCTCTCTGAGGCTGGGCCCAACCACCATTCTGCATGCCTAGAGACCTCCCCGGTAGAGCACCAGCAATGGTTAGCAACTGGAGAGCCACACTCAGACCACCCAGAAGTCTCAGCTGATGCACTTGGCTGCCTAATTAGGAAATGAACCGACGGGAGCATGACGATCCCACAGCCTGGGCTTGCAGATTGCCCGGACTTTGGCTCTCTGGGCCCCTCCACGGGGGAGGCAATGCCTTTGATCTACAAAGCCCATGTCCACTTTGATCCTGGTCACCTTTGAGGTCACTCTTTCAGCATCTGGCCCTTCCCACCATGGCAGTCACCTGTGCCCTGAAAAAGACTTGTATAATATTTCCAGATGGAGAGAATCTGGGAGAGAAAGAGAGATGCTAGCTGTTTCTGTGGTATAGCCAAAAACGTGGTTTGAAAGACTGCTGAGATGCTCCAAGCATTTTTTTTTAAATATACTTTAGAATCCTGTTAGCAATGGGAAAAGAAGAATTTAAATTCATTAATATCCTACTAGGCGCCGGGCGTTGGTACATGCATTAGGGAAACAAACCTGGAATCAAAGTTGAACTCCAACACTTGCTGGCTAACATCCGTGAGAAAATCCTTATGCTCTTCAAATCTCAGTTTTGTCATGTAGGAAATAATCATTTTTTAATAATAATAATATAGGTAAAGCACCTGGCATTTACCTACTACTAAACATACTTCTTATAAAACTGCGTGATTTAAATATCATTTGCCATTTTCGAGTGCAAGAGATACTCAGGGGCCCAGGATAAGGAAGAGCTGAAGGTGAGATATGAACCCAGAACTTGTAGCCTCTGAGTTCCCTGCAGAGTCTGTTCATGGTACTGTGTAGTGTAAGCTAAGCACTCCCATCCATAGGTTACTTGGTTCTCCTGGACTCTTCCTCTGTTTGGCTCCTGCATTAGTTCATTCTCACGCTGCTATGAAGAAACACCATAGAATAGGTAATTTATAAAGGAAAGACGTTTAATTGACTCACAGTTCCACATGGCTGGGAAGGCCTCAGGAGACTTACAATCATATCAGAAGGCACCTCTTCACAGGACTTCAGGAGAGAGTATGAGTGCCAGCAGGAAAAATGCCAGATGCATATAAAACCATCAGATCTTGTGAGAACTCACTCACTATCAGGAGAACAACATGGGGGAAACTTCCCCCACGATTCAATTATCTCTCACCAGGTCCCTCCCAGGACCTGTGAGGATTATGGTGAGTACAACTGAAGACGAGATTTGGCTGGGGACACAGCCAAACCATATCAGCTCCATTGATGAGGTCAATTTGTGAAAGTGACAATGGCAAAAAACAAAGTCCCTAAAATAAACTTAGTATCTATGCTGCATTTTAGTTATTCCCTATTAAATTCACCTGTAAGCTTTTTTTTTTTTGGTGGAAGTTAATGTTCCAAATAATTCATTTTTCATTTTTCAGCTTTTCCAATTCTAGCTTTTCCAGGTTTGGGTGGAAATCTTCCTAAAAGGATTTATACGTAACTACTGTTTTCCTAAAGAGAGATTATTGACTATGAGTTTAAACTTTTCTTAATGATGTGGTGTCATTATTATGATTGTCTATTAGACTATTACGACCATCAGTTCAAAACTTCTGCAGTGAGTTGGTTCTGACTCTGCCCACTCTCCCCGCATTCACCCATCAGGTTTGCAGCTCCTTGCCAGTGTTTGCCTCTGCAGCCTTTGTCTGCTTCTATCTGCTACAGTCATGATTCTCAACATCAGTGTGACTATAATGAAACAAGGAGTCTGTTAGCAATGCAGATATCAGAGCCCCACCCGAGAGAAGCTGTGAGTCTGGGGTGAGGCTCAGAACCTCCCAGTTTTAACAAGCTCCCCAAGGATGTGTTGCTGCAGGTGGTCTGAGGATCACACTATGAGAAGTATGATGCTATGGGCTGAAAACCAAGTTATTCCATCATTTATCTATTGGACAAATATTTTCCAGGCTAGCTATTAGGTTTGGGACATGCAGAGATGAAATGCACTGACCTCTCTATCCTGGAAGGTTCACAATCTACTGAGCTAACAGCCCTAAAACAAACAAGCATAGTCCTGGGCCAAGGGCAATAAAAAGTTTACATTTGAAAGAGTGCTTAACCCATCAAGGCTGGCTTCCCTGTGGTCTAGGCTAGAACTGAGCAAGAACCCATCCCACTTATCATTGTAGACTCTGAGGAGAAGGTGGAAATTTATACAGAAAGTGATCAGGAGCAAGTGAAAGGTTTTCATCAGGACAATAGAATGATTAAAGCGCAGTTTTAGAAAAATGAAGTGTCTGTGACCTCCTCATGTCCCTTCACCTGTCTGTGTCCCTGAACACTGAGGTCCTTAATAGAACAGAGCCACTTACTTAGAGGATCTCTTACCCAGGCAGAGGGACAGTCAGGCCCATGAGCTTATGGATCTACACTGGTCAACCACAGTAACCTTAAGAGCTACCAAAGCAAAGCCCTATCCTGTTACTACTTGCTAGTTATTGTCTTAAACTTGTCATAATGTATATACATTATTATATAATATCATACGTGTAATAGTGTGTGTGTATGATTTCCAGTGCAACCCCTTTGCCAATCCTATAAATTGGGGATTAGCAGGCCTATTCTAACATATAAGGAAGCAGAGATCCAGAAAGGAGAAAACTCCCTCTAATCACACAGGTAGTAGGTGGCAGAGGCCAAATTCTAGCCCACGCTGTCTGTTCTCCTTAGCACCTGTCTCTCAGAACTAAATCACCCACTGCTATGGAACAAAAGAGCAGATATGAAGATTTCTGAGGAATGGCATCCTGAAAACGAAAACCTCACTTCCTTTACCCCCAGTAGAAGGTGATGGTCGTGTTCCTTAGGATGATCATCTAGAGACGTGAGTGTTTCCAAAGTGGCTCCCTCGCTCTGCTTGTCCTCAGGAAGATAGGGAATGGAGCCACGCTACTCAATGCAGTGTTATCCTTCATCCCCAGGCCAGCTCCCATTGTCACATGGAGTGGAGGTCACCATGATACACAATTTCATTTAGATGACATTATCCACAAAGGAGTTCCTGGTAGAGAGTCTGGCACCCCAGATCAGGCAAGCAGCAGACAGAGCCAGCATATCCAGCATCTGCCCAGCCACAAGACTAAAGCTACTCACCCCTGGATCTGTCCTCCCATAGCCTTTCAGGCAGGACAGAGGTTTCCAGACAGGGGCTTTCCAGAAATCTGAGGTGCTCTCAGTCTTCACTGCTGGTTTCTCTCTCCACTCCATCCCCTGTGCTTAAGTTTGCTGGCATTAAGTCCCACACTTCCTAGATAACTTCTGGGACTGCTGAATTGCCTGGACACTGACCCATGTGCCTCCACCTGTCACTCAACTGCCCTTTACCCACCAACTACTTGCTCTTCTGCTTTCTCTTTCTGTAACTGTGAATACTCTTGCTAAATCATTCACAATTATTATTATTGAACAACACCTATGTGCAAGTTTTTAAAATACATTATTTAGTTTAAATCTCAATGCTCTCTGAAGGAAAGCATAATTATGCTCATCATAGAGATGAGAAAACTGAGGCAGAATGATTAAGTGGCTTACTCAAGATCACACAGGTGGCCTGTAGTATATCTGGGATTTGAATGAAAGGTTGTAAGCTAGTGCTCACTGTACCACTGCCCTCTTTGGCTCTTTTGCCAATAGAATATGTGGATTTTCACTTCTTGTGCTCCCATGTACAGATCTTGGAGTTTCAATCCAGTCTTTGGACTCATATCCTTAGATGCCTGTCCCTAGAATAATAATCACCACCCCAGTATTTCTGGGGCACCTATAGAGACTTTAACAAAAAACAGACATCTTTCTGAATCCAGAAGCATGTGAACCCTTTTGTAGTGTGTGTTCCATAAGAAATCATTTGTGTAAGACATTTCATAAGACAAAAACATAGCAACAATAGAAAGGATGTAGAAATGTCAGGTTAAGTTTTTGAAGTTTAAATGTTTATTAATACCATGTGGAAACTAGCTGTTAAATATAACCATGAAGGAAGAAAAAAATCCCCCTGTCTTTCTGCCCTTCAAAGTCTCTCTGTATCACAGCTGTGAAATTTCAAGGGGGGTTGGGGAGGGAGTTTTGTAGAGAAGACATTTCAAAGATGGAATCTCCTGCAGGAATGAGGCAGCATAGTCCCAGGGGGTTATAGGGAGGCTTTTTTCCTAATTGAATCCTCCTGTTTTTCATGTTCAGCCTGCTTTCGGACCCTCCCTCCCTACTCCCACCCTCAACAATGTCTAAAATCTCTAGAGCACTTGATAAAATACATATTATATTAGGTGGGGTTTTTCCAGTGTTAAAGACACTCACAATTTATAATTAAGAAATCTTTAAAAGCAGCTTTGAAAAGGACAGGCCTAGGCTCAGACACAGTTAAGCAAAGTGGATGTCCCTTGGGGGTGATTTTAAGCTAGATCACTAGATAGCCTCTGGTTATAAATCACTCAAAATCAGTCTACCACCCCCAGATTTTTTATTGTCTAAAGAATCCTTTACTTATTAGAATGTAGCTTGGGTTTACTTATGCTCTCTTTTAAAATTTGAACACCCCAGGAAGTATGAGGAGGCCTCTATTCAATGACACTCCAGTGCAAACTTATTCAATCCGTGTGCTTTCTTTCTCACACCTGGCTCTGAGCAATCACTTCAAACAACAGGGTTTGATGGCAAACAAAGGAGGTGAGCAGGAGGGAGGGAGTGAAGAGGAGCTAAGATGTCAGAAAGAGAACAAAGTTTCCTGAGAGGAACAGGGTCAAAAGAGTCCGGGGTCGACAGGGGGTAGGTCTTTCTCAGTGTCAGAAGGCAGTCCTTCTGCCATTGCTCTCAGCTGGAATCTCCACTCTGCCACCTCCCCAGGAACTTTGCTCAAACATTGCACTGGGTCCTTCTGGCAGGCTTTCATGTTCTCCTCTGGTTACCATACACTGCCCCCTTCCTTTTGCTAGCCACACTTTTCAAGGTTTCCATATTCTCTGGGGACACTTCTTCACCACACATTCACTCAACAGGGCATGGTAGTTCCATCTTCATCCCTACTACTTCATTCCACTTATTCTTTCTCATTTTGACTTCCTTACTGGGTCATCCAGTGCCCTTCCATCCCATTGGCCATTCTCTTTATCCTCTTTTCTTCCTTGACCACAGCCTCTCCTGGTGTCCTCCACCTCTAGATCTGCTCTCTCTCAGTCTCTTTTGCACTTTTCTTCAGCCTTCTCCTTCAGGCCATCTTTTAGTTGCCCATTTTCTTCTGGTCATTTTATTTTTTGATTTTTTATTGATATATAATACTTATACATGTTTGGGGGTACATGTGGTATTTTGATACCTGTATACCATGTGTAATGGCCAAACCAGGGTAATTAGGATATACATCACCTCAAACATGTATTATTTCTTTGTGTTGGAAATATCACAATCCTTCTCTTCTAACTATTTTGAAATATACAATAAATCATCGTGAACTATAATTTTCCTACTACACTATTAAATACTAGAACTTACTCCTTCTATCTTTACTGTGTTTTTGTAAGCTTGTTCATTGCGATTGTTACAAGGAGGACAGGCCATCTCCCACATCCAGTCCACTGGAATACCTCATGCAGTGTGTCTGAGCTCCACCCTGTAGCCTTTCCAGTGTCCCCTGCCACCCCTCAGCCAGAGCTGCCAGCATTTCTCATCTATTCTATTGCAGTGACCTCCTAAACTATCCTTCTGTTTCATTTTATTTATATATTTATTTATTTATTTATTTATGAGATGGAGTCTCAATCTGTTGCCTGGGCTGGAGTGCAATGGCATGATCTTGGCTCGCTGAAACCTCCGCCTACCACGTTCAAGAAATTCTCCTTCCTCAGCCTCCGGAGTAGCTGGGATTACAGGGGCACGCCACTACGCCCAGCTAATTTTTGTATTTTTACTAGAGATGGGTTTTCACCATGCTGGCCAGGCTGGTCTCAAACTCTTGACCTCAAGTGATCTGTCCACTTCAGCCTCCCAAAGTGCTGGGATTACAGACGTGAGCCACCGCGCCCAGCCTATCCTTCTGTTTCAGAGTGTTATCTCAAAAACAAAAATCCAATTATTCATTTCCCAGGCTCAATAATCTTCTGTCATCTGACTACATCTAAAATAAAAATCTAAGCCTTCCCCTGTACTATCTCTAAAGGCCGGTGTGACCTCCCCAAGCCTCATTGTATCACCTCTGTCTTACTTGTGAAGGTCCAGCAACCCTGGATACTCTTTCTCTGAACAGGCAAAGTTTATTCCCACCTCAGAGCCTTGGCTCCTGCTCTTCCCACTTCCTGGACCGGAGTTCCCAGATTCTTTTCATAGTCGTTGCTTCTCATCCTCCAGCTCACAGCTTAGTTGCTATATCTTTTTTTTTTTTTTTGAGACAGAGTGCAATGGTACTATCCTGGCTCACTGCAACCTCCCCCCCCTGGGTTCAAGCAATTCTCCTGCCTCAACCTCCCTAGTAGCTGGGGTTACAGGCATGCACCACCATGCCCAGCTAATTTTTGTATTTTTAGTAAAGACGGGGTTTCACCATGTTGGCCAGGCTGGTCTCGAACTCCTGACCTCAAATGATCCACCTGCCTCAGCCTCCCCAAATGCTGGGATTACACGTGTGAGCCACAGCATCCAGCTGTTGCTATCTTTTTGAGAGGTTTTTCTTAAGCAGGCCATCTAAGATAGCATCCCCAATATTATTGTGAATCACATCTCTCCATTTATATTCTTGATATTATCATCTGAATTTATCTCCTTTAATGATTTGTTTATATTCCGTTTTCCCCAAACTCCCACTACAGTGTACATTCATAATATGAGATAATTTTGTCTTTTTTTCTTCTTTATCTCAAGTGTCTCAATTATGTCTGGCATGGAGTTGGCCCTAAATTAATGTGAAAGGTGAGTTGAGTACCTACAGATGGAGTTATGAGTGGAATATGTAAGTCAGGCTTCTCTTTCTTGAGGACCACCTACTTAGCAGAGGGACCAGAGAGTACGGCCCAAAGGAATCATAAGAGTGTAGGCACTGAGTTAAAGACAGAGCCATATGATGGTTCTCCCTTCAGATCTAAACTTTGAACATTTAGTTCAGGAACTAGGAAAACTAAACTTGAATATTTGCTGGTCTATATAATAGAAATGTGGTATTCAGAGCAAAAAATAACAACCCTGCACCTCAGTACTCTCATCTATAAAATTGGAACACATGATCTGCTTTATAGGATGATGTCATCATTCTAGTGTCACACTGCAAGTTAGTGACAGAAGTGGAATTAGAGGGCTGACCTCCCACGTTCCTATTCTGCTGTATATTCTCTGCCCGTATGTGTATGTATATTTGTGTGTGAGCGTGTCTACATCTCTGTGGGTGATTGTACAACACCACCTCCAAACAATGCTCCTGTATTAAACCACAGCTTAATCCAACAGGATGAAGCATGAGACCTCTCTAAATCTCCTCACTCCTGCCTGCATACCTGAAGCAAGTAATGATGACATTTCTTATCACTAAAAACTCTTCTCTAATTCTTGAGAATCCTGTGACCAGATGGCATGAACAGCTGATTCTCCTTAGAAAAATTAGTAAGAAACGGCAGGAAATAGAAGAATACAAAAATACTTTCCAAAGTTTCAGGGGAGAAAACAAAAATTGTGCAGATGAGAATAAAAACGACACACTAAGGAAACCAGTTCCAGGGGTTCAACTTGATGGGGAAAAGTATTAATACATAGAAGGCTATAAATGGCGATGCTGTAGGTAGTCTGGATGTGGATGAAAAGCATCCCTCCAGGTGAAAGCAATGCACTTCAGTGGAGCTAACACCAA